>NC_000006.12:45514545-45817575 GCF_000001405.40 Homo sapiens
GGAGGTTCTGTATAAACAGTAAAGAGAACAGAAAATCCCTCTTGTCAGCATGTAGGTAGGGAAACAGGAAGAAACAACTAGACATGGACTGTCAGGGAACTGGAGGAGCCGTGACTCACCTGACCTTGCCCTGGGCTGCGGGGCTGTGCCTGCACACCCAAGCACTGCCTGGTGGACTCAAGGACCATGTCATCGGAGTGTGCACCATTTCTAATTCCCTGGGGACTAGTCCTGGGAGCCTTCTTGGGGGAGCCTGTCTCATAGGTTCCCAGGTACCAAGTTAGACAATTTATATCTTATGATTCCTCTCAACATCTAAACCCAATGTCTAAGTCCATGACCTAGAGGCTCCTACATGTGAGACTTAAGCATGAGGGGTTTTTTAATTTGGGTTTTTTTTTTTTTTGTTTGTGTGCTTTAGTAAATAAAGTCCTTTGGATTGAGTCCATTCCTGTGCCTTTAGTCTTCATAATGCTCTGTGCCAAATAATGCTGTTTCCACATAACGCGGACAGCTAAAAATACTAACCTCTATCCCTGTTTACAGGCAGTCCTGTGGTCTCTTTTTGAAATGCTTTCCAGAACAGTTTATGTTTTTGTGTGCATTGATCAATTTTCATCTCCATATCTAAAGGGATACACAAAATATTCTCATATGATTTTGGGTGAGAAAGAATAAAATTCTTCACTTCACAGTAGGATTGGATGTTCGGACCCAGGTTTTTATCCCAGCTCATACATATATCAGGCAACTTCTTACTTCTCTGAAACTTAGTTTTATTATTTGTAAAATAGGCATACAATATTCATCTTCAGGGTTGGTGTGAGGATTAAGTGAGATACTTCATATAAAGTGTTTAGAACTGGCCTGGCACATGATATGTGCCAAATAGATTGTAGCTGATATTATGAAGCTAAAATTGTTTTGTAAAAATTCTATATCCATATGTAATTTACAGGCAAGTCTTGTTAAGTGAGTCAAATTAGATTAGATAAAAATCTAAACTTTTAAAGGGGACTTTTCCTTCAGAAAATAGATCACCGCAGGGCATATTTAAAACAAAGCCCTTAGATTATCTAAATAAGTTAATACCCACATGGCATTCATAAAGCACTTAATGCAGTACCTAGCACATAGAACTCCTCAAATGTTTCCCATTATTATTATTATTCGTAGATTTAAAATGAATATTTACAGAGCAAAAAGCAATTGGGAACCATTCACAAAAAAGTCAATAAAGCATTAAGAGAAAATAACGATTCAATTATGTCAGACAATAGAAAGTGCTGAGTTACACTTAAATTAACTAGGCATGCTAATGCTGTGTTCCAAGGGATCATAGGAATAGAAACAACCAGAAAGATCCACCAGAAAGAACTGTTCCAAAAGAAATTCCATTTTCTCCTAAAAGACCATTCCAAAGAAAGACCATGATTTAATCTACCTAAAGACCTTCAGAGAATCCAATATTTCACCTTTCTTTATTAGTATCCTTTCTTCTGAGTAATTTTCAAGCATGGCAACAATTCTAGAAGTTAATAAATGACAATAATCACAGTGATATTATATTAGATAGTCTTGTAGTTTTCCTCAGACCATTTTTGGAAGGAAGGTATAAACAAAATAAGATAAAATGATAAAGGTATGTTACCTACAATCCTTACTTTACTGCAGAGAAAGATATAATACTAGACGTCTTCAAGTTCAGAGGTACAATACAATGATTCAGGAAATATTTCCTTAACATTGGGTAGCCTTAAATATTGTAATGGAACAACAAGAGCACATATAAGTTTGTAATTGAATGAGAAGTTATTGCCATGTAATTGACTAACAGGTGTATGTTATGGTAATGAGTTTGAATCATATTCAGTTGAATTATAAAAGTCAGCACTAGTCTCAGAAACCAGTCTAGTGATGTTACAGTGCAGAAGACACCTCCTTTCCTACCATACTTACATTGATACATATGGCCTCATCATATAATAATCTGTATTTAAGTAGCACTCCTATCCCCAGGTGATTTTATACATTATCTCACTTCATCCTACATGTTTCTAAAAGATTATTCAGTACACAGAGGTGGCCAAAGTTATTTCTCATTGATTCTAGTCAAGGGTAAGGTGTGACAAGGCAAGCCTTATATGACCCGAACCACTGCATGTCTTTATAATTGCAATCGTATCACCCATGGCAGTTTTGATCTTCAAAGCACTTGTGAGGCTTGACACAAAGATTATAATTACATTTCTGGAAGTCATTACAAAATACTATGTAAATAAATAATTGCTGACTTTCAAAATGTATTTTATACAATTATCCTACTATGGAAAGAAGCACAACTCTTTATTGAGGCTGATTGTTTGGGTCAGAGTATGAGTCTCCTAGAGAGCTTACACAGGTTTTTTTTTTCACTGCAAATAACTCCTCCACTATCCCACTCATTTGAGTGAAGTAGCTTAGATTAACCTAAGTCTGTACCACTCTTTGGCATAATGAAGTAGAAGGGATTTATACCTTTCTGATGCTTTCTGGAGGTTTCTTAGAGACTTAGGATATGTTAGTTAAAGATGCACAGGTAAGATGCATCTTATTCATAGATGTTGGCTGCCTCAGTTACTCTGAAAGAGGTCACTATAGATTTTTTTTTTTAAGAGACAGGGTCTTGCTCTATTGCTCAGGATGGGATGCAGAGGCGTGATCATAGCTCACTGCAGCCTTGAATTCCTGAGCTTAAACAATTCCCCCATCTCAGCCTCCTGAGTAGCTGGGACTAAAGGCCTGCACCACCTTGCCAGGCCAATATTTTTCATAGGGACAGGATCTCACTATGTTGCCTGGGCTGGTCTCGAACTCCTGGTCTCAAGTGATCCTCTTGCCTTGGCCTCCCAAAGTGCTGGGATTACAGACATGAGCCACCTCTCCCTGCTTGCCACTATAGATTGTATGGAAGATTCTTCTCTGCATTTATGGGGTTTTTGTTTGTTGTTGTTGTTAACATAGGACAGAGTTAATCTTTCTGTAAGGTTATTTTTTTCTTCTGCTTAGGAAAGTAGTCTTGAATCTCTTATTTCAAAATATGTAAATATTAACACTTTTCACTTACTCAACTGCACAGGACTATTGAAGATGTCTCCAGTTTTATGACTTTCGGTGGCTAAACTATAATATTCCAAGGTCAGGAGAATAAGCATTAGTTTAATAATACAATTATTAAAAATTATTTTATCACTACTACAAAATCTAGAAATTGCCAGTGGAAAAACCCCACCCCATTTGAGTACTCAAGGTCTGTCAGGAGGATTCAAACCCAGTAGAGTTTGAGGTTGTTCATTCTAAAATGTCCCTTATAACCCAGTCTCTATCAAGTCCACCGAGTCAAGTTCTTGAAACCAGCAGCTTCGTAATGTGCCAATTATATGTGAACATTTATTTTAGCAGAGCAGCTCTTAACTCACAGGAGGGAGGAATGCCTTAAGAAAGGTTAAAAGGAAAACTTCAGCAATTAATACTAATAAACCAGAAAGTTAAAGCAACCATAATAAAACACTAGAGCATCTACTTTTTACTACAGAACCATTCCTTTCTTAAGAGCCACCTGTTTGGTAGACATACTCTGCCACAGCAGCCACAGGCAAATAATTAAGTTTAATAGGAGTAACTCTTATTTTGAAGAAGTTCTCCGTTTAAAGCCACAGAGTGGGGAAGTTATTAAATTTTATGGACCCTAAACAAAGGCAAGCCCTGTGTCAAAAATTGAATGTTCCGTATTCTTCATTATATCGCCACTGATTGGATGGATTACTTTTGCATTCCATAAGTTGAAATTCATCTTGCTTTCCCTAAAAATAGCCTATCTTTTGACATAGCAGATGGTGTTCTAATCTTACCTGGACCTCCGTTTACTCTAATTTTTGATTTACTCCTGCTGAGGCCCAAAGAAGTGGTTTTCATTCCTACTAGATCAGTTGGAGATAATAGTTGGTCCAGCTCACAAAGTTTACTAAGCTTGGTTGTATGATTAATTACTGTTATTTGTAGCTACACTGAGATACTAAAGCTCAGAATGAAACCTGTGTACATGGTTTGACTCTGATTTTTTACATGGTTTTTCTCAGTTGTTTTTGTGGGGATTTATTTCTGACACATGTACAACCACCCACACATAGGGAAAAGATTTAGTAATGAAAGGAATCATGCTTTTGCAGGGATGGCAAACACATGGTTATATATTTTATTGAGGATTTGCTGAAATCTCCTTTCCATCAAAGAAAACTTGAGTGTATGAACCTCATTTCACCCAAAGTATTAATTTTCTAACGATAGATACAGTGGCTTCTGCAGTGCACTGGGGTCTGAGAAGAGGGGGCGCAGTTTAACTTAGGACACCTGAGTTTTCATTTCATTGTCACTAAAGAGTCTTTGTATCATTCTCAGATACAGTTAATTTATTGTGCCTCAGTGGTCCTATGTTAATGAATTACTAGAAATCGCTGAATCATATATCTCAGAGGCTCTGCAAGGAGTAAGGTGCTATCTGTTTAGGGATTTGATGTTCTTAGGACTTTTAGTAAAGTTTGCCTTACCAGATAAATGCTAGTGGAAAAAGGAGGTCGCATAATTATCTTCTAAAGAGTAGAAATGCATGCGACATTATTACTTTTATGTATATGTCTTAAAATTAATACTTTATTCTTTTGAGAGATTTTAAGTTTACAGAAAAATGGAGCAGAATGTATAGTTTCTTATATTCTCCTCCTACCATCTCCCACTTTCTCCTGTTATTTACATCTTGCATTTGTGTGATGTTTGATGTAATTGATGAACCAATATTGATACATTGTTATGAAATAACGTCCATAGTTTACACAGGGCTCACTCTTTGTGTTGTGCAGTTCTATGGGTTTTATCATAATGCCATGTGTCCACCATTACAGAATCATAAGGAGTAGTTTCATTACCCTAAAAATCCCCTGTACACCACCTGTTCATCTCTCTTTCCCTTCTCTTTTCCTGAGCCCCTGGCAACCACAGATTCTTTTTTTTTAACTGTCTCTATAGTTTTGCCTTTTCCAGTGTTATATAGTTGGAATCATACAATAAGTAAGTAGCTTTTGCAGACTGGCTTCTTTCACTTGGTAATATGCATTTAAGTTCCTCCATGTCTTTTCATGGCTTATTAATGCATTTCATTCTACCCCGAATTGCATTCCATTGGAAGGATGCTATTATATATATATATATATGTGTGTGTGTGTGTGTGTGTGTGTGTGTGTGTGTGTGTGTGTGTGTATATATTTGAGATGGAGTTCGCTCTTGTTGCCCCTGCTGGAGTGCAATGGCATGATCTCGGCTCATGGCAACCTCTGCCTCCCAGATTCAAGCAATTCTCTTGCCTCACCCTCCCGATTACAGACTGGGATTACAGGCACCCACCACCACATCTGGCTATTTTTTTGTATTTTTAGTAGTGATGGGGTTCCACCATGTTGGCCAGAGTGGTCTCGAACTCCTGACCTCAGGTGATCCACCTGCCTTGGCCTCCCAAAGTGCTGGGATTACAGGTGTGAGCCACTGCACCCGACCGGATGCTATTATATTTTTAAAATCATCAAAGGTGCTCTACCTGAACCTGAGGATACTATCTTATCTTCCATTTTCCTTTTGTTGCTGACTTTGTCAGTGGTCGTTCCTATTAGAAAGCATTTCACACATTTCTTCCTGGAGAAGCATGTTTTCTATCATAGCAATTGTCACCAAATGGTTTTCTGTATCTTGGGTGCATTTTTAAATTAAATATTTTTTTCCTAATCTTGCCCATAGATAAATTCCTGAACATCTACTGTTTGGTGGTCATGCATACCAATTCAAATACGGAACATACCAAGTTAAAATAACAATACAGTTATGTGACTGCTTAGTTGTCTCCCAAAATATTTGACTCTCCTAGGTAAAGGGGGGCCTTTTCTCTTAAAAATGCCTGGCATTCCTTAAGTGTGCTGTGCTATTTCCCACTTCCATGTCAGCCCATTTCTTTGCACTGGGGGGCAGGGCCCTGTTGTTCCCTCTTGGGCATGCCTTTCCCAAACACCACTTTCTTCAAAGTGAATCGCTGTCTCATCTACACCCATTTGTATGTCATTTCTGTACTTTGGACACACCTCTAATGTGTACATATCTTTCTTTTTTTTTTGAGACAGAGTCTCACTCTGTTGCCCAGGCTGGAGTGCAGTGGTGTGATCTCGGCTCACTACAGCCTCTGCCTCCCAGGTTCAAAAGATTCTCTTGCCTTACCCTCCCGAGTAGCTGGGATTGCAGGCATGAGCCACCACACCCAGCTAATTTTTGTAGTGTTAGTAGAGACGGATTTCTCTATGTTGGCCAGGCTGCGAACTCCTGACCTCAGTTGATCCACCCGCCTCGGCCTCCCAAAGTGCTGGGATTACAGGTGTGAGGCCTCATGCCCAGCCCATATTGTCCTTTAGCATAAAAATTTAATTGCATGCCATTCTCCTTTTATAAGCTTCTTAAGGACAGTGGCTATGTTTTGCATATTCTTGAATCCTTATAACCTAGCACAGTTTTTGGCACATGGTAGGTGCTTAAGAATGTTTAATGAAACAAGTATTAGTGGGAAAGAAGATTTTAAAAAAAAGAGGAAGATAGATATGTAGGAGAAAAAAAGGAAGAAAAAAGATTTTGTTCACCTGGAACAACAAAGAAAGGGCAAAACAAGAGAAACTTTCATTGCTGATAAGGACAGGAAATAGCACAGTAAGAGTGTGCATAAGCAGTATATATTTTTATCTCCAAGTCTTTTTGCAATATGTTTCATATTTAGAACACATATCAAGACTGTATCTGTTTCCAGAACTTGCTGCTAACAGTTAGTAACAATGCCAAAACATATTTTAGGTCCAGCTTGAAACCAAATGATCAAATAGAATTTTTGATTTCCACTTTAGAGTCTGACATTAATTATAGCCATCATGTAATAAAGTGTCAAAGCTCTTTTCTGAGAAAATGATAGAAATTATGTTAACTAATCTGTAAACTGAAGCACAGCTATTCCTCTACAACAAAGCAAAAGATAGGGTTTTGACAGCTATCATTTCTCATAGTCTTATCTTTTTCAGGCTGAATTTTTCCTGTATGCCCCACCTCTGCCTGTTTTTTTTGACGCTTTCTGTATAGTATGGTTGCAGGTCATCCTACTGGTCTGGTCAGTGGTCTCTGACACAGTTCATTAGTGTCCATCTTAACGCCTCGTACCCAGAACCAAACTATTCCTCTCTTCTCAGGCTCTGGTAGTGCAGGCTTTAGTGGCCTTTGTTCTTTTGGTGACCATATTACACTGTTTTCTCTTATTTGCCACTTCTGTCAATCTGCATTTCTCCAATTATTTACTTTTAGAGCTGTTTTTTTGTAGATCCAAATATGATACTTTACAGTTATCCCTGTTAGGTTTTACCTTATTTAATTCAGGTAATAATTTCTGCCTGTCTAGAACATTTTAGATTTTAATAATGTCATCTAATACATTAGTAGTCCCTGGCATTCCTTCCTGTTTGGAATGCTTTTCTTTCATTCATTTCAGTCATTTCAAGTCAGCTCAACAAATATTTGGCATGTACTTAAAATGTGCTTATGCAGGTGAGAAGTAAAAAAAGAAATAGAAGATATAGTCTCTGCCTTCAAGAAGCTTTCAGTCTCATTTAGGATACAACATAAAGCAAATGTGATGGTTACATTATAGTACTAGCCCATGTAGATGCCAAAAACATGCAAAGAATGCTCAGGATTTTAGGAAAGGAGATCTCTTTTGTTCCTTTGCTCTATTATAATAATTCACATCCGTAACCAACTTAAAGCCATCTGCATTAGGAAATTAAAAAAAAACAACAATCCCATTCAGCTCAGATTATACTTTCACTCCGAATTGCTTCAACAATTACGTTTTCAACTTTTAAAAATTACGTATGTTTGATGTGTGTGGCTTCATGTTTCTTAAGATGTGACAAGGATATGGAGGATCTTGTCTTTTCCCAGCTAGACTGAAAGCTCCCCTAAGTCAGGGGCCTAGTCTTCTAATCCTTTGCTATCTCTCCAGAGCTCCTGCTAGATTGAAGACTCCCATTGGCCCAGGGCCTGGCCTTCTAATCCCTTTCTATCTCTAACTCCTACTCCGATGCTCAGCATGCATAATGTCGTGGGAAGTACTAGCATTCAGTAGAAAAGTCTACCCAGGAATCAGTGCTGCATGCTTCAGGGTTCTTATGCTGTGACTATTATTAGAAATTGGCTAATAGATCTAGAAGTAAGATTCTATAGGAGACTAAGACAATTTCTGTTTACCTTTATTTCATATTTCGTAAATGCATGTATGGTCTCACTATGCAATATGTTACGGAATATGCCAGCAACTCTGACAAAATCAAACAACGTTGTTGCTCTGCTTCAGCATATACATCCCCATATGCATGAATCCACCTACTCATTATATTGATAATGAATATACATATAAATAGTCTTGACAGGTCTATTATTTGTGATATTAATAAATATTAGCCAAGTTCATACTTTTTTCAGGAAAAATAGGATCACTGACATCCCTATGTCTTAATATTATTTGATTACTTCATTAAGCATTGATTTCTCAGGAAACATTAACTGATCACTGTTGATAGAAAGGGGACAGAGGAACTGCATGATTATTATTATTATTTTATTAATTTTTTGAGACAGAGTTTTCTCTTATTGCCCAGGCTGGAGTGTAGTGGCATGATCTCAGCTCACTGCAACCTCCCCCTCCCAGGTTCAAGCGATTCCCCTAACTCAGCCTTTCTAGGTAGCTGGGATTATAGGCACCTGCCACGATGCCTGGCTAACTAATACAAAAATTATTAGTAGAGACGGGGTTTCACCATGTTGGCCAGGCTGGTCTCAAACTCCTGACCTCAGGTGATCTACCCGCCTCGGCCTCCCAAAGTGCTGGGATTACAGGCATGAGCCACTGCGCCCGGCCTGCATGATTATTTTAAATTAGCTCTTAGGTTTGTTAACATGCAGAAATAGTTATAAGGGGAAATCTTAGAAAATAGATAACTAGGCTGGTGCGGTGGCTCACGCCTGTAATCCCAGGACTTTGGGAGGCAGAGGTGGATGGATCACGAGGTCAGGAGATAGAGACCATCCTGGCCAACATGGTAAAACCCCATCTCTACTAAAAATACAAAATTAGCCAGGCGTGGTGGCACATGTCTGTAATCCCAGCTACTCAGGAAGTTGATGCAGGAGAATCACTTGAACCCGGGAGGCGGAGGTTGCAGTGAGCTGAGATCATGCCACTGCACTCTAGCCTAGCAACAGAGCGAGACTGCATCTCAAAAAAAAACCAAAAACGAAAACAAAAAAAAAGAGATAACTAAACAAGTAAAAAGCTTTTTTCTAATTAAAATATCTTATATGATAAAATGCAAATGACAGAACTTTAATTTGAATTGTTCAAAGTCATTTGTGGACAACACTTTGTTTCAAATAGTTCAGTCATTTTCAGACTTCTTTTTTGTTTTCCTGAAATGCAAACAGGAAGGCGTATTTTCTGGAACTGGGTCAGAATTTAAGTAACTTGGTCTGAGGCAAATCTAGGACCCCATTTGACTATACTGCCTAAATTTTTTTATATGACTCAATAAATTAATGAATTTCAAATCCATGAAAGTAATGTAAATAAAAATAAAATGCTGCACAGGCAACATTGTTCCTAAATATCTCAGAGGATTTTTTTTTAAGTAGAAACATGCCATGTATTTTCCAGAGAGACTGTGACCTTAAGTGATCAACCCATAACTATGCAGCGAAGCATGGGAGACTAGGAGGAGCCCTGTGCTTTTGTATCTAAAGCTTATCGCCATCTCGCGCTGTACCCAAAACGGTCACCGTTCCAGCTCTCTGTGGTAATTAGTAACAATGCTATAGTTGATGGAATAAAAATAACACATATAATGATGGTTACAAACACACCCTGACCTGTGCCAAGGAGAGCAGTGATTCATGAAAAATCAATAAATAAACCCATTGATGTGGTCACAATAAATCCGTACATAATTAAGAAGAACCTTTTCTAAATAAAAACTACAAAGGAAATAAAAACAGGTTTGGAAAAGAGGAAAAAGTCTGATAATAGCGTTATGGTACTCATCATTAAAGAAAACAAACTTGTAAGCTCCCAAACTACACCTTAGGAAAACAGTACATTCTCAGTGTGGCTTAAAGATATGGTAGAGGCTGGGCGCGGTGGCTCATGCTTGTAATTCCAGCACTTTGAGAGGCCGAGGTGGGTGGATCACAAGGTCAAGAGATTGAGACCATTCTGGCCAAAATGGTGAAACCTCGTATCTACTATAAATACAACAATTAGCTGGGTGTGGTGGCGCACGCCTGTAGTCCCAGCTACTTGGGAGGCTGAGGCAGGAGAATTGCTTGAACCCGGGAGGTGGAGGTTGCAGTGAGCCAAGATTGCGTAATTGCACTCCAGCCTGGGTGACAGAGTGAGACTCAGTCTCAAAAGATATAGTAGAGAACTGACCTAAAAGATTCCAAAAAGGAAAGAGTTTGGCCCTCAGAGCAGTTAACAAAGAAAGTTAAAGTTGTTCTCTAACCTTAGAAATTGGCAGGTGCCACAGATACTCTTTGAAGGGTTAATAAAACCTCACATAACCTCTTTAATCCAGTAGGTGGTTGAAACTTTTGAATTGGGTCTTGCCTCCCAAAGAAGAATTGAGTTCAACACTGATAAAACAGCAGTTGCTCAATAAAATTGTGCTGAATTGATTTGGTTTATCAGGAAAACATTTCTTCCATGACTCAAGCATGTAGAGTGGTAATTAAACATTCATAGCATCGTTGACAGTGTATTGGAAATAGGAGTTGGCTGGGAATTGAGGAGCCTCTCTTTTGAATTTCAGATGTGCCTCTGAGTTCTTGAGCAGGTCACTAACTTCTGTAGGTCTTAGTTTCTTTAAGCGTGAACTGAGTTAATTGGGCTAGTTTTTCCCCAAGGTATATCATAAAGTTTTTGATGTCTGTGATTCTAAATTAAGGCCTGAAAGGGCAGGTTTTCTTACAGGAGAGATTTAGTAATCATCACATCAGAAAACTAAATTCCGGCTGGGTGCGGTGGCTCACATTTGTAATCCTAGCACTTTGGGAGGCTGAGGCGGGCAGTTTGCTTGAGCCCAGCAGTTGGAGACCAGCCTCAGCAACATGGCGAAACCCCGTCTCTACAGAAAATACAAAAATTAGCTGGGGGTGGTGCGTGCCTGTAGTCCCAGCTACTTGGGAGACTGAGGTGGGAGGATTGCTTGAGCCAGGGAGGCTGAGGCTGCAGTAAGCTGAGATTGTGCCACTGCACCCCAGCCTGGGTGACAGAGACTCTGTCTCCAAAAAAAAAAAAGAAAACTAAATACCACCATCAATAATAACACTAAAGGCTAATATAGCATTTAATCGAAGAACTAAATTAACAGGAGCAACTATGATAGATGTCAGGAAAGGTTTTGTTTTGTATTTCAGTTAAGAGATTCTGATGAGAAGCAACCTAAGATCAGGTTATTTAATACCAAAAAACTGTACATTTAGATCTTGATACCTGACCACAGCTGAACCTGTCTTTAAGGTGAAGCCTTATATATGTGCATGTGTGTCAGAATCCATAGACAATTTTTGAAATCCCAGATTTAATGTAAAATTAAGGAATTTTATTGACATCTCTCATACCCTTGCATGGTTTTATGTAATTTATTTGTTAACCCTCTTTACATGAGAATGGTACATTTGTAAGTGATAATTTATCTTACTGGAGAAATGAGAACCTTATAAGCTAAGAGTTATTAAAACAGACGAATTCTGTTAATAACAGAATAAATGTGATCACAGGACCAGGCTTTCTATATTAAAGAAATTAGATCTATTTAAAGAAAATATGATTTGAATCATAACGAGATTTCTCTTAATGAAACATTACTGTCATAGTGTTTTATGACTGCATGATAAAAATATTTAACACAAGTTATTGCCAACATTAAAGTTACTCATTTATTGAGCACCGTTCTGCCCACTGGAGATACTCTGATGATCAAGACAGAAAGGCTCTTGGAACTTTTTCTATTGGCATATGGCATAATAATTAAACAGTCTTTAGAGCCAGGTCTAAATTCAGGCTTCTTTACTCACTAGCTTTGTGCCTGTGGGGAGGTAACTTAGCTTGTTTGTACCTCAATTTCCGCATCAGTTAAATGACCATATAATCTAATAATAATAATACCTGCTTTAATAGGTTGTTATGGGGACTAAAGGATAGTTAATATATGTAAAGCCCTTAGAATAATGCCTGATGCTCAATAAATGTTAGCTATTACTACCAAAGGGTGGGCAATTGAAAATAATAAAATATTATCTAGGGATATGTACTATGAAAGAAGTAAAATAGAGTGATGTGATGAGGAGTCAATATTGAAGCTGAGATCTAATTAACAAAAAAGAGTTAGCCCTGTCAAGATCAGGAGGAAGGGAGGGCATTCTAGGCAGTGGGAAAATCGAGTGCAAGGGCCCAGAGGTGGGAAGACTGTGGGGTGTTTGAGAAGAATGCTCAGTGGCTGGAGTGTGTAGATGACATGAAGTTAGAGAGATAGGCTGGGTCCAAGTTATGCAGGGCCACTACAGGTCAAGATCAGAGGTTTAGATTTGCTGTTATGTGCAGTGTTAAGCCATTTGGCAGATTTTAAGCAGGGTCTTGATATACACTGATTTATATTTTTCAAAGCTCACTCTGGCGGTTGGGTGGAGAATTGTAACAGGGGTAGGGAGGAGGTTAGGAGGCTTGGCAGTCACCCTAGTGAGAGGACAGTGGCTTGGGCTTCCCTGGAAATGGTGGGGATAGAGACACTGGAGTAGAGAGAGAATTTTGCTGGTATCATCAAAATGCTTTAGTAATGTTTTCTCCCAATTGTTAGTTTACTTTAAAAGGAATAATATTGCATCTTTTACAAGTTTAATTAATGTTTAGACACTATTATACACCCTAAGTGAAGTGGTAATTCAGGAGTTACTTGATTTATTAAACAAATACAGAACTATTAACCTGGAAATTTCAGGCCAGAAATCCATTTTGAGATCTGAAATGTTTTGTTTGACTGAAAATTTTTAGGTTTTTGTAATCACATTTTGTTAATCTTCTGATTTCCAATAGCTTTCCTTCCTTGGCACCATGCAAACCCAGATTTTAGTACAATGATGTACAATGATGAGATGAATTTTGGGGACTGAAAGAACATTATATGTTTGTATTAGTCTGTTCTCATGCTGCTAATAAAGACATACCCAAGAACTGAGTAATTTATAAAGAAAGATGGGTTTAATGGACTCACAGTTCCACATGGTTGGGGAAGCCTCAATCATGGCAAAACGCGAAAGAGGAGAAAGGCACATCTTACATGGTGGCAGGCAAGAGAATGTGTACAGGGGGCAGGGGAACTCCTCTTTTTAAAACCATCAGATCTCATGAGACTTATTCACTATCACGAGAACAGTATGGAAGAGACCCACCCCCATGATTCAGTTACCTCCCACCAGGTCCCTCCCATGGCACATGGGGATTATGAAAGCTATAATGCAAGATGAAATTTGGATGGGGACACAGCCAAACCATATCAACATTCTTCTCATTCTCAAAATGTATCTTCTGTATCTTTCATACACACCAGTTCCTTCTACTGCTTCTAAAATGCACTTTAGGTCAGGCGCGGTGGCTCAAGCCTGTAATCCCAGCACTTTGGGAGACCTAGGCAGGTGGATCATTTGAGGTCAGGAGTTCAAGATTAGCCTGGCCAACACAGTGAAACACCGTCTCTACTAAAAATACAAAAATTAGTCGGGTGTGGTGGCACGCAATTGTAATCCCAGCTACTGGGGAGGCTGAGGCAGGAGAATTGTGTGAATCCAGGAGGCAGAGGTTGCAGTGAGCCTAGCTTGTGCCACTGCACTCCAGCCTGGGTGACAGAGGGAGACTCTGTCTCAAAAAAAAAAAAGATGCACTTCAATGGAAAGCATCATGCATGCAGGTGTGACCAGGCTGGCTTTGCAGGCAATCATTAGATGATCACACTGGGCAGTGCGTGGCAACAGCTCTGAAGTGAAGAAACACTTAGGCAAGGGGCTATCAGTTCCTTCAGGCTGGCGAGCTAATATCCAGCAGTCAAGAAAAGTCAGTCCAGGTGAGAAACCAGCACTTGTCCTCCCTGTGGAGTCAGTACCCAAACAGCTTCTTCAGAGGACTGAGAAATTGGGGCTTATCTTAAATAGCAAGGAACTTGAATTGATAAGGGATGAGGAACATGTTCTAAGCAGAATCTCATAACCACAAGCCAAGCTTATAGGAGAAAGCTTTAAACAGGTAACCCTGTTGGCATCACAGTTGTAGTAAGCTATCACTCCATTCTCAGATCCTTCAACCATGCCCTAAAAGGAGATTCCTCCTCATGAAACTCTAAATTTGGGGCTCTGGAAGTTAGCTTCAAGATCTTATGCAGATATGAACACTTTTTCTTATATTTCCTGTTTAAAATGTAATGAAGTTCCATTTCTCCATGGACACAGCTTTCTGTTCTTTCTGGAATCCTGAAGTTCAGAGGTGTGTGTACTGAAAACTATTACAGCCATTTGTTAGTTTGTTTTAAAGGAAAGGAGAGTAGTAAAATCAGGACCTGGAGAGCACATTTCCCAGTGACCAAACCTACTCAAAATGTATTTGATGGATTTATTTTGAGTTTTGGAAGCTCAAGGACTCCATAGAAGATACAGTTCAAAGGGTGTCAGCATGGGGAATCCAGAATAATTCTCAGAGCTCCAAAAACTTCATAGATTGGAGCTTCGGATGATGGGTTGGCTGTTTCTTTGGCTGTCAAACCTAGTTTTTAACCTTTCTCCCTGGTTAAAAACTAGGTTTGACAGCCCATTGAGGGAAACGGGAAGAACAAAGAGATTGGTACAAGTACAATCTGTGAGTTAGGCTTATTGCATTCCCTTTCATTTAGAAGGGTATAGTAAAAGAGAATGGAGGTGAAAAAATGTAATGTGAATTTTCTCACTAGAGTCAGAAGCAGCAGATAACAGATAACAGCCCCTGGAAAAAAACAGTCACTTTAAAAAGGAATAAAATTGGTAGGGTAGTTTATTGAAAAGAGGCGTGCTTTCTCCCCATGAGCCAAGAGGTCTGAATCCTGACAATACACATGTGTGTAATGAATTCCCCTCCTCTTCAGATGAGTGGCTGGACTTGCTTATACTAATGCCCTCCCCCTCCAGTCTTAAGGCATTGGTACTGATCTTTTTCACTCCAACAACACCGTGGTATAATAGTGAAAATCACCGCACAGGTGGGTTAGGAGATAGGTAACTAGGAGATAGATTAAAACTAGGGAACTGGAGATGTGGTTATCTTTCAGCCCATTTGCAGACTTTGCAAGCTAGTATTTGAGGTGTCAGCTTTGGACTTGCAAAGCCACAGCTTCTGCAGATGGCTAAGTTGCCTTCCTCCTGCACTTTACCACATTCCCTGGTACCTAAGAGAGAAAAACTATTTCTCCAAAGTGAACCCCTCCCAGGGGTCTTCCTACCACCATTTTAATAAAAAGGTTAAATCTCAAACTGCAAATTATAGAATGTCTAGTTAGAAGTTTGAAAACAATCTTTGTAAAAGTTCATTAAAATCAAATAAGCAGTACCACTTTAGGTTATATAGAAGGCGATTTGGAGGTAAATCCCTTCAGTTATCTAAAAATGTGGCAAGTAAGTTCCAACAAGTGTAACAAGCAGGTTAACACTGAGGGAAACGGGAAGAACAAAGAGATTGGTACAAGTACAATCTGTGAGTTAGGCTTATTGCATTCCCCCACAGTATCCTATTGCATATGAAGAGGTCCATGGTCCAGTGCAGTTAGATGACAGTGGACTCTGGCAGCTTATCAAGCTGCTGTCTCCAGAGGATGCTGCTGGTCATCCAAGAGAAGTGGAAACTCGGGCATGTGCAACAGAATATGTACAGACAAACTGAGGACTCCCCCAGGAAGGAGGAGGCATCTTAGGAGGGCACCTTGAACTCTTCTGCTCTGCTTCAGGAACTCCAGAGAGTGAGGGAATTAAAAAGGAGCAGGACTATTGGGTCCTCTGTAACAGCTCTTTTCTGATGGCGGAAAGTACTTAAAGCTCACAGATAAAGAACATCATGTTAGAACCTCAGACAAATTAAGTGCAGGGGAAGATGGGAAGAATTTTAGCAACTAACTCCAAAGGTGAGAGTAAAAATAAATGCATAGCAAGACTTAATATTAATAATACTTAGATAGTGCTTTACATCTATAGAAAGCACTTTCATAGACATTATTTCATTTAATCATTACAACGCATTGAAGTATCAATACTACTATACTCAGTAGTTTGCCAGCAGGAAATGAGGGCTCAGAGACATTTAGAGATTTGTTCAGGGTCATCAAGTGAAAGGGATAGAGAGTGAAAACTCAATTCCAGGTCTTTTAGCTCCACATAATATGCTTTTCCCTACTCTGCGTTGCTGTAGGAGTCTCCATATCAGAATCGGACTTTGCTACAAAGGCCTGTTGGCTATCATCCTAAGAGGAATATTTGTTATCACTGATCTTTCCAGCCCAAACCTGGATAACACCATTAATCCTTACTAAGTAGCCAAAATTCATGGTTTGATGCAGATCAGAGAACCCAAAATAAAGTAAAATGGACCAAATCCCTAACAAGAAATAATAGTGGAAAAATCTACCTCCCAATTTTGTAAACATAAATTTTATTCTAGAAATTAAAAATGTACACATTAATGAAATCTTAAAACCTCAAAATAGGCCAGGCACGGTGGCTCACACCTGTAATCCCAGCACTTTGGGAGGCCGAGGTGGGCAGATCACAAGGTCAAGAGATCGAGACCATCCTGGCCAACATGGTGAAACCGCATCTCTACTAAAAATACAAAAATTAGCCAGGCGTGGTGGTGCGCACCTGTAGTCCCAGCTACTTGGGAGGCTGAGGCCGGAGAATCGCTTGAACCCAGGAGACAGAGGCTGTGGTGAGCCGAGATGGCGCCACTGCACTCCAGTCTGGCAACAGGGTGAGATTCTGTCTAAAAAAAAAACAAAACTCAAAATATATGGTTTTATATGTGGGGCGAGGAAATTTAAAGCTACTTAAATTTTGCACGATATATTCTACCTTGCAAGAGCTGGAAAGGTTGATACAAAAAATCATTTATTTAACTTTGGATAATTCAGATCAAACAATTTGCTTAAATAATCTAGAACAGAAAAGAAAGAGAAATAGCTCACGTGGTATCTCCCATCGAATATGGGAGCCTGAAGTGTTAGTTTTAACCTCCTTTACTGCTAAATTTAAGGATGAAAGACTTTCTTAAAAAGTTAGTAGTGTTCCCATTTTCTTTTGGCCTGTGTTGGGAACTGTTGTTAACAATTACATTTTTTTAGTTTTTAGAAAAGATCCTAAATTTTTGAATTGACATTTTGTACATAGAAAACCTAGATTTTTTTTTTTTTTTTTTTTTTTTTGCACATTGAATGTATAGCTTTATTACCTCATTTTGAAAACTAGTACTGCTTTTTAATGAATGGGGACCATTCTTTGCAGGAACAGTATTTCTAGTAGAATTTTTGAAGGTATTTTTGGAATTCTCAGACTTGTCCAATATGTAGCAGGATCAGAATTTTAGAGCAGGGAAACCCACAGAGATGATTTCATCCCCGCCCCTCTTTTTACTGACAAGGAATGTGTGGGTCAGGGAGGGAAAGGGACTCCACCGTGATCACCCTGTGAGGCAGGGACAGCACTGTGGCCAGAACCCACATCTCCAGTTGCTAGTCCAACACTCTAGAATTATTTTATCCTGCTACTCTTCTCATAGGCTACTGACATTGTATTAAAATTGCTATCCATGGCCATTGTGACCTGAAGAAGAAGAAAAAAAATGAACCACCAATGACCTCTTCCTCCTCTGCACCTTTCCTCTTTTCAC
The DNA here is from genome assembly GCF_000001405.40 of Homo sapiens. Classification (NCBI taxonomy): domain Eukaryota; kingdom Metazoa; phylum Chordata; class Mammalia; order Primates; family Hominidae; genus Homo; species Homo sapiens. The sequence goes on from NC_000006.12 coordinate 45,532,652, forward strand.
CCGAAAATTAAGTCCTTATGAAAAGATTAAATAGATGTGGCCCTGCATCTGTGGCAGCACTGTCTCTCCTGACCAGTCACTGACTGTTTTGGTCCACATCTGGAGTGGACTCAGTGGACATGATTCTCAGGCTGAGAAAAATAGGACTTGGATTTTGTCCTTGGCAGGCAGAGAACTTCCACTGTTTGAGGAGCTACTACTGGACTACTGTGTGTTTGTCCCACGTCCCACAGCTAGCTAAGCAGACCGGGCTCTTTTTTTTTTTTTTTTTTTTCACGGTCATCAAAACAAGTAGCTCCTCTCAGACACCTTAATACATAATTAGGTGTGTCTGTTTACACTTGGGAGACAGAGGGCTTCATGTCCCAGAGAAATACAAGACGTCTGGGAACAGCCACAAACAGATGTTGAAAATGTCCATTTGTGGCGAGTTTATTACTATAGCACCAGGAATAAACATTGAAGATGAAACCCCTCTGAAGGGGTGTGTGTGTGTGTGTGTGTGTGTTGAGAGGGGAATGTTATCGAACAGAGTAGAAAGTGAAAGGAGGTTCTATTTTTTAAAAAATTTGCTCTAGTATTTGTTTATCTCCTGCAACAAGGAAAATTTCGCTATTTGGCTTTGGCTGTTTGAAGGCTTTTGCCAAATGCTTAACAATCTGTAGGGTTTGATTTCTTTCAGAAAGACCACTTTGAGAACAAGGCTCTATGTAACTAAGATGTGTTTGTTTTTGTTTAAATCACTCAGAAGAGAAATCATCTCTTGTCCATTGTTAAAAAGAGAGTTTTCAATCAAAGGAAAATTCTACATATTCTAAAATATACAAACAGCTCTTTGAAACTGATGCCAAATCAAACTCTAAAAGGGACGTTTTTCTTGCAGAAGTTTTGAGTTAATTCTGTGTGCAGGGCTTGAGTGGAAAAACGCTGAGACTGTCAGAGGAACGAGTTACTACAACACTACATTTGGATTCGGAAGTTACATAAGGAGCATTGTCTCAGGATAGCAGGAAGACTCTTGTACATGGTTTTAGGCTAAATCCTAACAACAAAGAGAAAGAAATTCTTTGCAAAGTCAGTTTTTCAGTTAAATAAAAGGTAGTAGTTTGGTTCCTGATGTCACTGGATATAAACATCCAGTGCGAGAAGGCATACCAGTCATCACTTTAAAAATATCAATTGAAATGTGCCCTGTGCCCTGTTTTTAAAGAAATACCGTCCTTTCCCCTGTTGAGACTTTTTTTTTTTTTTTTTTTTTTTGGAGACAGAGTCTCGCTCTGTCATCCAGGCTGGAGTGCAGTGGCTCGATCTCGGCTCACTGCAACCTCCGCCTCCTGGGTTCAAGTGATTCTCATGCCTCAGCCTCCCGAGTAGCTGGGACTACAGGTGCCCGCCATCACGCCTGGCTAATTTTTGTATTTTTAGTAGAGATGGGGTTTCACCATATTGGTCAGGCTGGTCTCAAACTCCTGGCCTCAAGTGATCTGCCTGCCTGGGCCTCCCAAAGTGCTGGGATTACAGACCTGAGCCACCACGCCCAGACCTCCCGTTGAGACTTCTGTTTGGATGGAAAGTAGTAGATGCTAATGAGGCACCTCTATTGGGGGAAAAAAGGACACAAATTGGAAACCCAACGCGTTCACTTCAGCTCTGCACTAATGAGCTGTGTCCTCGAGATGGTGCCTTCTTTCTCTGATGAAGCTTCCTTATCAATGGGTGCCTATCCTGACTACCTCTCAGGCTCTTTGTGAAGGTAAAACCAAATGTATGTAAAAGCAGTGAAAACTTAAAAAGCAAAATCTGAGATGTTACCTTATTATTTCATGATGATTTTTGAGAGGTAGGTTGATGTGGGACCTGATGGTTTGCTGGGACTGAAAAAAATCAGAAACAGTTTTTGTTCATAGGATAAAGAGGGCAAGCCAGGGAACTGAGGAGAGCAAGAGACGCACCACAGAACTAACTGGTAGTCAGGGCAGAGCTGTGGCTCCGCAACTAACCTGAACCCTCTCAGGTAAACACAGGTAGAGTAAGTAGGAAAGGCAGTTAGTTGAAGATGTACAGACAGAAGGCAGATGACACACACAAATTTCAGTGAAAGACAAGGATTTAGGTCAAATCTGCTATTGCCATCATTTTTCCCTTAGACACACATGTAAATACTTTTTGTATGTAACTGTGAGAGGGGCCATGGTGTGTTTAAAGATAAATAGGACAGCATTCCCATTTTTAAGCAGTTTAAAGTCTAGTTGAACACAGCCATAAAAAAGAAAGATCATGTCCTTTGCAGTAAGATGGATGGAGCTGGAGACCATTATCCTTAGCAAACTAATGCATGAACAGAAAACCAAATACCGCTGCATGTTCTTATACGTGGGAGCCTGAATGATGAGAACACATGGACACATAGAGGGGAACGGTGCACACTGGGGCCTATTGGACGGTGGAGGCTGGGAGGAGGGAGAGGATCAGGATAAATAACTAATGGGTGCTAGGCTTAATACCTGGACGATGAAATAATCTGTATAACAAACCTCCGAGTCACAAGTTTATCTATGTAACAAACCTGCACATGTACCCTTGAACTTAAAAGTTAAATTAAAAAAAAAGGCTATAGAGGTGATTGCGCGATTGTTGCTTCCCCAGCACACTTATAAGAAAGATACAAATGGGCCGGGGGCAGTGGCTCATGCCTGTAATCCCAGCACTTTGGGAGGCCGAGGCGGGCAGATCACGAGGTCAGGAGATCGAGACCATCCTGGCTAACACGGTGAAACCCCATCTCTACTAAAAATACAAAGAATTAGCTGGGCGTGGTGGCGGGTGCCTGTAGTCCCAGCTACTGGGGAGGCTGAGGCAGAAGAATGGCGTGAACCCGGGAGGCAGAGCTTGCAGTGAGCCGAGATTGCGCCACTGCACTCTAGCCTGGGCAACAGAGTGAGACTCTGTCTCAAAAAAAAAAAAAGAAAGAAAAAGAAAGATACAAATGAAGAACTAATTGCCTGCAGAGAGGAAGGGGAGGTTACTGTGGGCTAAAGCAGGAATATATGAAGAAGCTTCACAGCAGAGGGGGACTGTGAGGTCGATTTTAAAGGCTGCTTAGAATTTTAAGGAGCTGAGATAGGGTAGGGGGCTAGTGGGATACTAAGGGCGGAGGGGCCAATGTAAACCCAGGCAGGAAGGTGGGAAAAGGTAGGGTAGCACAGAAGATGGAAAAGGGTCTGGTATGACTGGATTATAGAGTTCATGGAAGTAAAATGAGAGACAAGACTGGAAAGGTAAGTTGGGACAAGATTGTTGCTCTTGCAAATGTTTGTGTGCCCTTAACACAGAGTCTAGAAACACACACACACCTGAGCGAAAAAGCCTGACGTGAAGTCACAGAACAGGTAGGCAAACATGAACAAGGAAATCCCGAGGAACCAGAAAGTCAAACAAGATAAAGATTGAGGAAGCCAGATAAACCACCCAAGCAGAAGATGCAACACAGAAAGTGAACCTTGAATATAAAGCCAGCTTCTGTCACAACCCGGAAGCCCCTTATGTATTTCCTCCTGGGGCAGGAACCCCTCCCAGGGCATGGTCAGCCCAGGCCTCCAGTGGGGCACAGGTAAGTGGCTGCATCTGACTGTAGAGGGAGAAAGGGCAAAAATAAGCATAGGTCCTCACAGGATACAGTTTGAGGCTGAAGCCTGTGGCTTTGATCCTAGATTAACATGGATTGCGTTAGGCCTGGGGTAGCTGTATCTTTTGGAGCTGAATTATAGAGACTGAACAGCACTTGGTAATCTGGTTCAAGTCCTAGGTCTAGGGGCATCAGGCAATTCGAGCCACGTGCTTTAAGGCCCAGGATGGCCTCAGGGCTGTTGGACCACACCTGGGGACCAAGCCTTTTGAGATCTATTTTGGGAAATTGTATTTGAAAAAAATAGTGCCCCCAGCTTGTCAGGTTTTGTGTGATTCGGCCTTGAAAACAGCCGCTGCCTGCAGCGGACTCTTCCTTTTCCCCGGCATCTCTCCTGGACCAGTGCTAGTCTCAGTTACAGGTGTAGTCTTAGATTGGGTTGGTTTTAGATTTAAAGGAGCAGCTTGAGTCCTACTTTAAGAAGCAGAGTCCAACCAGAACTCTTCAAACTCTATCTGAAAACATTGGGCTTTGTGGTGATTATTCATTTCATAGTCTTTTCCTACCTCAACCAGCATCTCTCTTCTCAGTTATGGTTTTTTTACAGAAGAGTTTGGCTGGACCTGCAGCTGGGTGTGTGGGGTTAATCACGAATTTCAAGATTTTGATTCTCAATTTATGTATTTTCTAGCTTGGAGACCCAATCTTTTCGGTTTCCTTCTTCTCTGGCTCTACTAGTTCAAATAGTGCGGGTAAGGAGGAATGCCCTTTTAGGATGGAAATGTTTGCTATTTGCTGTGTACTGTTACCAATTCCTGCTTACAAGAGTCTCATGCAATGAGTTTACCTAAGGAATATAAAACATGGTTTGCTTCATATCATTCAGAACACCAGTGGTAAAGACAATATCAGAATTCTGGGGCTGGGTCAAGCATGGCTAATGAGTGCATGCGTCTGCCTCCCATTCCACCTCCATCCCAGGGCTGTCAGTGATAATTGGTCAGAACACTTTTCATCATTGCCCTCCAGGTAGCCATGGCCAGGCTGCTAGATTCACATGAAAATGACCCCGAATCCCTGCACCTTAGGGGAGACAGTGACAGCAAAGCCCCCACAAGTCTGGGGCCAGGTCTTGGGCTACCATGTACTGATCTGTAACTTCGACGAAATCACTTTTTTTGAGCTTGAGTTTGCCATTCATATAGTATAGTCAGTGGCATTGCTACCTTACAGAGGATTTAATGACAAAATGGCAGTGGGAGTGCTTTGATCGAGTACTTCTGCAGATCTGAGCTGTGGCATCCCAGCTGTTTGGTTAGCCACTCTTTCCTCTTAGTCAATTTTTGCTAACACCATGGGATGCTGTGGCTATTCCATCACTTATAGGATTCATATGGTTAGGGAAAAGCGACTGACTAGTCTGTTAAGCAATAGGCAGTTCTAGTTCCCAGCCCATCATCAAGCAGCTTCAAGTCAGAACATTCCTGCACCAGGGCTTCAGGCTTGCTACCAAGCCTGAAAGAAACGCTGCGCAGATTTTTCCACGGGAGCGCCTCAAAGGGCAGAGGAAACTCAAGGGCTCCTTCACTATCCCTGCTCTCCCTGATCTGCTGGCATAACCCAAAACAACCCCAGGTCCCCAAAGAGAATATTTTCAAGTCTCTTGTTTTATCTGAGAATGTATGTGAATTTTATTTTAGAATATGTATGTTTTTGTTTTAATATATAAATAACGTTTTAACTTACTAATATCAGTTAAATGTCCCCCTTTAAAAACCCTTCTCCATTTGTCCACTTCTTGTATTTCATGCCTTCCTATCAGTTAGGCTTTGGTGTCTAATATATAACATCTCAACCAGTTCATAAATTTCTGCTTTTAATATAGACCAAGTTACCACTAGCGCAGGCCACAGGAAAATACCAGTCTGTCCTGTCTGAATTCTGGCTTTTTTGAAAGATTTACTTAGGAACAATTTATCATTTAGTTTGCAATTTTTAAAATAATCTTAATTGACCACATATGTTATCAAATAAGAGTTGGTCTTGTAGCCTCTGCCTCGCTCGCCATCTCCCCGCCACCTCCCACCCCCTCATTTGCACATGTGTACAACCTTCTGCCAGGATGTCAGAAAATTAATTATGCCACTCCAGGCAGATACCATCGCAGGAAAGGCTCTCTCTGATTTAAGATAAGATTACCAATATCTAAGCTGTTATTTTTAGGAGGGAAAGGCTATCACTTTTAAACCTCTCTCCCTCATTTTCCTAGTTCCTTCTCTCCTAATTTGGCTCCATGTTTTGGTAGCCATAAGTCATTAGTGGTTTTTAATTTTTCTGAAACTGAAATAAGGTCTGAAAGGGTGGATTTGTCCCTTTTTTCCTCCTTTTTTCCTTTTTTTTTTTGGCTGGCTAATCGGAGGAACGCAACCACATCTGAAGCCACTTGGCTCATTATGAATTTCATGGAAACTGATTCTCTGAAAGTGTTTCCATATGTGTTCCCAATATATCCCATCCTCTCTAAATGGGAGCACAGACGTGTGCATGGGCTGGAAATGGCTTCAGGATGTGACAGGGCAGTCATATGACTGCCACGGCACCGTGGGTGGCCCCTTCTGAAAGACACGGTGTCCTGGGTGCTGGCCTCCTTCCTGCAGTGGATCTGGTTTCAAAGACTATCCATCCTTCCTAGGATTTAAAAAGTTCTTAATCAAGGCCTAGCAGGAAGATCTCTCTCATTTTTCCTCCCTTTTCTCTCCCCCTCCATCTTTGGCTCGTTCCTTCCCTTACTCTCCCTCCCTGTATGCATACACACTCACTCACACATCTACTGCCTGCCCCCTTTCCCTTTATAAAAGGAAATATATTCTTCCAACAATATCCTCAAAATTTGGGTGGGTTTAAGGAATGGCTGAATTTTCTGAAAATTGCCAGGTTTTTTTTTCTCTCTCTCTCTCTCTTTTTCCTTCAGCATAACATACTTTCTTAGCCTTAGGATCAGCTAGTTCTTTCAGAATTTGTGAGCATGCAGTGGAAAAGTACAATTCATTACAACACAGAAAACAAATATTTAGACTGGATAGTCGAGGGACTTTCCCTCTCTTTTGCAAAAGAATGGAGTTTGCTGGTCATTTCATTATCTTAAAATGATTTTACAATCTCATTTTGCTGGTTTCTTCTCCATCAGCATGATCCATTGCATGTCTTCTATATATGGTATATTTTCCTAATTATTATCTAATGAAATGAAAAGTAAAACTAAGTTAGTGATGGATAGTTGGTCATTTTTTAGTGTGAGGGGAGAAATTCAGGGAAATTTAGAAAATTGGTCCCTTAGAACCTCAGTGTGGAAAATGCAAAGTAATATTTTGCATATAGTCTACATTTGACTTTTGAATAATGTTTATCCATAGCATTTCTACCTCTGTCGTGTTTGCCTCCTTGAGACTTTGGTAGTAATTCATCTGCTTTGCAAAATTTTTTGAAGCATCTGTCTTCTCAGCACCATACTATAAGGTAGGATCTGGAAGAAGAATATGTGGTTCTTCCTCTTCATTTGCTTCCTCTTTAGTTGGAAAATGAAAATTCTTATCTAAAACCAATGATAATACTTAGGAATGTGTGCAGCAGTAAGATTTATCTACATAAATGTCCAAGGTTAGTTTGGTAAATGAAATATTATGGTAAGAATTTGTGTGCCCAGGAAATCCTTGTGTAGTGGTGAGCTTTGAGCCAGAGCTCGCTTACTTTGGTCTGGCAGAGAGAAGAGAGAAAACCATGGGTGCTGGGGAGAGCATGGGCAAAGCTCCCGTGAGTGTCCTGAGTATATAATCACTCCACCAGGAAGAGGGGCCATGCTTAGGAGCAGTGGGATATGACTTTGAAATAGGGCAGAGGACTCTGAATATGCCCATAGCCTCCTTCCTTTTCACCCCTTCATTACAGAATTGCTCAGATATGCTTTTTGAAAGGTGGCTGGCCTATGCTTGAGTAAGGGGTAATACACTCTTGTTTTAAGGCCCTGCTGCCTGTGTGACTTAAAAAGGCAGTAAGTGGAAGAATTTCCCTTTTCATGTGTGTTTTCATAGAATGCAGATCTCAGGAAGCTCAAGGCAGACCCTCTATGTTTTCCTCTGCACCCTGCATGCTCTGTCAGGGTGCAGAGGTAGAATAGAATGCTGGAGCTAGGACAGAGAACCATGTTGGAGTCTCGTGTTGCCGCTCAGATCTACCATGCCTGCAGGTTTCCGTGTCTATAAAACTCATCTATAGAACTCATCTATGATTCTTGATGACTCTGACTTCTGCTTCTGTATACTAGTCTAAAAAAATTCAAACAAGATGCTAGTTTCACTCTCTGTTCCTTTAAACTATTCACTCCAAATAAAGATTATGATCTTAGTGGCAGCGATTAACCCAGGATCATAAGGAAGGACGAGTGTGCTTACCTAACAGCAGGCCATGGGTTTCTGGCCTGGCCCTCTTTCCCCTTCATCTAGTCTCCCCAGGGCTCCCTAGTGTGGATCTACACCCAGATACTGGCTGGGAGGCAGGACAGGTGCTGGGAGTGAAGAGGAAATAACAGTGGAAGCAAAGCAGAGGCATCCGTTTACTAGTGTCAACTGCTGTTTTGGGGGCTCCTGTCTGCAATGTGAGGTCAAGTGATGCAATAATGCTTGGGAATAGCTTTGAATGCTCTTTAAAGAGAGTTGTATAAGGTTTTATAGGTATGGAATGTATTTGAATTACATTTTAGGTTTGATGTCAGCATTGCTCAATGCTTTTCATATCTTTTCCTTTTGTGTTAAAACTGTACAGAGTTATTGTACAGAGTTCCCAATCCTTAGACTCATTTACGTATTCATTTATCCATCCAACCATGCACTGACATTTTTTTTTTCATTTTAGCCTCTTACAATGTACTAGGTTCCAAGAGGGATATGAGAGGAAAACATATTCTTTACCATCCAAAGCTGACTTTATAGTTGGAGAAAACAGACTAAGAAACAGCTAATAATTCAATAAGGGAGTGAGTAAGGGTCCAAAAGAGTGATATAGAAAATAAATGCTATTGGAACGGAAGTAAAATAGGAAATTAAATAATAGAGCTGTTGGGAAGGGGGCAGCCAAAACGTTTAAAAGGGGGAGAAGATTCTTGGTTACCAGGGGAGAGCAGCTCCACATAGGTCTTGTGTATTACATGTTCCAATAGAAAGAACTCTGAGAGGGGTTAATAAAACGTCCTTCGGATTTATTTGAGATTTGTTGAAGCAATAACTCCTACCATTTAAAAGGCCCCAATGAAGCTTTGAAGTTAACACCTCATTGCTGAGAAGTACAATGGCTTTTCATTCTGTACCTTTATCCCCTCACATAAAGTGGGCAGAGGACTCTGAATATGCCAGCATATGTTCAGTCTGGATTCAAGGCCCCCCTTCCTTTTTTCTGCCCTGACCTGCCTGCTCTGCTGGGATGTGTGAATGTACTGCACAGAGGCCAAGAGGACATGGGGCATGGGGTTTCCCAGCTGACAGCCCCAATGGCAAGTACCCGGTCTGTTATTTTGGTCAAATTCCAATTTCTTTTTTGTTCTAGAGATCTCCTTACCCATTTTCCGTCAACCAACCATATTTATTGGGGGCCTAGTCAATGAGAAAATGTATGTTAAAGTAAAGGCCTTCAAATGTCAAACAGGTGTGACTGTTATGAAGTTCTGAAGGGGAGGCAAAGAAGTATCAGACACTTCTCTACCCTCCACAGCTCACTCTCAGTGGGAGCCAAACGTGACTCAGGATAAGCAGCATTCGAAAACAGTGTGTGAAAGATGCCACAGGGAGGATTCCCGGCCCTGAAAATTGAAGATCAGACATTCTGTTTGATTCCCTCTTATCTTGGTTTCACACACTTTCCACTTGAAGACCCAAGAAACCTAGTTGGGTAAAGAGAGGCTATTTCCTTTTCCCTCATAGACCTTGGGAGGAGGGGCAAGATGTTTTAATTTTTATTAGTGATTTTATTTTTATTTGTGCTCCATGGAAATGTTATTAATATATTCTTTCCTGTGTATATTAGGTTGTGAAAAATTGCTGCTGCCGCTGCTGTTACTATTTTAATGAGCAAAGTTCTTGCAGCTCTTTTTATGACAGCTACATTTGTTTGCAAGCTGTTTGGCTTTGGCTAGGGGTGTAGACAGCAGTTTTGGAATGAAATGCATCTGTAGGAAGCCAGCAGGTCCTAAGGGGATCATACCCTTGACCTTGGTCTCATTCACATGTTGCCCTGAGCAACCAAACTAATTGCCCATTATTTAGCAGATTAGATCAACAAGGCCTAAAAGAGTTATTAATAATATCCCAAAGATAGGAACTCTCACTGGGGCAACACTTAGGCAGTAGAAGAGTCAATTTAAGTATTTTGAGATATTTTGAGTATTTTTCATTTAGGCAAATCAACTTCTAAGATAGCAGGTGTGTATGTGTATGTAGATAGACCTGTGATCATGTTAACCAAATTCCTTAAGGGTAACTAAGATAGCATATCCTTTGTTAGAAGTCAAAGAGGTCTGTCTAGCTGTGGCTGTGATTTTGTGATATTGAGTAAATGGCTTCTTTTCTCTAGATACCAGCTTTCCTATTTGTCAAACAGGGGTTAGATTTGCATTACCTAAGCAGCAAATTAAGAGTTTAGACTTTTCCATCAGAGTTCCTCAACCAGCATAAAGGAGTATTTGAGTACCTTGGGGGATCTCGGATCATAGCCTAAAGCTTTACAAGAGCAAAATTTTGTTGAAGTCATTTTTTATTTATCTAAAAATTCACATAAATGTTGCACTCTCCTCCACATCATATTCATGTTTATTGTATAGTGTATTATTTTCCCCAAGTTGAGTAAAACCAACCCATCAGGAAAATGCACGATGATTATCTTGGGCTTCTAGTAACTCCTGGCAGTCCCCCAGGAAGATGTAGGCACATACCATTTTGAAACTCTTCGCACCAAGTGATCTAGTGTTGGCTATAGCACTCTCAACTTCTCCACTGTTCAGCAAAGCCTAATAGCCGAATGTACTTTGTATATGGAGGAGATAACATGGATAACAGCAAAAAGAATGGACTTGTGCAAGTTGTTCCTTGCTATTTTAAAAAGGTCCCCAAACCACCTTTGGCTTTATCTATCCAGTAAGTTGTAGTCATGAGTTTTAAACTGGCTCTTGGGAGCTCTGAGCGTACCAGGCATATCACTGGGGGAGTGGCTGAGCTTTGGTTTTATATTTAGAAAATCAGATTGGGGTTGCACTGCTTTTAGAACTCTAGGCCTTCATAATATGGACTCTTAATAAGTCAAACTTATATTTTGCTTACTTTAGTTGATGTAACATCCAGTTAGTTCTATGTTGGTAAGTTTGTGGCTACAATGTGGTTGGTGACACAAGGATGACTAGTTTAGGATACAATGTCAAAATAGCCCAAGCAGGGGTTCTAAAAGAAAACCTGAGTTCATGTACAAAACAGACATTGGAAGCACAGACACAACCTTATTCAATGAAAGAAAATTTAAGGATATTATTTGCTTCTGTAACTATTATTATTTAAAAATTTGAAGATTAGGAAGGAGTTTATAGTCTTTCTTTTAAGTTTAGGATTTCTCCCACCACCTTATCATGATTATTTTATAAGGGATCTCGTATGGTACTAGAGCAAATTGTTACTATTTCTTCCTAGAGAACATGTTGCAAAATGTTTCAGGAACATTTCTTGGTAACATAAAGTGACTAAGCAAATTCCAGAAAATTCTATTGTTTGTAAGTTGAAAAATCATCCTATAATCCCTTTCAAGTCAACATTAGCGCTCTTTATCAAGAAAGAGTCCATTCTCAAGACATTAAGACTCAAATGCCTAGAAGTGATTGGTTAAAATACTGTAAACCTAGCGGAAATTTGTTGCATTGTTTTCTATAAACCATAACCAGAGCTCATTAATTGAAAAACAAATGTCATTTTGTGTTAGCTAGCATCTATAAACCAAAAAGGTACAGTGATCCTGGCATGTGATGGGCAATAAAAACATCAGCAAAATGTATCAGGTAAAATTGAGAGGAAGGAGTGGGGAGGGGTAAATTCAAAACCATATTGGAGTTTACTGCCAGGGCCCCACATAAAGAGTTTTAATGAGGCTTCTGCATCAAAATAAGTGAAACCATACGGAATTGTAATTATTACTGCAGTGTATTTTAAGTACAGATACACCTAAGAAGCAGTTTTTACATTAACATGTCTATCTGTGTGAACTCCATACTTCTGCAGGGGGCACACGTTGGCGTTTTAAGTGCGACTTCTTTCTGATACACGCTGTTCACATTATTCTGGTTCTTCTTATATGATCTAAATATTGAACTTAATGCATACAGAAGTGCCCTGCCCATCGCTGTTAGTTCTGCCAGCTCAAGGTCACCTGGATGCCCTGCAATGCAGAGGCTGCCTGAGGAACGTCTGTGGCCTCCATTTGGCCTCTGTATTGTACGAGGCAGGGCACAAGCACTGGGCGGGGGAAATGTTATGGAGCATCTGCTCCCATTTCTGATTCTGTCATAATCGCTGTTTCCACATTTTTAAATTTAAGCTTGTCAGAATTTCGTTTTTGGGAGGAATAGGTAGAGGCTAGTTGAGGATGGAAGAATTTATAAAAAGCAGAGAGTGACTGCCTGGGCTGTCAGTTTTGGTTCTTCATCTTGAAAGTGTTTGCTTCTGGCCTTAGAAGCTGCTCACTAGCTTTTACCCTCTGCTTATGGGCCTGCAGACTCTGGGAAATACTAATGAGGGATGGGAACCTCTCTGTCTACCCCTCCCCTAAGGCTGTTGCTTCTCCTTCTCTCTTGGAATTCATAGTCATAGAACATTAGAGCTGGAAGGGAACTTAGAGCTCATCCCCCTCATTTTACAGATGATGACACTGCCACCTCTGACTTCTGCCTCTGGCCTTCCACTCTCAGTAAGAAGAGCCAGGCAGGTGAGACTTTTAACAATTGCTGGGCTGGGCAGGGCTGGGCTGGGCTGGGCTGTCTGGTTGTTACTGTCCGATTTGTGAGTTTTGTTAACTATATGTTGCTTTTAAAGAGTCACTTTTTATTACAAATGCACATCATGGCACTTAACCCTTGCATTTTGTGAAGATTATAAGCAGTGTGCATTTTAACAAAAATTAATAACCTTCAATCAGCACCTTTAAAGAAAAGTGTTCGGATTATTCCCTTAATAAACATCGTAATATCCAAGAACAAGGTCTGAATAAAAATGAGGTGAAGAAGTACCCATTCATTAAAGTCCTCAAGAATTGTTTAGTGCTTTCCTTTATAGCTAAAAGCTGTAGGAGAAACAAATATATGAGATCTGAATAATCAAAATATTTTAGAAGGGAACAATATCTTAACAAGAGCACTGGTATTAGAAAAGGGCTTGTCACAATTCTGTCAATTCTAGAAAAATAATAATAAACCCAATCTTTAAAGGTCACAACTACAAGATTCTAGCATTTCAGAAAACAAATTTCCACATGAAATGGTTTATAACGGTGGTTTCATAACTTAGGCACCAGAAACATCTATTAAGGAGGCCTACTGTTAGCTTTAGAAGTGAAAGGACTTCATGTTTTAGGGGAAAACCATCTTTGCCTTCAGGTTACTGCTTCAAGTTGACCTGAAGCTGGTTCTGTAGGATGTGGTGCTGGGGCCTGGGAGACGGGTGGGGAGTGCCCTCCTCTTAATCTCCCCTAGGCAGCGAGCCTCTCGCAAAAGCTACTGTTAGCACCTGGTCTAAATCAGGTCACAAGTCTCCCATCAAGACTTGAAATCAATGATTCCTAAGGTACCAAGCCCCCTTGTGCCTCCTAACTCCCATTTTCAAAACCGACTGATCTAGTAGCTTATGACCCTCCCTATCCACCCCCAGAGAAGTTATGAGTTTCTGGTTTGATTTCACTGTTGCTAAGATGAGACCTCTGACAAGATTTTAAATTCTTTAAAGGCCTTAAAGGAAATGATAGGAACATGATAGGATATCTTTTTGATGTTCCTTCATTGATGAAAGAGCCTACCAAGAGTAAATAACAGTAAGACATTATTTTGGAATTTCTTTATATTGAGTTGAGGAAAATAAACTTGTCTGACTTAGTAAAAATTTCACTTCAAATATCTAAAGTGCAACGAGAAGCAAAAAGAGAAAAAAAATCCATGAGGATTTGGTTTTAAAGTCTGGTGAGTGAACCTATGTGATCAGAGTGTTGGGTTGGTTTACACATTGACCTGGCACACATGTGGGTTTTTAAAGCCCTCTGGGATTCTCTGGGGGTGAAGAACTTAAGGATCAATGCTGTTAAGACTGCAAAGTGGGGGAAAAAGACTGTAAAGTGACTGGTGCATTTGAAGGTCTGTCTGTGGCTTGCTGTTCCTTTATGGGAAAGCTAAAGTTTTCTCTTTTTTTTTCTTGTAACAATTCTATCATTATTTTAATTGATATTTACAGATTTTTCCCTCCATCTTCTGTTATAATTTTTAGGTGCTTCAGAACTGGGCCCTTTTTCAGACCCCAGGCAGTTCCCAAGCATTTCATCCCTCACTGAGAGCCGCTTCTCCAACCCACGAATGCACTATCCAGCCACCTTTACTTACACCCCGCCAGTCACCTCAGGCATGTCCCTCGGTATGTCCGCCACCACTCACTACCACACCTACCTGCCACCACCCTACCCCGGCTCTTCCCAAAGCCAGAGTGGACCCTTCCAGACCAGCAGCACTCCATATCTCTACTATGGCACTTCGTCAGGATCCTATCAGTTTCCCATGGTGCCGGGGGGAGACCGGTCTCCTTCCAGAATGCTTCCGCCATGCACCACCACCTCGAATGGCAGCACGCTATTAAATCCAAATTTGCCTAACCAGAATGATGGTGTTGACGCTGATGGAAGCCACAGCAGTTCCCCAACTGTTTTGAATTCTAGTGGCAGAATGGATGAATCTGTTTGGCGACCATATTGAAATTCCTCAGCAGTGGCCCAGTGGTATCTGGGGGCCACATCCCACACGTATCAATATATACATATATAGAGAGAGTGCATATATATGTATATCGATTAGCTATCTACAAAGTGCCTATTTTTTAGAAGATTTTTCATTCACTCACTCAGTCATGATCTTGCAGCCATAAGAGGGTAGATATTGAGAAGCAGAAGGCTCAAGAGAGACAATTGCAATCGAGCTTCAGATTGTTTACTATTTAAGATGTACTTTTACAAAGGAACAAAGAAGGGAAAAGGTATTTTTGTTTTTGTTGTTTGGTCTGTTATCATCAATAACCTGTTCATATGCCAATTCAGAGAGGTGGACTCCAGGTTCAGGAGGGAGAAGAGCAAAGCCGCTTCCTCTCTGTGCTTTGAAACTTCACACCCTCACGGTGGCAGCTGTGTATGGACCAGTGCCCTCCGCAGACAGCTCACAAAACCAGTTGAGGTGCACTAAAGGGACATGAGGTAGAATGGATGCTTCCATCACAGTACCATCATTCAGAATAACTCTTCCAATTTCTGCTTTCAGACATGCTGCAGGTCCTCATCTGAACTGTTGGGTTCGTTTTTTTTTTTTTTTTTCCTGCTCCAAGAAAGTGACTTCAAAAATAACTGATCAGGATAGATTATTTTATTTTACTTTTTAACACTCCTTCTCCCCTTTTCCCACTGAACCAAAAAGAAATCCCATCCCTAAAACCTGCCTTCTCCTTTTATGCAAAACTGAAAATGGCAATACATTATTATAGCCATAATGGTATAGATAGTGATTGCGTTTGGCTATGTGTTGTTTTCTTTTTTTTTAAATTATGAATATGTGTAAAATCTGAGGTAACTTGCTAACGTGAATGGTCATATAACTTTAAAGATATATTTATAATTATTTAATGACATTTGGACCCTTGAAACATTTCTTAGTGTATTGATATGTTGACTTCGGTCTCTAAAAGTGCTCTTTATTAAATAACAAATTTCTTCAGTGGTCTAGAGCCATATCTGAAATATTGCTAAGCAATTTCAGTTCATCCAGGCACAATGTGATTTTAAAAAATACTTCCATCTCCAAATATTTTAGATATAGATTGTTTTTGTGATGTATGAAGGAAATGTTATGTTTAGTTCTTTCAGATCTTTGAATGCCTCTAACACAGCTTTGCCTTCTAAAGCGGTAATTAGGGATTTAAAAAACAACCTTTAGCCCTTTATCAGCATGAAATGCTGGAGTGATGTGGTTTTCTAATTTCTTTGGGGTAATTATGACTCTTGTCATATTAAAAAGACAAGCACAAGTAAATCATTGAACTACAGAAAAATGTTCTGTGGTTTCATAGTTAAGCAAAACTCTAAATCGCCAGGCTTCATAGCAAAGACATAGTCAGCTAAAAGCCGCACATGTGGATAGAGGGTTCAATTATGAGACACCTAGTACAGGAGAGCAAAATTGCACCAGAGATTCTTAACCAACCAGCCTTACCAAACAACACAACAGGGGAACCCCAATCTGCCTTACCCAAGGCCCCACTGGCAGCTTTCCACAGAATTTGCATTTAGAGGAGCAGAATGACATCACTGTCCTTTGGGAGTAGGTCCTCTGAAAAGGCAGCAGGTTCCAGCAGGTAGCTGAGCTGAGAGGACATATGGCCCACGGGGACCTACAGACAGCCTTTGACATTTGTATTTCTTACAATGGAGGGCCAAGGAGGGCAAGGGGCTGTGGAGTTTGGTGTCTACTAGTGTGTATGAATTTGAGCTAGAGTCCTTCTGTGGCATGCACTTTGACCACTCCTGGCAGTCACATGGCAGATTTCCAAGTGCAAATCCTTAATCCAAACAAGGATCATCTAATGACACCACCAGGCCAATCCCTGCTCTCCTCCCCGAAAAGTCAGGGTCCCTTCATTGGAATCCTCCACCCACCCAAGCAGAATTTAGCAGAGATTTGCCTTCAAACCCTAACGGCCCCCTTGTTCTCTGGTCCTTCTCAAACCCACCTTTGTAGGCCACCCAGCATTGCAGGACAGCGTGTGGGGCAGCTGGACCTGTGCTTCCTGCCTGGGAGTCTCCCTTGGAATTCATCCTGACTCCTTCTAATAAAAATGGATGGGAAAGCAAAACACTTTGCCTTCTAAAGGCCGTATACCAAGTATGCTTAGATAAATAAGCCACTTTTCTATTACTTAAGTAAGAAGGAAGTAGTAATTGATACTATTTATTGTTTGTGTGTGGTAGCTTGAAGCACACCACTGTCCATTTATTTGTAAGTGTAAAATATGTGTGTTTGTTTCAGCAGCACTTAAAAAAGCCAGTGTCTGGTTACACATTTCAATTTTAATTAATTGACATAAAAATGCTACCGCCAGTGCCAGCTGCATCCTATTTAATTAAAAAGGTACTATATTTGTACATTATTTTTTAATGTTAAAAGGGCTTTTTTAAGTTTACAGTACACATACCGAGTGACTTTAGGGATGCTTTTGTGTTGAAATGTTACTATAGTGGCTGCAGGCAGCAACCCAGAAACACTTTAGAAGCTTTTTTTCCTTGGGAAAAATTCAAGCACTTCTTCCCTCCACCCTCACTCCAACCACCCCAATGGGGGTAATTCACATTTCTTAGAACAAATTCTGCCCTTTTTTGGTCTAGGGATTAAAATTTTGTTTTTCTTTCTTTCTTTTTTTTTTTTTTTCACTGAACCCTTAATTTGCACTGGGTCATGTGTTTGATTTGTGATTTCAAGACCAAAGCAAAGTCTTACTACTACTGTGGAACCATGTACTAGTTCCTGGGAATTAAAATAGCGTGGTTCTCTTTGTAGCACAAACATTGCTGGAATTTGCAGTCTTTTCAATGCAGCCACATTTTTATCCATTTCAGTTGTCTCACAAATTTTAACCCATATCAGAGTTCCAGAACAGGTACCACAGCTTTGGTTTTAGATTAGTGGAATAACATTCAGCCCAGAACTGAGAAACTCAACAGATTAACTATCGTTTGCTCTTTAGACGGTCTCACTGCCTCTCACTTGCCAGAGCCCTTTCAAAATGAGCAGAGAAGTCCACACCATTAGGGACCATCTGTGATAAATTCAGAAGGGAGGAGATGTGTGTACAGCTTTAAGGATTCCCTCAATTCCGAGGAAAGGGACTGGCCCAGAATCCAGGTTAATACATGGAAACACGAAGCATTAGCAAAAGTAATAATTATACCTATGGTATTTGAAAGAACAATAATAAAAGACACTTCTTCCAAACCTTGAATTTGTTGTTTTTAGAAAACGAATGCATTTAAAAATATTTTCTATGTGAGAATTTTTTAGATGTGTGTTTACTTCATGTTTACAAATAACTGTTTGCTTTTTAATGCAGTACTTTGAAATATATCAGCCAAAACCATAACTTACAATAATTTCTTAGGTATTCTGAATAAAATTCCATTTCTTTTGGATATGCTTTACCATTCTTAGGTTTCTGTGGAACAAAAATATTTGTAGCATTTTGTGTAAATACAAGCTTTCATTTTTATTTTTTCCAATTGCTATTGCCCAAGAATTGCTTTCCATGCACATATTGTAAAAATTCCGCTTTGTGCCACAGGTCATGATTGTGGATGAGTTTACTCTTAACTTCAAAGGGACTATTTGTATTGTATGTTGCAACTGTAAATTGAATTATTTGGCATTTTTCTCATGATTGTAATATTAATTTGAAGTTTGAATTTAATTTTCAATAAAATGGCTTTTTTGGTTTTGTTATGTGTGTACCTTGGGTCTTTTCTTGTTCACGGTTTCTCCCTAGTCTGATGTCTACTCCTGCTTACACCTGGGCACTGTTTGGTCTTAGGACTTGCCAGGGCTAGTTAAGAGAAGAGATGCTATATTACTGGGGAGAAGAAAAAAAATCTTGGTAAACGGTGTCTTCTTGTTTTGTCCTGTTCCTAGCGAGGGGTGGGCAAAGAATCTAGCAGTGAACTCACTTCCTTACTAGCTTGTGTCTGAAGGAAGGAGTGCTCACCTCATCCTTGAGTAAGGCCATTTATTCCAACTGGGGGACCTATCAGGCGTATAGATGCAGTCTCGATGGCTTCATGATTCTAATCTCTGAGAACATGAACAGGGCCCCGCAAGTGAACCTCTGGCTATCAACAGAAGATCTCAGGCAGCCCAGATATAGGCTAGTCTGTTTTCCTTTCCACATCTCTTTTGGGTTCTTAAAAATAAAGTCAACCAAAGCCCAAGGATGAGTAAAAACGGACCTTGGCCTGGAGGGCTATAGCCTCAGAAGAATTCTCCTAGTGAACATAACTATAGTTTGGAGATTTTTTTTTCCCGTGGCCATTGTTTATTTTTGGTAAGTCCCCCCCCTTGTGATAAGGTTGAAGACCTGGGGTAGAAAGGTTGCTTTCTCTGTGTCCTATGCTTTCTGAATGCTTGGGCTCACCACAATTCTAAAATAGGGACCCAGGAAAACATGGTGCAGAGAAGGTCAGCCAGTGGCCAAGCTGACCCACATCACAGGGAGAGTTAGAGACCTTGAAGATCTGCTCATTCTTAACCCTTTGGCACTATTTTCTAAGAAATCTTGGAAATAGTTAAATTCCAAGAATAGGAAATGTCCTGAAAGCACTTGGGTGAGCTTAAGCCAGGGAACTTGTCTGCAACTCTGAGGATGTAGATTTATTTATTTAAAAAAAAATCAAACATCTGTGTGACTTTAAAGGGCATTCACAAGGGAGGTGGTCACAGTGGCTTGCTTTCTGTCTCCAGTTTTCTCTATCAGGATGGTCTAGGGCAAATCCCTTTATTCCTCTGTGTCTCAGTTTCTTGGTTTATGAAAAGGCATTGGGCTAGATCTTGGCACTATTGACATTTCAGACTGGGTAATTCTTTTTGTGTGTGTGTGTCAGGGATGCTCTCCTGTGTATTGTAGGATGTTTAGCAGCATTCCTAGCCTCTACCCACTAAAAGTTAGTAGCACCTCCCTAGTTAGGACAATCAAAAATGTCTCCAGATGTTGCCAAATGGTCCCTGGGTGGCAAGATCACCACCGATTGAGAACCACTTAGCTAGAGGCTTTATTGACAGAACTGATATGAGAATACATTGCTTATTAAATCAGAGTAGCCAGGCAGAGGCTGAGGGACTTCCCAGTGATGGCTACACCTCAACCTTTTCCATCCCTTCACTTGATTTGGATGTATCATGAGGGCTGCTGTTGGCTTTTTCGTCTGCACCTCTTCACTCCTCTCTGCAACATGGGCTGTGCAGCCAGTGAACAGCCCAGCTGTGGGGCTTTGTTAAGCCTGGATTGGTTGGCCATATTTATCATGGCCTGTTTCTCACTGAAACGGCAGGCGGAAGAAGAAAGCAATTTCTGCAGTGTTTTTGACCCCTGGTGTCCCCTATCCCCCAAATATTTAATCATCAGGCATTTCTGCAAGAGTGGGTGTTTCCTGTTAACTCAATCCCAGCCGGGACTGGCCCAATAAACACCTCAGGTCTCTGTCATAGAGTTTATTTGGCTGGGAAATGGGTATTGCCATGTAAACAGGAAGGCCCCTGAAGTTATTATCTACAGACGCAGTGGAAGAGCCGCATGTTTATATTTATGGGACTTGAAAACAGTATGAAAGGCAAGGGAGGATGTCAGGGAAGCCCTCATTGGCAGTCAGTGAGAGCAGGTCCTACAGCTCTTTATTAGTTAATTTTTCATTCTCTCTGGAAATGGTTGGTAAACAATAATGACCTAGCCAAGAGCCACTGCAGAAATGGAGGTACTGGCTTGCCTGTACCTAGATTACCAGGTTAACAATAAGAAATGCTATCAGTTGGCCTCTCTGTCCTAACTATTCGAAAATTATTTTAGAGATCAGTCCTAGGAAGCAACAATTTGGAGGTATCTAAAAAGGATGCTTATGAAACAGTGTCACCATCTCTAAGTTCTTCTGGGGAAGTGGAGGACAACTCAACTGACTGCTCCAGTTGTAGTGAGTGTGGGCCAGCTCACCTGTGAAAATCCCAAGCAAATTCTCATGCATTCACTCCTTAGTCAGTTTCTGTGAGGCTGGAAAGGACATCTTCATGCAAGAGTTCATAACACCTGAGCTGTCCAGGTATTGGTACTGGGAATCAGGCTTACACCCTAGGCCTATGCACCCCAGGTATACTCCAAATTGCTCCCAACCCTTCTCGGCTCTTCCATTGTCTCTCTCCTCTGGCCCGGAAAAGGTGCTAAGAAAGGCCAGGTAGGAACCAGTATGTGGAGAGCTGATACTCTTGATTTAAACTCTGGGTTCTGAGCAAAGGCAAGGGAGTCTTTCCTTCCTCACCACCATTGCTGTGGACCCTGAGAAGCCTCTTTGTGTCTTCTTAGGGGCTTCTCAGCGGTAACTACTCAATCAGGAGGCCTTGGAAAGGAAATTTTAAAAAGTTATGAATCAAAACTTACCAAGGAAAAGGATCCAGTGAAGACGCAAAGGGTAATACACCAGGGATGTGTGTGTGTGGGCGTGTGTGTGGTGTATGTGTGTGTGTGTGTGGGGTGTATGTATGTGTGTGTATATGTGTCTGTGGTGCATGTGTGTATGTGTATTTATGTGTGTGGTGCATGTGTGTATGTGTGTGGTGTGTATGTGCACGTATATGTATATGTGTGTGTATATGTGTATACGGGTGTGTGGTGTGTGTCTATGTGTGTATGTGTGCATGTGTGGTGTGTGTATGTGTGTATATGTGTGTGGTGTGTGTGTGGTGTGTATGTGTGTGGTGTGTGTGTGCATGTGTATGTGTGTGTGTGGTGTGTGTATGTGTGTGTGGTGTGTATGTGTGGTGTGTGTGTGCATGTGTATGTGTGTGTATATGTGTGTGGTGTGTGTGCATGTGTATGTATGTGCATGTGTGTGTATATGTGTGGTGCATGTGTATGTGTCTGTGTGTGGTGTGGTGTATGTGTGTATGTGTGTATATGTGTATGCACACACAGGTATGTGTGTGCCTGAAGGGAGGGAAGGAGGAGGGTGAAGTTTGGAAAGGGTACCTGAACAGCCACCCACTCAGAGAAAGATGGGGCTCACCACCCCTGCACATGTACTCAGGAGACACAGTGTTTCTTGGCCTCAGTTTTTTATTTCTGCAAATTCTTCAAAAAAAAAAAAAAGTACTGCCTTTATCCCACAAGTGATAAAGAAACAATTACTTGTCTTCAAATAGGTTACTGGGACAAGGGACACTGGATGCTCCTTGATATGTCAATTAAGGGAGCAGGGAGAAGCTAACATTTAAGGAGTTTTTAGTAATTTTTGTAAAGCTATTATTCAAAAGTTTGTGACTCAATCCAGCCCTGCTATTCAGATATGCTCAGCCATTTGGGAAGCAGAGGGATCAAATTTCTGGAAACACATTTAACATTTACCAAAATGTCTTTTAATTCGTTTCTTATTATCTTGTTGCATTGATGTCAGGCCACTTAGTGGGGTTTTCTGCAAAACTTGCTTCCTGTTTTAGCACTGCAAACATAGCTCACTTCTTGATTGCTATCTATTCTTTCCAGGTCATTCTGTCCCACTCTGTAGCCAATAAAAAGGGAAGAATTTCCCCCACCTGCTATTCTTATAAAGAAATCAAGGACATAGAGCAAAATACTTTTAACAAAAAGGCAAAATTCTTCCACATAAGCCCTTCAGGGAGTAGCTCTTGGAGCAGTAACATTAAATGGGACCAGAACACAAAAGCGCACAGGCTCATGTGGCCTTAGGAAATTTCTCTGGGAGGACCAAAAGTACTAGAGTTAACCCGAATGTGGAAAATGGAAATAGGATAGAGTGAGCTTCGTGGAATTAGAGATACAGTATATAATGGCAGAAACTAAGGGTGTTTTTGAGAGATGGGAATGCCAAGAACACCCGAAACACAATTGGATGATGGATTGATAGAAAAGTACAAATTTATTTAAAAGCAGCAAAAAGCAGATAACAAAATCACATGACATGTAGAATTGTGGCACGATTAATAAAACAGTGTTAGGATTTAAATCACCTTCGACATCCTCTCTTTCCTAAACCAAGTCACCTATGTATCCTAACTCCATCTATCTCCAGCAGTGAAATAGTTGGACCAATTTCATTTTCTGTTTCTCTGTGAGTTTCCCTTCATTCTTCTGCCCCCAAATGAGAGGAGCGTTTTGTGGGATCATTATTTATCCCAGAAATGCTTCAGCCTGATTTTGTTCTCCCTAACCATCATTTAGTATTTAAAATCCTAGAAATCACAATGACTTTACTCTTTTTTAGTAGAGTGCTTAAAGAGTCTTTGTGTGTGTAGATTTGGGGGCGTAGAACATTTGGCTCCTTACAGAAATCTTATTTATGGCTTCACAGATGAGAAATACAGAGATTATTATTGAATACGATTCTCAACCACACCTTCTGGAGCACAAACTGTGAGCTCAGGTTGTGCAGGGAAAGATTGGTGAACCAACCGTCATTCCTCGTGGGCATGAGAGGGAGAGAAGGATCCAAGGAGAAAGCAAGTTTGAACTTCAGCAAGGAGTTAAGTGGTTAATAGGAACTCAGTTTTTTTTTTTATTGGCTAATAAAACCTCTCAGCGTTTTTCATATTATATGGTCCCTTCAGGCTCCTAGCCCAATGGCTTAAAAAAAGGGAAAGACAAAAACAACAACAAAAAGCTGGAGCCTAAATACCAATGCAGTCCCAGTCTTGTTTACTTTTTCATTTCCGCAGTTGTAAAAAAAAAAAAAAAAATTCCTCTGGTAGTTCAACTTTATCATAGGAATTGCAGGAACGGACCGGTGTTTGAACAACTCCAGTCATTCCTGCCTCCCAGTGAAAGGAAAAAATATGCTCTGCCTGTGTGTGCCTGTTTCAGAAAAAAAGTTGACCACGCTGCAAGTGATGGATGCATCAGGAAATCTTAAAATGAAAGCAGGGGTGGAAGGAGGGAGCGCAGATATTGAACTGAAACACATCTCTGGAATCCTGAATGCAAATGATCTCTGTCCTTTTATTGCCAGTGGTGCTGTTCTCCCAACAGAGCAGGATGTTCTTGTTTTTAATAATAGCCAGGCCAGATGCTAAATTCGCCTCAGCAACATGCTGTATAAGTGAGAAGGCAAACAGCTGATTCCTGTTAAGACGAACACCAGGAGAATAAGCCAGAAAGTATGAGAATTCTCTGGAGGTTTTTGCTTTGTAAACCCCTGTTTGGCAGAAAGATCACAGAATCTGAACTGAAAACACAGTGTGTCCCCTGCACCCGTTCCTCGGCGGAGCTGCTTGCTGGGGGCCTTTAAGCCTCTCGCCTTCGCCATCCAGCCCTTTTCTAAGCTGTCCAGAAGACGAGCTTACAGGTTTCCCAAGAGGGAAAGTCGGAAGCCCTGAGTCCTTTGACTTTTAATGACTGTAGAAAAATACTCATCAATAGGAGGATTTTTTTTTTTACTTGTTCCTTGCAGTAAAAAATAGCGAAATCCTGAACACGAGCCAGTATTTTTAAATGGCATCTTTGTTCCATCTTTTTCACTACCTTCTTCCCCCTGTCAGAGTCCATCAAATCCCTCAGATACTATTCCTTTCAGAATAAGCCACACATGCAAGATGCTGCTTTCTTCTTTCCCAGGGAGCTGCCAGAGCCTGTGTGGTGTTCTGTGCGGCTGGGCTGACCAGATCAGACAGTGACCAGGCTGCACGCCGCTGCTAGCTCATGCCACCTCCAAATGCTGCCCTGAAGGCCCTTCCTGGAGAGCAGGGGTACCCTGTGGAAGGGGTCTGCAGAGTGTTGTCTTCCAGTCATTCCTGGGGGCTTTGCTTCCAAGGCCTGCAGGAAAGTGAGCGAGAGAAGAAGGGGATGTTAGGAGGAGGTTGAGAAGCTCGCCCCAAAAATAAGTTCCCCAAAGACCCCTTTCATTACCTTTCCTGTTCATATCATCCTCCTAAACCCTCATACTTTCTCTCTCCAATTGCCACATCCTCCCCTGAAATGCAGAAAGTGCACATTATCCTTTCTATTTTTTCCTCCCTAGCTGTCCTTGAAGTTCACTTGGCCTTGATCTCACTAGTATGAACATCCTGGGGGGAAAGGAATGGGAGCCAAAGATGATTTTCCTCCTTCCCTACTTAGGATGGCACTGAAGCCCATTGTTTTAATGTCTTTTTGAGGAAAATTCAGATTTGGTACCAGTAGCATGATCACATATGTACCTGGCACTTTTCTTAATGTTTCACGTGCCTTATCTTAATCTTCCCAGCAACTTATGAAGAAGTTAGTACTGTGTTTATCCCCATTTTACTGATAGGAAAACTGAGGTTCAGACTTGTCCAAGGTTATACAGCTATTAAGACTCAAGTCTAGATCTGCTTGATACCAGAGACTATGTTCCTAAGCTCAAACTTTGGGCACAATCTCTGTATCATCTGTATAATGGAGGTTATGAGAAGTAAATGAATTAATGAGATCTAAAAATGCCCAGCAGAGTGTGTGGCACATAATAGATGTAAACTAGATGGTACGTTTTATTATTGTTGATAATAATTAAGATTGTTTTTAAAAGCATAAATAAAATGTTCAATTAGTTGGAATCACAATAGAGCTGAAGCCAGAAGTGGAAGATTTTTAAAAAATGCTATTTTAACATTTTTAAAAATGTTGCTCTTTGACAGAGGTTTTTTTCCTATATATTTTATAAACTATTTTTCTACTGAACATTAAGGTTCAGGCTGTTACAACAGCCATTAGTCCATTTCATTAAGGTTAAGTTTGGCAATTGGCTTGCTATGGGCTTCTTCCCTAGGGAACCCGGAGATATCGTATCACGTAAACCATGAATGGAATACATCAACACCTTCAGAACAAGAATGTTGACCTTACCCCCATCCCAATCCTCAATCTGTAGTCTCTTCCAAGGTTTTCCATGTAGGTATGTTGTGTTTTGTGTGAACAATGTCACTGAAAATGTTATTATTGCACTTAATTTGGCAGCATTGGCTTCATCTAACTAGAAAGAGACCCGAGCCAAGAAATTCCTGTCAACTTCAACCCTTACCTTTCTATGAATGGCTCTGGGGTCCTCCTTGCAATCTGACAAAGGGGCACTACCCAGTTCCCTCACATCTGAAGTGGAACCCCTGATCTGGGCAAGGCTTTGTGTTGGTGTGCAGAAGCCTGGAGGAGCCCAGGGATGGGGCACGACCGTTTCTTGCCCTAAATGATTTAAATCACTTTGAATGAATAGGTAGGCTTCTCTCCAAGTATCTTAAAGTATCTTGCAGACTATTTTCTTAAATCTATATGGAAAAAAATATTATATTTTACTGAAAGTCCAGATAATAGAAATTATCTCTCTCCCTCTCACACTCTCTCCCTTCTTTTCTTTCTTCTCTTTGAAAATATTTATTGAACAGCTACTATAGGCAGACCAATATGTTGGAAGGCTTGCCGTCATTAAGAAGCGTATTGGAAAGCATGTCTGTTCAACTTAATCCATTTCAGTAAAAGAGGTTTTTGTCATGCCATTCTTTATTTTAAGCAAATTCATGAATTCTTGAGATTGCAAAAAACAGATATTAAAAGTAGTAATTAGTTTATAGAGAGAATTTAGACAGTTTTGATTTCTGTTTATAGCCAGTTTCATTTTCCATTTCTCATTTCCTAAAGCAAACACTCAAATATTTGTAAGGTACTTGGCATCTATATTTAGTCACACAAGACTTTCATTCCCACCACATATATGGGTGGTTTGGTATTCTAAAAGTGGGTGATTTTCATACAGTCAAAGAGGGAAAATCTACTCTTCCATTTTCTCCACCCTGTTGTAGCAGCCATGAAGCCAACTCTCCCTGAAGGGGTTGAGCAGTGTATTGAAAGGGGGACATCAGAAAGTGGCAAAAAGTTCTGGGTTCCAGATCCTTAACCCCTACTAACTAGATGCATGACCTTGAACAAGCCACTTAACCTCTCTTGACCTTCTCTTTAACTTGGGACAATAATATATTGCCAGCCAGATGGTCTGCTGAAGGACCATGGAGCTCTTACCTATAGATTTGGAATGGCTTTTGGAATGGAGAAATTATGGGGAGTTTTAAAAGACTAGAGTCTGTCTAACATTAAGAAAGAGAATGGGGTCCATTGTTTACTGCAGAACTGGCAAAATGGTCATTTTGTAGAGGATGGGGAAATGGAATCCCAGAGAGGTCAAATCACTTTTGAAGGATCACCCCATAGACAGATGATTGGAAGTCAAGGGTCAGGACATCTATTTCAAGCAGTTTCTATACTCACTCACCGTAAGAGATATTTCCTTCCTTCATAATAGTAGCACCTTCTGCATTATATTTTCATTAACTACTTTTTTAATGTCCTAGTTTTCATGAACCTATTTTCATTTGTTATAAATTTAGGCAAACTGATTTATTAAAACTTTCTTATATAAATTAATTTCCAACATGCTGATCCCATACCATGCTCCAGCTAACCTTATTAATTAAAGACCTGTTATATGTTACTTTATTTAAAACATAGATGAAGTTAGCATACCAGGCCTGACTTAGAGGATGAGAAATCCAGTCTAGGAGCATCAGTGCCATTTCTTCCTGGAGAAAGCTGATATATCTGTTGGCAACATGCTTCAAGTTGATTTCCGTTTAGTGGACAAGAGGGATTTTCTCACCCAGACCCTTGCCATCAATGCTAAGGGTAGTGGCTTGGAAAGGTCTTTCTATTTGCTGTTTCAAGCTTTGGCCTCTAGAGATGGGGCCATAGTCTTGACTTCATTAACATGATGTCCTAGCCACCTAAACAAATCAAAGCATAACAGCTATTCTTGAAAAAGGGCTTGTCATCTCAATTGTACCTTTTATCTGCTTGCTATCTAAGTTACCTATAACCAATATCCCTTTGTATTAGTCCATTTTCACACTGCTGACAAAGACATACCCAAGACTGGGCAATCTACAAAAGAAAGAGGTCTAATTGGACTCACAGTTCCACGTGGCTGGGGAGGCCTCACAATCATGGTGGAAGGCAAGGAGGAGCAAATCATATCTTACATGGTTGGTGGCAGGCAAAGAGAGAGCTTGTGCAGGGGAACTCCTCTTTTTAAAACCATCAGATCTCATGAGACTTATTCACTATCATGAGAACAGCATGGGAAAGATTTTCCCCTATGATTCAATTACCTTCCACCGGATCCCTCCCACAACACGTGGGAATTCAAAATGAGATTTGGGTGGAGACACAGCCAAACCATATCACCCTTCAATTTAAAAAGTAGAAGGGGAAAACCATTCTGATGGGGTGATGATAGAGCACACAGGTATTAAGTATAGTGTTATAAGACTTATAACATAGTTCATCTGACCCCTGTTTAATGATAGACACAGCCATTATTGTGCCAAGTGATTCTCAGACATAAGTGTCAAGTCATTTACAGGGCAGAGGAAGGTGGAAAGCTAAGAGGAGGAGGAATTTGTGGCTTCACCCCATCCCTTGCTTGAGAAAATAATTGTCATTGCTTTGCTTCAGTCCCCAACTCTAGTCTGATCTTAAGGGAGGGGTTACATTTGTATTCATTCAAAAATATTGATTAAACACTTACTAGAAATGATGGAAATGAAAATGAATGAGATATATCTCCACCCTCATGAAGCTCACCATCTGCTCAGAGAGACAGAAGTATAAACTTCACAGCCAGGTGCGGTGGCTCACGCCTGTAATCCCAGCACTTTGGGAAGCTGAGGCGGGTGGATCACCTGAGGTCAGGAGTTCGAGGCCAGCCTGGCCAACGTGGTGAAACCCTGTCTCTACTAAAAATACAAAAATTAGCCAGATGTGGTGGTGCACGCCTGTAGTCCCAGCTACTCAGGAGGCTGAGGCAGGAGAATCACTTGAATGTGGAAGGCAGAGGTTGCAGTGAGCCAAATTGTGCCACTGCACTCCAGCCTGGGTGACAGAGTGAGACTCCTTCTCAAAAAAAAAAAAAAAAAAAAAAGAAAAGAAAAAAGAAATATAAACTTGTACAGTGCAGCAGGTGCCATATGAACCAAGGGCAGAGGGGGCCCCAAGGAGGCAGCAAGTCCTGGGAAAGGCAGGAAGATGACATCTGGGCTGGATCTGGAAGCCTGAGTAATTCCTTGCCACTCAGGGTCTGAAGCTGAGCTAGTGTCAGTTCCTGCAGTGCAGCACCTGGGAGTGGACACGTACTGCCAGCATGGAGCTCCCATGTGTAGCTCTTCAGAAAGAAAGAGAAAGAGAGAAAGAAAGAGAAAGAAAGAAAGAAAGAAAGAAAGAAAGAAAGAAAGAAAGAAAGAAAGAAAGAAAAGAAAGAGAAAGAAAGAAGGAAGGAAGGAAGGAAGAAAGAAAGAAAAAGAAAGAAAGAAGAAAGAAAGAGAGAATCACCCCAGGCTCTGCAGCATTCTTTAGCATGCCAGACTACACGTCCACGGATAGGATGAGCAAGGGGGTGGAGTGGTGGGGTAGGGTGGGCAGTATCAGAATTTCTGTGGGATAGGAGTCATACTTGGGAAAACCATAGTCAATAGTAGAATTTAATAATTAAAAACCTAGAGAAGCACCTATGTTGTTAAAACAGATAACATGAAAAAATGTGAGATTTTAATGTTTAACAAAAGAGAGCATAGATATAAAAATGTTGAGAGGACAGCATAAAATGTCAAATTTTCAGTACAGAACAGGGATGTATTTTATCTGATTGCTCACCCTGTACCTACTACCAAGTGAACTAGAGTCTTGATAGAGCAGTGAGGGATAATTTTGGCACAAAGGACCCTTCAGCCTTCAATAGGAAAGGTTGTCAAGCATAAATGGTTGGGGTAAGACCACTCTGCATGGTCACACATTCAAAGAGCTTGACAAGAGCTATGCTTGTGACTGATCCTATGGAACATTTTAAAGCAGGATCTTGGTGTCTTCTCTACCCACACCTCCACAGCTCTCCTTTGGAGGCTCACCATGCCCCTAGAGGACTTCACATGGACTCCCCTCTCTCTAAGCCCACATCAGCTAACCCTTTCCCGTGGACCTCCCCTTTCATAAAATGAACCTGTCCTGACTCTCATCCTGGAGGGGTGAATTTGCATTTCCAGGGAAGTTTTCTGGAACTATGAAAACCTTACCTTCAAAGCCCCATAGCCTCGTGGAAAGGCAGGAACCTTCCTAGGGATGCTTTTTTGGCATCCTCACTTCCCATCCTGGAGCCGCTGCCTCCTTGCGGGCTACTCTTCCCCGCCCAGTTGAGAGCCATTCTTCTCTCTCGCGCCCAAGCATCCAGCCCAGATCCCTTGAAGTAAGAGAGGATCTGAGCCCATAGCCACTGTGGGTTAGGGTGAAAATGAGAGAGAGTTCTGATTCTATCAGAGGCCCATTTTGGGAGCTTGCATTGATTTCTGTCTCTGTGAGAGTTATTTTATTGATTCATGGAATCTTTATTAGAGTTATTAGAACAAATAAAACACACTCATGCACACACATGTTAATTCATCTATACCCCTCCCAAACCACTGGCTGGCGAAATGAGTTATATTTCCAGCCCTGACATCTTGCCCGTTTGTCATTCTCCTTCCTGGCCACATCAAGTTCCATCGGGTTTGAGTTTATTGGCTACACAGTGAAGTTTATGTTGTCACAGAAATTAGCCTTGATGGACAGGGATATGGCCAGGAAATCAGGAGAGCTCGGCAGCTTCATGGTGTTGGCATAGCTGAGATGTTAGGGTGCCTGGAGCCCTCTCCAAGAAAAATCAAAGCTGGCTCTTTGCAGCAGCAAATGAGTGCAACAAGACACTCCTGAGGGACGAGAGCCTGGACGTGATTGTGAGCCGTCCAGTTCTCATTCTACTCATCCACCCTCCCCCCTTCCTCCCCAACCCTTCTGGTGCCCCCCACTGCCAAAAATCCTTCCCCGTGCAATGGAGGCAGGTCTGGGAGGCCTGAGGTCAAGCTGCTCTCTTCTACAGTTCGTGGTTAGCTTTCGTAGCTTCTTGGCTGCTTGACAACGTTGGATAATAATTCAATATTTCTTACTGAAATACTTGACCTTATTGTTAGTTTTTGTGACAAGGGGAATTTAAAGGAGCTGCAAAAATGCAAGCAAGTGTGGCTGAGAAAGGCCAGGGTATGCCACTGAATAGTGAACAGTTTCTTTTTCTGACATCTATAAAATTTAGGTGAAAACAGGTCAACATTGATCTTGGCAAATGGGAAAGCCAGTTCTATTGTTAGCAAACGAGCTTCAGAAATAAATGTAAGTCTGGTTCAATCAAAACCACGTTTGGTTTTAGAGACTAGTGATGTACTTTCTATAAAAAAAAAAGTGTATTTATATAGACACACGAAGTAAAAATATTCTTTGGCCAAAAGGATCATTTTCTAAGTATCAAATCAACTTGTTAAAGTACCAGATGGGACCCCTTTCATTTTCTTTTAAAATTTGTAGGGTGCCTGCTCCCGGAATCTTCTTTTCTCTTTATTTTGTATCGGCAAGGGCTTTTGAAGATTATAATCATGTATTAAGAAAAATCCTGCGTCGCCTAATGTTGGGACTTATTGCAGACTGTGAACTCATGTTTGAGAGAGAAATGAAGTTATAGGATTCAAATATATAGCTCTCCAGATTTGGCCTGAGTCTTAGAATCATTTTTATGGGCTGCTCTCAAGAGTTTCATATGATATGTTTGAGCTCACAGAGGAGGAACATAAGAGAAGTTCAGTCACTTGCCAAATCCAGATTGTGGAGGGTCAGTTAATTTTAGCCTACTGGCAGCTTGCTG
The DNA here is from genome assembly GCF_000001405.40 of Homo sapiens. Taxonomy (NCBI): domain Eukaryota; kingdom Metazoa; phylum Chordata; class Mammalia; order Primates; family Hominidae; genus Homo; species Homo sapiens. Next base: position 45,564,123 of record NC_000006.12, read on the forward strand.
ATCTTATTTTCTCTCTGTCCTGTCCTGGGATCATCTGGAGTCCTTGTCCTGCTATAGGAATTAGAACAATCATAGGGGTCAGAACTCTTTCTTCTCCCACAACCTCCCATTAACAGATGAGGAGACGAAGCTCCAGAGTTAAATGTGTGTTGGTTTATAGGATTCTAGAAGGATTGACTCTTTATCGGGAGATTTAAAAAAAATTGAGTTGAAATTCACATAACATAAAATTAATCATTTTTAAGTGAATGATTCAGTGGCATTTAGTACACTCTCAATGTTGTTCAACCACCACCTCTGTCTAGTTCCAAAACATTTTTATCACCCTAAAAGAAAACCTCGTGCCCATTAAGCAGTTGCTTCCTAGTCTCACCTCCACATCCATTTTTTAATATAAGTTGACCTGATCAGCTTGGTTTCCACAGAGTGTCCAGTTAGGGATTCACAACTTTAAATAAGGCATGGCTGTATTTCTGGATGGGACTGAGAGGAGAGAGGGAGTATTTCTCATGGGGAGCAGCAGAGGTCCTGGGCTGGGATCGGGGTGGGATGTGGGAGAGACAGAGTCTGGAGTCTCATGGTAACACAGAATCAAAGACTTTCTGAATGTGAGGGAAACATCTGTTGGGGTAGCTGCTCTTTCTGGGGCAGATTTTTGGTCTCCTGCAGAGGTGATGATCCCTTTAAAGTTCTCACCATTCTCACTCTTGAGTGTCCTGCCTTCCCATCTAGGAGGTGTCTTATTCCTTTAATTTGTGTTGGTAGGCATCCAGGTCTGGCACCAAGCAGTCCCCATTCTGGAAGCCGGGAGGTAGTGTAGTGTAGTCTCACCCAGGTCTTGAGAGAGAGGTCTCCCCGGGATGCTACCTGTAAGCTGTCTCCTTCAATACCCATCATCCCCCCATATAATCATTTTCAAATGGCAAATGATAATGAAAGCTTTCCTCTATTTTGCTTCCAAGTGTCAACGTATCTATACAGGTTATAGATGCATATGTGAGTTGCCTGTTTAAGAAAAAAAGAGGTTTGAGGGGTATTCGAGTATGTTCAGGGAAGACTGAACATTGCCTTGGGTTGCTTTCCAAATGCTCTGTGGGAGGAGGCCAGGAGCATGGTCCAGAGACTGAAGAACTAGGTTGTTTTTAAGCTGCCTCTGGGCAGGGTCAGGAGGTGGTCTCTCCTGAGTCAGGTTCCTTGTGAATCTAAGGGTAGCTTAAAGTTGGGACTGAGACAGGAGTGGGGAACCCAGAGGCCAGTTATGGCACTAAAAAAGATCTGTGCATAGATCCTGAAAGGAAAAACCCAAGTCTCTGACCCCCTTGAGGTCACATGTTCTGGGGCACACAGTGCCCAGGTCTCATGGTGACCCTTCTTCATGGGGCATCTGTTTTACTGAAGAGATTGGGATGGGTGGGGAGAAGTTAAACAATGTAATTGGTAAGTAATTTCAACCATTTTTAAAATTAAAATGTAGATGACTAAATTATGAAATGCAATATAAAATTCATAGGAGTTGTGAAGATAAAGCAGGACTTTGGTGAAATCTACTTTGGGCCAAACCCAGGCAGACTCCCCGGTATTGAGGCAGTTAGGTGGCTGTGATAGAAATAATTGTGAAGTCCTGTCAGTGTTCAGGGCATGTCCCCAGAGGCCTATGGAGTGGTTAGCTCTTGTAGAATTTTCTCCTGCATACCTTGTCCTTTCACTCATCCAACTCCATCCCTTCCTGCAAAACATTTCCCACCTCCTCCATGAAGATCTCCTTGCCATTCTGACCCAATTGCTCAGTGATAGTATATGTAGCCTGCACTGTGAGTTTGGTCCTCCAATCCTCTTATACTCTGTTTCAGTTATCTATTGCTGATTAACAAATTATGCCTCAACTTTGTGATTTAGAACAACAGTCATATTATTGCTCACAATTCTGTGGATCAGGGATTCAGTCAGGAGTCAGCAGGGTGGTTCTGCTCCACAGGGGATCAGCTGGGGCCATTCACTTGGATGCATTCAGCTGGAGTTGGGCTGGAAAGTTCAAGTAGGCTTCACAAACATGTCTAGTTTCTTGGTGCTTCTCTACGTGGCCTTCCTCTCTCCCAAATGGCTAGCTTGGGCTTCCTCACAGCATGATGTTCCCATGGTAGTTAGAATTCTTACATGGTACAGGCTTCTAGGAGGCACAATAGTGGAAGCTACAGGTCTTTTAAGGTCTACCTTGGAAAAGGGGTGGGCAGGATCACTTCCACTGTGTTCTCTTTGTCAAAGCTAGTTACAGGGACCTGCCCAGAATCAAGGAGAGAGGAATAAGCGGAGAGGCAACAAATTTAGAGCTGTCTTTAAACTATTACATGTATTAATAGTTGAAACCCATCGTGACTGACTTGGAAGCCCATGATCTTAATCACTTTGCAATGATTCCTCTTAGATATCATGGTTCTCAATGATCCCTCTCAGCGCTGATTGCAGTGGGACTTAGTGAACATCTGGTGATTATTTCAGGGTTCCAGCATCAGTAACAGGTGTACAAGGAGAAGAGATTTTGGGCATGAGGCATCCCTGCACAGGCAGACACCTCTTCGTCAAGACACAAGGATAGGAAGCATCATGGTGATAAGGAAAGTGAGTGTTTGGCAGGAAAAGATGAGTCCTTAGTGTTTTGTGAATGGAGTCATTATATGCTTTCTTGAGTCCTGTAATAGACTGAGTATATGTCAAATAACCGGCAGTTGAGGGAGCCTTGGTAAGGGGGAAATAGGGACTCACATCACTTTACGTTTCAAGATCTGCAGGGAAGTGCTAGGTGGCAGGAGTCCTCTGAACTTCCCAGTGCACCTGGGGGCTGCCCTGGCCATCACTCAGAGATCCAGCAGGGTCCAAAGAGCAACCCTTCCAGGAAAGCAGAGCTGGGACTCTCCAGAGAAAGAGGCTATTGTTTCTTGCCACTTTAAGTAGCTGATGACAGTACAAAGGAATGCAGTTACGACCCTCCCTTCTAACTATGAAGGATTAGAGACTGAAGAACCAGACTGTGAAAGCCTCTGGGCATGAGGTGTGGGAAATGCTGCGGAGGCAGAGGGGAGCCAGCGTTTCTTGGGGATGGCAATGTTGATTCTAGAATTCTGCCCCTCTACTTCTCAACCATGGGACTCTATCTCACTGGGCCTCCGTTTTCTAATACACACATTGGTGATATGAGAAATGCACAGTTGTGCTGCTCAGGATTTTTTTTAAAGAATTAAAAATTTAAAGGATCTTGCATGGTGCTTGCCACAGGATAAGCACTTACTAAACATTAAATTTTTTATCTCCAAAATGTTAGAAAAGTTGCCTTAGAAATTGTTGAATTCCATTTGTGAATGACCACGCTGAGGCCTGGAGATGTTAGAATGATTTTCAACATGTTGGTGAATCCACATTTCCTCCTCTTGGTCCAGGGCTCTTGTTTCTGTTCCATAGACATTGAAGCCCCTCTGTCAATGCATTTTCATCATAGCCACACTGGCCTTTGTTCTTGAGCAGAGTACTTTATATGACCCCAAAGAACACGCGGTGACCCAAAGAGAAAATCCTAGCTTCAAAAAACAAAGCAAAACGTTAAAAAACAGACAACCAAATAAAACCAATTAAAACACCAACAAGTTTTAACATGAAAATCTTTGAATAAAGCCATTGCCATCCACTTAAATCACATTAGTAAGCCCTTACTCCTCTTTGTATTTTTTTCTATTTTAGTTAAAAAAATTATTTTAAAGATCAGAGTTCAGAATTCTTATTATTTAAGGGACGGGGTCTTGCTCTGTTGTTCAAGGTGGAGTGCAGTGGCAGGATCATGGCTCACTGCAGCCTTGACCTCCTAGGTTCAAGCAATCCTCCTACCTCAGCCTCCTGAGTAGCTAGGACTACAAGTGCATGCCATCACACCTGGCTAAACATTTTTGCAGAGATGGGGTCTCACTGTGTTGCCCAGGCTGGTCTCTAACTCCTAGCCTCAAGCAATCATCCCACCTTGGCAAGTTCTGGGATTGCAGGCATGAGCCACTGCACCAAGCCAGAATTATTTTTTCAAAAAGAATATGTCTCCTTCCAGGCTGTGCCCCACTCCACCCTTGCCTGCCACTTCTATACCAGACAAGTTTTACGCAAGTCCAAATTGGTCTCCCTCTTATCAACAAGTAGCACTGGGAACTTTGTGGTCCATTGACAAGGAGTCAGGGCATTTCGGTTGATGGAAATTAGTTGTCCAGATGAGATGAGAGTCAGGAGGCCTGGGTTCTATGAGACATTATACCAGGGCCCTGTTATGTTTTGCTGCACAACAAATCACCCCAAAACTCAGTGGTGTCAGAGAACAACATTTTATTATGCTCACAGACTCTGTGGATCAGGAATTGGAGCAGGCACACTAGGAATGGCTCATCTCCACCCTAAATATCTGTGGTCTCAGCTGGCCACCTTGAAAGGCAGGGGGTGACCTGAAAGGCTGGGGGCTAGAATCTTCTGAGGCTTCTTCACTCACATGCTGGGTGCCTGACTGGGCTGGTCAAAGGACAATCTTAGCTAAGACACTCTCCGTGGCCTCTCCAGGATAGCCGTCTCAGGGTAGTTAGATTTCTTCCATGGTAACTTGGGCTCTGAGAACAAATGTCCCAGCCAACTTGGCTGGAGCTGTGTGACCTTTTATGACATAGCCTCAGAGGTCATGTGGTGTCTGTCACTTTCACCATACTCCATGGATCGAAGCAGTCACAAGCCTCCTCACATTCAAGGAGAGGGGACCCCATCTCTCAAGGTGGGAGTGTCAAAGATTGGCAGCCATGATGTTAAATGGTCACACATGGTGATCAAGTTTTGGAACACTGAGAATCCACTGCCTGACCGGATTGGTGCTGCTTCCACGGAAAAGAGACAGTCTAAGAGATCAGACTTGGACATTGATGTATTGGATCTTTGGGGCATTTTTGAAGGTTTAGATACAGAGTAATTAAAAATGAGACTATCTTGGGTAATCCTGGGAGGGAGGTTAAGAGTTTTAAGCAGTTTGCTTAAGATTTTCATTTGCCACATCTGAGAAGAGAATTCACCACCATCTGCTTTTTAACTGGAGTGGGACTGCCCAGGTGACACCAAAGGAAGCTTTCGCCTGGAAACATGTGTGGGCATGAACTAGACTTTACATTTTTTTCTACCAACAGCAAAGGAAATGGCAGTGCAAGGAACTCTCCCTAAGAGCCGAGAAGAGGGAGCAGTGGCTTCATTAGGAGGAGGTGGTTGGGCCCCACCCACTAGCCTTCCCCCAACCTGTGTACATACCCAGAAGGAACATCGTTTGTATTGAATCCAAAGAGGAGCCTTTGAAGCCCTCAGAGATCTTCAGAGCAAAGTGCTGGGTGAGGTCAGGGCATTCAAGAGGCCTGGATGGAGGGAGGGAGACTGGGTGTGTGCCAGCCCAGGCCACTTCGAGGCTGCATGCAGCTGGAGGGATGCCCCACTCACAGCTAGGCAGCCCCAGAACAAGTGGTCTGGGGCAAGAAACACAAGTTCACCATGCCGTTCCTGACCTCCCTGTGTTCCCAGAGTAGCAAAAGTGTGTGGGGAGGGGAGAATTAGAGGACTGAGAGCTTGCTTTGTGTTGGGCACTGCGTTAGTCACTTTGTGTCATTAGTCAGTCTCATTTAATCCTCACAGTAATCCTATGAGGTAGGCCTTATGATTCCTAATTTACAGTTAGGAGACTGAGGCTCAGAGATCTTAAATATCATTTTTAAGGCCACAGAGCAGTAAGAGGGGATGATAGAATTCCAAAGAGGCAGATTTCATTTGCCATTCCAAAATCAGCATTGTCACAGGACAAGGACACCACCCTCTGTTCTCCTCTTCCTGTCTTCATTCCATTCCACACTTTTTTCATTAAACTATAATATTTCCATCACTAGACTTCTTGATGCTTGCAAAACCTAATCCCTTCATAGTCAGGGTCAAGGAGTTTTCTGCAAAACATATTTGAAGAAATGATGATCTAGAGTTGTGCTGTCCAATGAGATAGCCTCTGTCCACATGTGGCAGCACAGCTCTAAATAAAACTAACAAAATTAAATTTAAAATGCAGTTCGCTGGTCACACTAGGGCTCTTTAGCCACATGCAATGTATTATTGGACTGTGCTGCTTTAGAGAGTAAGTCGAGAAAGAATTGCATTTTCATAACTAGTTCTACTGCTAGTTTAATTAATACTTCTAATGGTACTTGAGTTACTTATTTATTCCAAGTCTTTCTCAGAGATAAAATAATAGACTTTTTTTTTTAAACAGTACTTTGTAGTTTACAAACTTCATTCTAATGCAATAGCCTTGCAAAGTAGAGTAGGTAATGAGGTTATGAGTGAAGTAACAAAGGTTCCAAGAGGTTAAGCAGCTTAGCCAAGGTTCTACAAACAGTAAATGGTAGAGCTGGGGCTTCAATGCAGATTCTCTCGCGTGTACTCTCCAAAGGGAGAACTTGTGTATATGATGCCTGAAACTATTCTCAGGCAAAATTGTTAAATCAAAAGTAATTTTTTTTTTTTTTTTTTGTGATGGAGTGTCACTCTGTCATCCAGGCTGGAGTGCAGTGGTGTGACCTCGGCTCACTGCAACCTCTGCCTCCTGGGATCAAGCAAGTCTCATGCCTCAGCCTTCTGAGTAGCTGGGATTACAGGCATGTGCCACCATGCCCAGCTAATTTTTGTATTTTTATTAGAGATGGGGTTTCGCCACATTGGCCAGGCATGTCTCGAACTCCTGACCTCAAGTGATCTGCCCGCCTCAGCCTCCCAAAGTGCTGGGATTACAGACAGTGAGCCAACATGCCTGGCCTAAATCAAAAGTAATTTACCATAGCTAGGTGTGATGGAGGATAAATATCCAGTACATGGAAAGGTAACCAACAATACCTAGTCAGGTACGATATGTGTCAAATTAATATATAAAGAATAAGTCATTCATTCATTCATTCATTCATTCATGTATTTCATGTGAAATATGTCCCATCCACTGTTCTAGACACTAGAGACAATAACAAAGGCAGATAAACAGTAAATTCATAATGAAATAAACAACATCATATCAAGTTTTGATAAGTGCCTTGCATAAGCGAAAAGCAAAGAAAGGGCAAGGAGTGGGTGGCGATGTTGTTTTAGATAGGGCTGTTAGGAAAGAGCTTTCTGAAGTGGGCACACTTAATGGGAACCTGAAGAAAGTGAGAAAGTGAGCTGTAACTGTAGGAGAAACAGGGCCAAGCCACAGGAGCCATGAGTGTGAGGGCCCTGGGGCAGGCACATGCTCTGTTTTTCTTCTTGCACTAACTAATCTTATGTTCTTTATCTGATTATATATTTATTGTCTGTTTCCCCGGGTATAATGCCCACACTTGGCTCAAGAAACAATCAGGAGGCTTATGTGCCTGGAATGTAGTGGGAGAGTGGGGAGCGGTAGGAGAGAGAAGTCAGGAGGAGACAGGGCCGAAACATGAAGGACCAGCAGCAGGCTGTGAAGGACTTCAGGTTTTCTTCTGAGGTGACTGGGGAAGCCGTGGTGGTAATGGATGGAGGGCACAAGCTTTTTTAGGCTTTATTTGTTTTATTATTATTATTAATTTAGAGACATGGTCTCGCTTTGTTACCCAGGCTGGAGTGAGCACAGTGGCAGGATGCTAGCTCACTGCAGCCTCCAACTCCTGGGTTCAAGTGATCCTCTTTCCTCAGCCTCCCAAGTAGCTAGGATGATAGGTACAAGCCACAACACTCAGCTAATTTAAAATAATTTAAAATTATTTTTTGTAGAGATAGGGTCTTGCTTTGTTGCCAAGGCTGATCTCAAACTCCCAGCTTCAAGTGATCCTCCCACACTGGCCTCCCAAAGCACTAGGATTTCAGACATGAGTCACCAAGCCCAGCCTGTTATATTAATTTTAATCCAAATTTTTATTTAGAATACTTTTAAGCTTTCAGAAAATTTGAAAGAATTTTACAATAAATACTCTACCTAGATTATTCACCAATTAACATCTCACTGCATCTCTCTCTCTCTTCTTTCTCTATTTTCCCCCCTCAACCACTTTAAAGTAAGTTTCAGATATCATGACACTTTAGGCATAAATACTCATTACATATCTATATATCTATATATCTATATATATCTATATATCTGTATATCTATCTATATATCTATATAGATATATCTATATAGATATATTTATATATATACATCTCCAAAACATGACATCACACCAAAGAAACTTTAATAAAATAATATTATCTATTATTAATATTGTGTATTATTTAAATATTAAAATATGTTAATACGTAAAATAATATTAAATATACTAAACAGCAATATATTAAAATTTTCAAATTAGCTCAAGAATATTCTTCATAGCTCTTTAACAAAAATTCTCTGATTTGATCAAGGATCCCATATTGCATTAGCTGTCATGTCTCTTTCCTCTCTTAATTTGGAATAGACTAGACCTCTGCGGGTCAAATTAATATATTAAGAGTAAGTCATTCATTCATTCATTCATTCACTCATGTATTTCACTTTTCCACCTCCAAGTTCCAGGAGAGGACTGTTCTAATTCAAGAAAACCCAGCTCAGTGAGTGCAAAGGCTTGGATGTCTAAGAATAGGACCCCTTTAGGAGAGGCCCAGGGAAGAGAAGAGGAGCCTGGTTCGAAAAGGGAGACTGGGGCCAGATAAGGGAGATTTTAGGTATGAAGCGAATGACCGGGGCCCTAGGAAGCCACTGAAGGTTTTTGTCAATGGCCCAGGGAAAGCAGTGTTCATCTGGCTGCAGGGTGCAGAGTGGATTCGAGCTGAGAAAGCCTTCATGGTGGAAACGTGTGACATGGTGGCATTTGCCTCTGCCCTTGTCCTCTCCCCAGCCCCACCCAACTCTTCCTTCCTTCTGGTTACCAGAGCAAAGGTGTTATTTCCTATGCCTTCCTCCTCTGCTTCTGGCTGTGTTGACCTCCATCCTCTGTTTCTCATCCTCTTCCTTCTTTCTTTCTGAACTGCCCCCCACCACTCTTCCTTTGAGATCCTTTACCTAAAATGGGAAGCTGAGTGAGAGGGAAGTTGGGGTCTTTGTCAGGGGAACCCACGGAACAATAGTGGAGTCCACCTGGCCTGGGTTTTCTTGAGTTAGAACAGCGCTCTCCTGGAACTTTGAGGTGAAAAAGTGAAAGCCCCAAACCCAGGAACTTCATAGTTTCCAGTTTAAACTCACCTTGCTGCCTCTGCAAAGTTCTCACTCTTCTCGCCATTCCTATAGGCTCCCTCTCGCAACCAGGAATCTAAATCATAGAAAGCTTCAGACTTAGCTGCCATTCTCATCGGCATGGAGCCGTGGTCCTCCTGTGTCCTTGCCAGGCACACCTGTGCTTCTGATGGCAGCTTCATCATGGGGCCCTGGCTATTGCTTTTGAGGCCACAGCAGGACAGAAGTCTAGTCCACAAGTGGGGTCCTCGGTGAGCATGGCCTTGCTTCTGTGGTCTGGTCTGGGAAGTAGCTCAGGCTGGGGGGATTGCCTTGGCTGGAAGGTACAACGTGGCAAATGAGTCTTGAACAGGTTGGAGTTTGTAGGGGCCACTCAAGGCCCACCAGGTAAGCTGGTTTCTCCGCTGTTTCTCACTATGAAACTCGTTCTTTTTTGTTTTGTTGTGCTGTGTTTTGTTTGAGACGGAGTCTTGCTCTGTTGCCAGGCTGGAGTGCAGTGGCGCGATCTTGGCTCACTGCAAACCTCCGCCTCCCGGGTTCAAGCAATTCTCCTGCCTCAGCCTACCGAGTAGCTGGGATTACAGGCATGCATCACCACGCCTGGCTAATTTTTTTGTATTTTTAGTAGAAATGGGGTTTCACCATATTGGCCAGGCTGGTCTCAAAGTCCTGACCTTGTGATCTGCCCACCTCGGCCTTGAAACCCGTTCTTGCACATGTTGGTAAATGTTTAATAACTGGCTCTCTGAGAAAAAAAAAAGGAAGAAAACAAAAGCCTTTTTAATGGTGTTTACTGATTTCTGTGATGTAAATATGGCAAAGTTCAAGCTATCAATATGATGTCACTAAAACCAGGATTGAGAAGTGATGCACCATTTTTTCTCACAAGCTGGTGTGAAGAAGACCTGGCAGTGACAGATACTAAAATGACAGAGGATTGTATGGGACAGTGTGGCAAGTCCCGCGGCTGAGAGGCCATATGGTCATGAAAGCACGGCTCTGTAGGTCACCACTGCTCTGTCTGGTGGCTCAGCTTCCTCGTCAACCATGGTAGTAGGAGCATGAGATGGTTGAGTTCTGAGGGGAAGTATGGAGGAAGAGGAAAGTCCCCTGAGTTATTTTGTTTGCCAAGCAAAATATAAATTAAGAAGCTTGCATGCAGCATGGGCAGTTAGCTGTAGATCCATTGGATGGAATTTTCTACAACCTTAGGATGGATAGAAGCTAATGACGGTCTAGGTGTGCCCTCTATTCAATATTCTTTGACTGAAATTGAATTGATATAGGAGCAGCGTGTTGGTTTAGAATGAAATAGGACATTTCATAAGCCAGCCAAAATGCAAAAAGCAGACAGGAAAACCAAGCAGGACAGGAAAAACATCCCTTGAAACATGAGCCAGGGAGGGTTAGGTTTGAAATGACAAAAGATCTGAGCTCCAGAGAGTCCGAGTATTACATTCTGAACCAATTACTGACAGAAGTCATGAGGCTATGGACCTGGGGAAGGACAACCATGGGTAATGGAAGCAGGTGGCTTAGAAAAAAAAAGCACCTTTCCTCTAGGCACACTCCTGGGTAATCTGGTGTGTTTGGAACATGTATGAGCCTGAGACTGAGCTATCAGGACACAGGCCATGGTGAGCCAGCTGGGGTGTGCCAGGTGCATGTGGATCATGCATTCCCCTATTGAGTTACAACATCCTGTGGGTTCATACCAGCCTCACAGTGCTCCTTGCACAACCTGCTGTTCAGGGAGCTTTCCGTAAGGGCAGGTGCTTCCTCACAATGAAGGGCATGGACACCTGCTGCACTATGCAATAGTAGTGAGGATGGGAGGAGCATGGAGAAGCCAAATATGTAGGAAAGGCATCCTCTTCTTAACTCAGACTGCTGAGTCCCTAATTACCAGCTGCAGACCACCAATAAGGGTAATTCCGGGTTAAGGATGAAGAAGAGATGTCATGATGAGTTAGAAAATCTCTTGACTCAATGTGGGAGGCTGGGTGGCATTCTCTGCCAGGGGCCTGCATTCTTAGCGCCACTCTGCCCTGGCTAATCCTGCTACTAGGGCAAGTCTCTTCAGTCTTGAGGCTTTATCTTCCATATTAACAAAATGGTGATGGTGGTAGTCCTAGCTGGTTTGCAAGTTCCTGTCTAATTGCTTAATTCTCTTTTTCACCAAGGCAAGTGCCAAGACTGGCTTCTGAGGAGTACAGGGGTGGCCTAGGACCCAAACTAGCCTATTTGGTAATGCAGATGTGATTCATTAGCATCACCACCTCCATCACACAGCATTTGCCATTCTTTTGTTAGATCCAGTGCAGAATGCCCTGTGTATTTTGTCCATAGTGTTTCCAGCCTAGCCTGGGAAGTCGATACACGGCATTCACATTCTGTTTGCCATAACATGTGCCAATGGCATATGTTGTGAAATAATTCCTGGTTCCTCACTGTATCTGGATTAGGTGTCAGGATGCTTAATTTCATTGCAGGTGGAGCACCATGCCTGGACATAGTGGCCATGCTTTTATATTTGGACTGGACAAAAGGGATCTTGATAAGAGTTTAGCCTTGGAAGGACTCCTACAGAGAGCATCTATGACCCCCAAAGACAGATTTCAGGCCTACTAAAAGTCTCTTTCTCATGAGACACTTACCCATTGATCAAATGACTTCTCATTCATGGTGTTATCAGTCCTGTTACAATGTTGTTTAACCTGTAACATGGATATAATATCTGCCCTGCCTTCATTTTAGGATTCTAGGGAAGTGCTTGGAAGAGCACCAAGTGCAATGCAACTATAGGGTTATTAATAATGTTGCTATTATACATTTTGATTGATGAGATTTTGACAATGGGAAGCCCCCTCTCTCCCCACTCTGGCCACAGGACCTGTTCCTAAACGTACATCTCAGTCCACACTCCAAAGACATTTCTTGGAAACGCTTCTCATTGTGGTTCATTCTATAAAAAAGTGCTCCGGCTCCAAGTGGGCATGAAAGTTCATCACAACATTTGCCATCAATAAAAACCCAATTCTTTCCATGTGAAAAGCATTACTGCTGTCAAATGGTTATTGAGTGATGATACCTGAATAATGGGAATATAGGAACCGGAAAATATACAAAGGGAAACCTCACTGGGATGCCAAATTGTAAAGACAGAAATGCGAATATCTGAGGGAAATTAGTTAAGCAGAGCACAGCACACATGCCTTCACCAAGGAGGGAAGATGAGCAGGCAGGATCGGTGGAAGGTAGAGAGAAGAAGTGCTGGGTTGAGCATGGCTTTATCCACTTCCTGGTGGGCCTGGGGCAAGTCGCTGAGCTATATTCAGGCCCAGTTACATTGTCTGTTAAATGGGAATGATTCTTCCCTCATGGATGTGTGTGAGAAACAGATGGTATCAAATGGTGGAAATGAGAGCATCAACAATGCCCTTTTGATACGTCACAGAAGACGGTAACTATGACAGCCCATAGACCACGCCCACTTTACGGCCAGCCCTCTCAGTCCAGGAACTTGTTGAAAGTTATCGTCTCAAAAATTCTGTCACAATAGCTGGTGCCTTTGCAATTAAGCTCCTTTGGTCACACAGGACCCCTGGAGCTCATTTGAGACACTTCCACGCCTAAGGGTCAGAAGCTGGTCCAGAACACCAAGGGAGCAGCCTCTTTTGGCAACCCACCTGGCTGCCTGTGAGGCTTCCTGGCCGGGATGCCCTGCTGCCTCCTCTTGAAATGCAGCTCTGCCCTCTGCTACTTCAGCTCCTGGCCACCTTCCAGTTCAGCTGCACATGCTCACATGTTACCAGCCCACTCCTGTGCCATTCTTGGCTGACCAGAAGGAATCAGCGCGGGTCAGTGTGGCAGACAAAGAATAAGGCTTTGAAGAAGTGCTGGGTTGAGCACGGCTTTATCCACTTCCTGGTGGGCCTGGGGCAAGTCGCTGAGCTATATTCAGCCCCAGTTACATTGTCTGTTAAATGGGAATGATTCTTCCCTCATGGATGTGTGTGAGAAACAGATGGTATCAAATGGCTAGTCCCCTGTGTATACAGCTATACCCACGTGAAGTGTTGGTAGAGTGCTCATACTCCGGTTTGCTGGAACACTCTGTTTAGGACAGTTATCCCGATGAAATCAGTAAACAGGCCCCATTTTATTCTCAAAAGTGTCCTGGGTTGGGTAATAAATTATATCACCCTGGGTATTGTGATATCTGGAGGGAGTAAATGAGGCTGGGAACTTTCCCCAAAGATGTTCAGATCCTTAGAATTCCAGTCCCTTCCTCCTCTTTTGGAGCACAGAACTTCGCATCCTTCAGTCTTGATTCACTTTCAAAATAATAATTCTTCAGTTAGTCCATTAAAAGAAATAACAGCCCCGTTTTAATTTCAGCAACGGCCTTGGAATGAAAAGACTACTAATTACTCCAATTAACCAAGCACATTAAGTGCACATGTTCAAACGCATATTAAGATACCATCTATCTCGGTCCTGAAGTTCTCGAGATGCTGGAATGCATAAACATTCAGTGGAAGAATTGTGACTGCAGAGAAAACACAAACAGAGCAGGCTGTTTGTTTGTGTGACTGCCTACTTGTGGAGAAATAACCAAGAGATGTGGAAAGACATGAGGGCTTCTCCCCAGTTTATGTTTGTAATTATTGCCCAGAGGAGACAGAACAAAGAGCTTTCTATTTATAGCCAAAGTCTAAAGGGGGTTGGGAGGGTGGGAGGAGGAAGCTTAGTCATGAGAAAACACAATTTACTATTGGCATTAATAAAATTATATAAAACTGTAGTTTATCAAAAGAACAAACTGTCTTCAGGGAAAATAAATAACTCCTTCCATTTCCTGACTCTGTATACAAGGTTATTAACTACCACTGTCCTTACCAGTGAGAGTAGAGTGGAAGTCGGCTAATGCCATGGGAACGGACGGGCTTCCTGTGGAAGCTAAGTCTGGAGCAGCGCAGGCACAAAAGCTTCAGGGCTGGTCGTGTCTGAGTACCTGTAACCAGCAAAGCCAGTGAAGGCCGCATTTCTTTAGGCACACTTCTAGCTCTCTGGTTGTTTCTCAGAGCTCAGACCTTGGGAAATGCTATGAAGGAGCACAGAAGAAGCTCAAGAACAGTGCTGGCTACTCGTAAAGGATTCTGGTTGATAATATGCAGGTAGCCTCAAGGTTCAGAATCCCATCTTGCTTGAGAAGAGACCAAAGGGGTGGAAGACGCCACAGTGGTGGCCTCCTCCATGTGGAGGAGCTGCTTTCCCAGCTCCAGGAGACAGTACCTGCGTCACATTATGGTTTGTTCTCTCTCTTTCCTTCCCTTTCTCTCCCATCTCTTTTTCTTTCTCCTTTTCCCTTTCTCCCACTTGTTCATCCACTCTTCAATGATTTATGCAGCACATATTCATTATTCATTATTTATGCAGCAAATATTTTGTTTTTTAGAACTAAAATGTTTGACCTATGCTCAATGCAGTGAGCACAAGGGAGCACATTTCTTGCCTTCAAGATCTTACAGCTTCACTGCAGAGACAAGTCTTTCCCTTCTGACATCTTTATTTTGATCACTGATAAAGTAATTTCCATAATAGGCCAGGCTTTAACATTCTAATTCCTGAAGATTCCATTTCTTTCATCCCCTCTCTTCAGTCCTATTGATTCTACTTCTCCTCTATTTTTTCTCTCTCTCTTCTTTCCTTTACATTTCCACTAGCATTTCTACAGAAATGGAAGGGTTTTCTTTATCTTCACTTTTTACAAAATTAATTTTTAAAAATAAGTATTGAATTATTAGATTGGCCAATCACTGTGCCAGGTAATTTCTATATTATCATCCCATTGAAGCCACCCAACAAACCTTTAGAAGTCTGTTACTGCCATCCCCATTTTACAGATGAGGAAACTAAATCTCAGAGAGGCTAAGTGACTTACGTAGGCCACACAAGTGGAGCTCTAGAAGGCCTAGGGAATGGCCAGTTTGGATACCATTCTACAGGTTGTGAAAATGATTATAAAGTTGCCTCCATTTCCAGGTAACTGATTCCTTGCCTTTTGGTTGCTTAAGATCTTGTATCTAACCACTGGACAATGTGACTCCAGGAAGTTCCTGGTCTAGGGCACAGAGGGTACACTTGGCAGCCCCATTCGAGAACCCATGGCATGGTTGGAGTACTTCTCCATCCCTTCCAACAATTTATCTGAAGGTCCAGAGCCTCTAATGTTGTGGACTGGAATTAGGGAGGGTCCTTGGAGGACATGCAAAAGAGGATTTTTTTTCATTCTAATCAAATTGACTTGTGTTTTAGGAGGCTCTCAAGACCGTAGTGGTGCTTCATCCTCTGTTATGCCTAGCAAGGGAAGATATGGAAGATATCGGGGAGGGGTTCACTATTCTGTATGAATGCTCCAGAATGTCCAGTAAGTGAGTCTTCTGCAGAAGCAGAGTAGAGCAGGCACTGTTATCATCATTAAGTCACTTTTGCCTCTTCCTTCAGTTTCACTCAATTGTTCTTCCTATGACTGACCTGCAAGAACAAGAATAGTGAAGAAGTTCTGTTGCTTCTTTTAGATTTATCCATTCCTTCTATCTTGCATTTATGACACTGTCCCAGACAATTATTTTAGTTGTTTTGATTTGTTTCTCTGGTTCTAGTTTTTGTCTCTTGATCTCTAAATCCATCTTGTTCTCTACTTCCCACATAATATTTTATTCTCAAGCCCTTCCTGACTAAAAAATCTACAGTATCCCATTGCCTATTTTTAAGATTTTTTTTTTTTTTTAAGACAGGGTCTCACTCTGTGTCTTAGGCTGCAGTACATTGGTGTGATTACAGCTCACTGCAGACTTAAACTCTTGGGCTCAAGTGATCCTCCCGCCTCAGCCTCCTAAGAAGCTGAGATTATGGGCATGCACCACCACACCAATAGGTTTTGCTATGTTGCCCAGGATGGTTTTGAACTCCTGGCCTCAAGCAATCCTCTCACCAGTGTTGAGATTATAGGCGTGAGTCACCACAGCCCGAGTTTTTTGTTGTTGTTGTTAATTGTAAAAAAGTAAACTTACTTATTGTCCCAAATTCAAACAATACATAAATATATAAAGGAAACTATCTCATATATATGCATACATACATACATATATATATATATACACACACACACACATACACACACACACACACACAGTCATGCACTGCAAAATGATGTTTTAGTCAATGAAGAACTGCATATACAACAGTGGTCCCCTAAGGTTACAATGGAGCTAAAGAATTTCTATCACCTAGTGAGGTCTTAGCCATGATAACGTCATAGTGCAACACATTATCTTTTCTATGTTTAGATACACAAATACTTACCTTTATGCTATAATTTCCTGTAGTATTTAGTACAATAACATGCCATATATGTCTGTAGCCTAGGAGCAATAGGCTATGCCATATAGCTTAGATGTGTAGTAGGCTAGTCCATCTAGGTTTGTGTAAGTACACTCTATGATGTTCACACAATGAAGAAATCACCTAATGATGCATTTGTTAGAACATATCCACATTGTTAAACAATGCATAACAGTATGTGTGTGTGTGTGTGCATATATAAAAATATATATATTCAAACCAAAGAATTGTTCCCTATTTTTTCTTCTTTGTTAACTTTAAATATTTTATCCTTGTAATTCATCAATATGCTAAATGAAAGTTCATTCAAACAATAATAAGAAGTCTTACAATGAAAAGCAGCAATCTCCTGCTCCATGCTTCAACAGCACAGCTTTGAAGTCAAAGGCCTCAGCTAAACTTTGAAAGCACTATGTGACTTGGTGCTGCTTGGGTTACCTTTTGAACCTTTTCCCCACTTCTCAACTTGGACTAACAACTCCCTCCAGGTCAGGCGCTTGTCTGATTGTCATTCTTTTAAGTGGAGAGTTTAGGCCATTTATATCATTTGTAATAGCCAAACTGTTTAGATTCATTTCTACCATCTTATTTTGTACTTTATAGTAATATTTACCTTTTTTTCTATATGTTTTTTTTTTCTCCTTTGCTTCCTTGTTTTGGATTGATTGGTTTTATTCACTCAACTCTGAATTCCATTTTTCCCCTCTATTCCACCCTAAAAATTTTAATATGCAACTTTAACATAATTTAATTGAAAGCTAATTAATATAAGCTTTTTCTGAACAATACAAGAAACAAAGAACTCTTGAAATCTAAGTATTCATCTCTAAATTTTACATGAAGTTATCCAGATTTTAATTATCTCTTGATTTTTAAAGATTCATAAATTAGACATTGTTGTTTGGTACATATAAGTGTTTGTTTAGATTTATCCACATGTTTACTTTTATCTTTGTCATTGACTCACTTGCAATGCAGATCTACCTTCTGGGATGATTTCTTTCTAAAATGAATGTCCTTTAGATGTTTCTACAATGACAATATTCTGTTAATAAAGTCTCTCAATTTGTGATAGTTTGAAATTGTGTTTCTTTGACCATCCCTCTTTTTTTTTTTTTTTAAAGGAAAGATAGCTTTCTTTGTTTAGAATTCTAGATAGCTATTTGACATTAGTTGGTTGATCTGAAGTCATTCAATTTTCCCTGCTGGTCTTGAGAGCTCAGCTATGACCTGATCATTCTTTTTCAGACAATCTACCTGTTCTCTCTGATTGCTTTTAAGGTCTCTTTGTCTTTGTTGTTCTGCAGCTTCACTATGGTATATCTAGGCAGGGATTTCTTCGGTATTCTCTAGGCTTTCTCAATTTGTGCACTGGTGTCTTTCATTAACTCTGGACAATTCTTAGCTATTATCTCTTTTAATATTGCTTCTCCCCATTCTCTTTATTGCTTCCTATAAAACATTCTCAAATTATTCTTTACATTTTCTCACCATTTTTCACATTTCTCATTGCTTTTTTTACTACTAGATTCTGTGTAATCTCTTCAGTATTAAAGTTCATTGATTTTAATGTTTACCCTATTTATTTAAATTATTTCATTTATTACATTTTTAATTTCTAAATTTCTGTTTGGTACTTTTCAAATGTGGCTAATTTTGATAGTCTCTTTTACCTTTCACATAGTTTCAATCTCCTCTCATATTTATAAACCTATTAAACATACTAATTGTATATTCTATATTTGAATAATTCCAGTATCTGTGGTCTTTGAAGGTCTGATTGTAGAGTTTATTGTTTCTGCTGACTTTCACTCAGAGTTGTTTATTTACTTTTTATTACTGATTTTTTTTCTACAGAGCTCATTTTCTTTGTAACTTAATAATATGTAGTAATTCTTTGAGGCTCCATTTATCACCAACTTGGAATCAATTTAACTTTGTAGAGTTTTATTTTAGCCACATTTGTTGTGTATATTCAGGCCCAAAGTTATAAACCTACACATCTGTAGTTAGAAATAGGGAGGGGGAACTTTTTCTTTTTCTTTCTTTGTTTTTTTTTTTTTTTTCTACTCAGAGTCAAGACCAAGCCAGTCATGTATCTCCACCTTGTTCTGTGGGATAGATGTTTTTTTAGCTCCGTCAATGGAGTGTTGCCTTTCCATGATATTGGCTTATTTGTGGGTCTCCATTCTGATATTTCACTCACCTTGAGCTTCAGATTTTTTTCTCTCATGTGCAGGAAATGCTGACTCCATCACTTGATGATGACTCTGGATTTGGGCATTCTGATCATTCATGGGGCCCAAGGAATTACTTTCTAGATAGATCTGTCATACATTTAAAATTTTTTTTATATTTTTCCTAGTATAGTGAGGGATTTTTCTTAAAATCATGTCTACTCTATTGTCAAAAAGGTAAGACCTCACTTTTTTGCATATTGGGTAAATTATGTCTCTGAACTTTCATTTATTTCCTCAGTAAGGTGAAAAAACACATATCATTAAGATTTTTGTGAGGATTAAATAAAAGACTGGATATAAATGCCTTCCATGTAGACATTTAATAAATGATGATTGTTACTATTACTGCTGCCACTATTCTACTATCAATATTAGTACAACCTATTACTAACAACACAAAAGAGCCTGTTCTTCCATGGAGAATCAAATAACTATCCAATTAAAACAAAAATAGTTAATTTTTAAAATAGTTAAGATTTAAGCTTTCTAAACATATTTTTCATGTGTATTATGTTGGGGAGGGTCTTTTGTTTTTAAACACTACCCCTTGAGTAGTTAATAATAACAGACATGGGCCTGTACTCTGAGCTATATCTTTGATAGTGGTATGTGTGTGGGCTAGAAGTTGGGCTCCAGTCAATAACCAACACCAGAGTCCATAGTGGAAACACTTCCGTTCTGTGCAGCATGGGTGGGCAAGCTGAAAGAACACCACTTATTGGAAGAAAGGTGCTACACATATACAATGAGGTGTTATATTTATTATTATTTCTATTTTAAATTATCCATTGAAGAAAGAAGACATGGAGAGAATTTTTAGTGAGGTCCAGGGTCAAATTGGGTTCAGAAGCCCAAAGGGGAACATGGTAGTTTTCTGACTGGGATGCATGTGACCTTGGGCAGGTCAACTAACCTCTCCCAGCTTCATTCCCCTCATGGGTAAAGCAGAAGAGTGGGACTGTGTAGTTTTAGGGAACTTGTACATCTAAATTCTATGATTCTCATCTTTTATTCTCATCCATATCCCCTGGACTCCCTAGTTCACTGACTTCTAGGACCCATAATTATGACTATGTGAAAGAATACTCTTTAATCCAGCGATGCATTCCCAGAGTGACATGTGCTCTAATGTGAGAAACAGTAATGAGAGCTACAGTAGAAACAGAATCCTTCAGTGGCTTTGGCCTCCCCAACTTGATGAGATGCTCATTCATCTCGGGTGTGTGGTTGGAACATGAGTGGGTACAAAAAAGGTGCCAAAATTGCTGCCTGAGGAAGGAAGTAGTTGGAATTGATACCCTGTGAGTGGGGTTAGCTATGTGCAAAAGTAGACCACACCTAGAAACAGGGTATAGTTGTGTTTCTAAGAAGACTCAAGAAGCAACTTGATCCTGTCAGGGGACTGGGCCATATCCCTCAGCCTGGAGTGCAGGGGGTGAAATGTACAGCACTGGTACACGAAGGAGGAAATGGCTGAAGTGCAGTGGTCTCTTTGGAGTGGCTTGGAAGCAAAGGCATATTTCTGTTGATGGGACATATTAGGAAAGGACAGTGATGTTAGAGATAGTTAGAATGAGGCTCAAAGCATGGCTTTTGGAGCCTCTCATCTCTAACTGGAGGCCAAAAGCAGTGGCATGGGGGCTGTTCTGTCATTGTTTCCCAAACTTCAGTCATTTGGATGCCACAGTTAAGATGTTTGCTGTATCCACCTGCTCTATTATTTCTTTAACATTTGTATTGAAGTTGATTTGTTTTTATTGAAATGTTTATTTTAAAAGGAAGCTTTCTATCATTATCAGAAAAAAACCAGTATCACTTGCCATAATTAGAAGACAATCATCCTGTCTCCCCCCCGCACACCATGAAAATAAAGCAATGTCATGAAGTCCTAACGAGGTTATCTTACCTGTAGAAGGCTGTGGGCCTGAGGATTGCTCCTTTCCTGTTAAAGGGAAGATTAGAAAGTGTTGGACTCACCAGCACACCCAGACTTTCTTCTTGGAGTAGTAAGAAAGACTGACAGATCATAGTAATGGGTAAAATTTGTTGAGTCTCTTTTTACATATCCTCCCATTGACACCTCCAGATTTTATGAGACCAGTGATTCTATCATTTCCATTTGTTTTCTAGCTGAGGACATCAAGTCTGAGAGAATAAACCACTTGCTCAGAGCACCCAAGCTAGCTAGGGGTGTAGACAATGGGAAGCGAAGAAATTTGACTCCAGACCTGGAGTTCTTCAGCACAGGACTATATCTTCTCTTACGTGTCAGTCTGTGCTATTGAATGCTTTGACTTCATGGCCTCTGAGAGCATCTCAAGTGCCTCCTACAAGCATTTGCTGTATCAGGAGTTTCAGGAATCTTACCTGAAGGTGCTTAATAAGGATTGGTCTCTTCTCCTCCCCACAACCCTCCTGTTCATGGGACAGACCATCCTGAGCCTTGGTTCCAGTATTCAAGGATGCTGGAAGAGAGGTGGCCACTTCATCTCAAAACACTCGTCCTTGTCCTCTGACAATCCCAGAATTTCCAGGCAACCTTCCAATGGTGACCTGCTTTCCACAGTGGGCTTTCCAACTGGGGTGAGAATGAACCCATCAACTGATAGTAACGCTTGATTTTTGGTTCACAGATGTACCTTAGTGATGGGTACAGGGCCCTCTATCAATATTTACTGAATGAGTGAGTAAATGTTTGGCAGTTATATTTCTAAAACTAACAATGAGATTAATAATAAAATGGCTACTTTATGAAGCTCCCATGCTACACCTGACTTGGTCTTAAATGTCCCTCCTGTGTTATTTCCTCAAACAACCCTATGAAGTAGGTGCTGTTGTCCTCTTTTACAGATGAGGTTGGAAACTGAAGAGCTAAGTAACTGTTTGATCCAAAGCCTGTGGGTGCTCCCAACTCTTGCTTATGCTGCTCCCATCAGAATTGCCCACATGGCTCTGAGTTCTGATGGATTTGGTTAATGATGGTCAGGCCCTTTGAGCACCACCTCTGACTTTACTAACAAGCTGAGTCTCGTTTCCGTCGGCCCCAGTTTCTTCATCTACAAACAGAATATTACTGAAGAGAGCACATGAATGCACTTGGTACATGGCCAGCATTCAATAAAAGGCATTTCTTATTATGGGGAGGAAGCAAAGAGGAACCGCATGGGGAAAGAGAAGCCACTTCAGGAGGATAATGGAGATGGCAGCAACGTTCTTTCTGTTTTTTGGTAACTATGGTGAAGGTGTCAGACAAGGCCTCCAAATGCCAATTTCCCCCTTTCTCAGAAATGCCCCAGAGAGCAAACTCTCCCACCCCAAGTTCCCCCAGAATGAGTATTCAGCACCCTTAGTTGTTGGATACACATCCTCCTGGGCCATGTGGCCCCCCTGCTGCCCGTTGCAGAAACAGCCTGCTGCAGCTGTGGCATTGCAGGAAGTTAATCCCCTCACTCAGGGCGGAGACCAGAGATGGGTGGAACACCCGAGAAGCACAGGCAACGGTGGTGATAATGAAGAGCGTGTGCGAGGCTGGGGGGGCCACCAGGGAGGGGCGGGAGGGCCCCCTGGAGGGTGCAGGGAGGAAAGGGTGCTGAAGCCTCTAGTTAGCTGAGCTCAGCCCCTCCAGCCTGGACACTGGCAGGGTACAGTCCTTCCCAGGGCAGTGTCAGCAACTTGACCCTGGCACCCGAAGATCCCTTCCACCATGGAGTGTGAGGTCTGAATTTGAGAAAGACTCTGTTAATGTGATGTGGTCTCTTGTCTTTATCCATCCTCATTACCCCACACCCCCGCCCCTTTTCAATCACTGTATCAACCCTCAGTTGCCTGTTTACTTGGTTTTGTGGTTTTTCACTTAGATGTGGTTAGAGAAAGGTGGGGTCAGAGGACAGGTTCTCCACCCCGCTCCTTCACCCCCACCCAAGTGTTCTACTTGGTCTCAGAGAGCAGAACATGACACTCTTGGCACAGCAGATAGATAGGGAAATTCTGATTCAGTTTCTCTGGGGTGGGGTCCACGTGTAGGTATGTGCTCTAAGCTCCCAGGTGATCGAGAGCCACTGCTGTAGTTATTGAAGGTATTGGATGACTCACTGCATTTAGAAGGCAAGTCAGTGGGGAAAAAGTTGAACCCAGCTAGTAAGAGTTAGCATTTCTTATTCCTGCACAAACATTAGCTAAGGAGGATTTGACTACCTAGAGTCTTTTGACAAGGCTCTCAAAAACTTATTCCCAGCACTCCATGGATGTGGACAAAGAGTATATATTGTCCAGCTCATTTTATACCTGCAAAATGGCATAGTTAGTAAATCACTGGGGAGCTAAGAAGTTATGATAACAATGGAATGACTTAGCAGAGATGATGGTGGTGGTGATAAGAGGGACAAGCCAAGACCCGAAACCTTTGATGCTCAGATCATTCCACAGTTCTTCAGATGTTATTGAACCAATAGGTGTGCCCTAGAATAATGAATTCCATCCAATACCATCTGCCAGATCCTGGAGGCCATCTTAAACCTACCAGGATAGCTTGGAGGGCACAAATGCCACTTAAGGAGAGAGAGGACAGAGCCAGGGCTGCTTCCTGCCAATATATTTACAGGAGAGATTATGGGCTTAGAGCCTCAGTGAGACTCTGTAGAAAGATATGAGGAAGTTTAGGGATTTTTAAGGAAATGATAGCTTACTTCGTGGGCAGTGCCTGTGTGCTGGATAGTCAGTGGGGCAGTGGTGTGGTGTCAGGACATGCCAGGTGCACACGTAGCAGGCCTGCAGAAGTCTCAGTTATGAAAAGCGTGGAACACACCATCAGTGACAGATGGAGAGGCCCCCCACCCCCACTCTCACCCTGCCACACCCTACCCCAGCCTCTTAGACCACAGGTGCAGACCCAACTCCAGAGTTTGCAACACAGATCAGTAAGAGTCTCCTTCATTGTGTTATTTATATTTTCCCTTCCCCAGCAAGATTGCCTGGTTCAAGATTCGTTATCCACCAGCAGTTACCATTGAGAAATGATGATAGAACATGAAATACCACTCACAATGACAGCTAAACCCACAACATACCTGGGAATTGACCTCACAGAAGATCCCCCAAACGTTTTTGGGAAATTAACAAACAAACTATTTTAAAGTGTGTAAAAATGAAAGGATGATATTATAGCAGAATACCTTCAATGTAAAGTAAAACATGTATACTCCATTTTTAAAAATGATATAGACATATTCAAGGACTTACAGTAAGTAAGTGGATAACCCTGGGAAGAGGGAATAAACTAGGGGCTCATATACATAGACACATATATATTATCTGATAATACCTAAACACATTTCCTCAGCAAATAATAGTTGCTTTCTTGAATACTCAACCCAAACAGGCAAAATGTGTGTATCTTCCATGGTGCTTAGCTCAGTGCCTTGCATGAAAAAGGTGCTCAATACACATTTTTGTAAAAGTTCCATTAAAAATAATATTTATATAATATTTACACATTATGAATGTATAGCAAATTTAGAACATGTACATTATAGAGAGAATCTAGAAAATACACATTATGAAAATTTATAAAATATCGATAATCAAAAGTATGTTAAACTCACCCATACTACTCCTTATGGATAACCCCTATGAACATTTCTAGATTTATTATTCCAGATTTCAATTAGGGTATTTTTTATGATTGATTGATGACTTTTACTATGTTTTCATCCAGTAGTTTTAGCCAGTTTGTAGTTTGAATGAAAACCATTTTGAAATGAGTTCAGTGTACAAAATATTCACTATGCATGAAGTGTAGTGTGTGCAAGGCAGGAGCAGCTAGCCTGGGAGTGAGTCCGAAAGGTGATGTCAAGGAAGACGAGGGGTCAGTCAGGCTCAATGTGATGGGGTTGATCAGGAGAGGGACAACAGGGTGTTGGCAAACCTTCTGTAAATAGCCAGATAGTTAATATTTGCAGGTCCTATTATCTCTGTTACAACTACTCTACTGTGCTGTCATACTGTGAAAGCAGCCAGAGGCAATATGTAAACGAGTGAGCATGGCTGTGTTCCAATAAAACTTATGGGCATTGAAATTTAAATTTCCTATAAGTTTTTCATGTCACAAAGTATTCTTCTTTCAATTTTATATTAAAAAAAAACCAATTCTTAGCTTGTGGACCATACAAAAACAGGTGGTAGGCTAGATTTGGTCCATGGACCACCGTTTGCAGACTTTTGGGGGTGATGTCACAGGACGAAGGAAAAGACCAGAGGCAAGAGAAACCTTGGCAAGTTAAAGAGCTAATGGAAGGGTGTGATAGATCATTGAGTGGGAGGCTGGAGGTGAGGCGTGCTCCTGGAGAGGCTTCAGACACCCATAGCTCGGCTCCATGTGCCACTGAAAGGTTGGGAGTAGTGGAGAGAGATCAGCTGGAATGGACTTCAGAAGAGGATCCATTCTGGGATTATACCAACATTCAAACCATTGCTCAAACTATGTTAGGCCAGAAAGTCTGGTTTCAGGTTCTTCTGAACTCCTTCAAGAAGAAAGAGCAACACACAGGAAAACAATGCCCCGCCTTGAGAACACCCAAGATTTAACACAAATAATCATCTTGAGGTTGGAGTGTGAGAGGTTTACATAAATAACTTCACCAATAGGGTGGATGGTCTATGGCGTCCTTGCAAAGTCAGCTGTGGCAGTCTATTCCTCCCCCTACCCTCCTTATAATGATACTCCTTTCTACTCATTTTTGGTCTCCTCTTCCCACATCCCATTGGTGTTGTGTTCCCATCACTCCCACTTACCTCATCCCCAGCTCTCTTGAGTGCAGAATCAGATCACCTTGCCTAAATGGCACTGCTACTGTCTTGATTGGTCTCATCCTGATTTAAATGCTACCTTGAAACCTTTGTAAATAGAGGTTCACTATTTCCTTAGTTATTTCGTCCCCCACTTCCCACACCTCCTTGTGACACCAGGCTGCAAGTGTATGCAATAACCTGGACTGGACTGGGCAGAGGAAAGATTATGTTTACTCTCACTTAATTATATTTTACTGAAATTAAATGTGTACCTCAATGAAACATGACACATCACAAAATCTAAGCAGACTGTTTTTCTACACCTAGTACCTGATCTTAGCCTGGTTTCTTGCACCTTTTTCCAGATTTCCTGGACATGGTGTTTTGGTGCAATACCTACCTATTTTAACTCCATCTCTCTTCCAACTGCAAGAAGGCTTTGGCTTTCAGCATTTGGAGTTTAAGATTTGATTACTCATCCAGGGGAAATATTCAGAAGTGATCTCATAGGCATGATTTGCACCTTGCAAGCTTGCTTAGAATATTAAGCAGGGGGTTTTCCAAGTAGACTTGCCTCACTGTCCTGTTTGCAGGCCTAAATTATGAAGCAATTAATATACAGCACATAAAACTGTCCAGTCTGTTTGTTCTTGCTGTCATATCGTCAGTAATGATGGCAGGAACTGACTAATGAACCGGCCCAAGTATCTATGTACACTGAGAAAGAGAGAGGAAGAAAGGGGGCCAGTGGCAGAGAGCACGCAGAACAAGTATAACTCATATTTCTCAAAGAGCACGACTCTTCCATTTCCTAATGCTTTTCTCATGAATAGTTTGGGTCTTTTTTTTTTTAAAGTCTTTATGAAATTTAAGCCCTGTTTCCCATTTCACTGAAAAACCTTTAAGAAAAGACATTTTTCATACTTAAGACTTTTTCAAATCTCTCCTAACCAGTTACACTCTGTATTGTATCTTTCGTAGCTGGCAGCCATCCAGCGACAATCCTTAAAAATCCCTTTACAGTTTTAGAGGAAAATACAAGCTCTCATTTACCACTGGATCGAGTCAGAAAATAAAAGCTTAATGCCTTGACAGGCCTGGATATTTTTTTGAGGCCTAAGTCTGATTTATGGCAGTAGCCGGCAAACCAGGCTGGTGAAATATTTGCTGCTGCTCCTAGGGATATGGAAAAATGAAGTGTGAAGTTCTGGGGAGAGCAGGCCACAGCCTTCCAGTCACTAAACACTCCCACCAAGTTGGCAGGGGAACAGAGCCCTGGGCTGCAAGATGAACCTCAAAGGAAAAGGGAGGAGAAAAGGACTGCGCACCGTGTCAAAATACTGCCAAGGCTTAACGCTCACCATACATTTTGTGACCTGGGGTAGGATGTTTATGAGGGGGGTTTAGGGAGGAAAGAGAAGAGAAACATTTTCTTCCTTCTTTATTTATTCTATTTTCTTTACAGCTTCCCTGTAGGGGTTTCAGTCCAAGTAGAAGAAATTAAGAGCAACAACAGGAATGTAGGAAGTTGCTTAAGCCCCCATCATAAAATTGTTCAGATCGAAAAATATGATCTGGTTAGAAAGAAAGCACTGGCCTGCCTTAGGGCTTGCAGCTTCAAGGTGGGGTGACAGACCCACTTCCCCACACCATGGGTCCCCAGATCTGAGAGCATGGAAGTTGAGATTTTCATTCCCATGAAAAGGGAATTTCCTAGAGGTAGAAGTGAGGTGAGTTTTCTCCCCTAGAATTTTGTTGAAGTGAGTCATCACAAATGCACAAGCCAGGCAAAACACTTGGTGTTTTTATTTTTTCTTTCCTTTATGTAAAAAAAAAGTATGTATATATATAAAACAGTTAATATCCACTGTTTAGATTTGTTTTTAATTTTAGGTTTCTGAAGTAGAGTCTTGGATACCCGTGCTTGTCTCAAAGAGCTTTATCTGTACTTGGTGTTATTCACAGAGGAGATGAGTGGAGCCCCCACAGAAAAGCAGGGGTTGATTTTAGTTGTTTTCTGAAGTGCAAAAAAGTTCTCTTCTAGTTGATATTTTTGATAAACAAAGGCAAAAAAGGGCAAAGATGGAAAACATGCATCTCATTTTCTCCTCACACGAACTTATCTTCGGAAGATCAGTTTCAAAATCTGATTCATTTGAGGGTTGAATAAGGGTTTTTTTTGTTTTTTGTTTTTGTTTTTTTTTAAATAACAGCACTTCTGTCTGCTAGGCAGAGATTTATGTTCCTGTGAAGTCTTGGGTCAGTTAAAGCCGTCTCAGTAATTACAGAAATGTTTATATCCATGTGCAGTCATCCCCCTTCCCCTCACTAAATCACTAATAAACACACCTACTCTCACTCAAACAGACTCCCAGACTCACCTAACGCCCCCACAAAAACTATCTCACTCATTTACTCCCTTATCACAAAGTTAAACGTAGAGGTAATTCAAGTCAATAAATATTTATTGATGCCTACCATGTATAAGGCACTGTTAGGCAATGCAGGGGATCAGGGTCGGGGGCTGCGGGTGGAATACAAAAGCAAGATTCTGGTCCCAGGCTTCAAGATATTTGCAATTTAATGGAGGAGGAAACTGGACTTTGATCCATTTGCCTTTTAGTAAAACCTACATTTTAAAAACAATAAAATGTGCCTTTGTTTTTTCTACATGGACAGAGAAGAGGAAGAAATAGGGGTCTGGAGAAACGGAGCGGACTTACTTGCCCCATGCCACAAACAGTAATAGCAAATATGATTGGGCTTGTCGTATGTGCTGGGTGTGAGGCTTAGCACTTCCGATGCCTAATCTCATTCAGTTCTTCACAATTCACTGAGAGGTAGGCTCATCCTTCAACAGATGAGAAAACTGAGGCAAAGGGCAGTTAAGTAACTTGTCTAAGATTATAGAGCAAGGAAGTGTGTGGCTGAGGTTCACAACCCTTTTCAGAACTCTCTTGGTCCCATCATTAACCTGAGATTTAAAACTTTTGTCTCCTTCCTCCTGGTCCAGTGATTTTCCTATCTGTCTCTGGTCCCCAAGCCTGTGATGATGAGTTGGAATTTAGAAAAGCAACAACAACAACAGACACACACACAACATTTTACCTTTTCATTTATTTTGAAGGGGCTTGGAGTGCAGAGGCTATGGAGTGCTTTGCAAACTATTTTTGTTTATTTGAAAGCACCTAGATTTCAGCCTTAAGGAGGTTTGTAAATACTTGTAGAAAAATTGAAGATGGTCATTTCCTAGCCATCCTTCTTGGAAAAAAATCTGTTTTAGGAAACTGACTAATCCAGGGCTTGTACAAGGGTGACCAGACCTCCAGCGTGGCTGCCCTGGTTTTTGGTAACCGATGTGCTGAAAGAGATCATCAAGCTCTGAATTTCCTCAATGGTGACTACCACACACATACAGGCCTTAAAACACATACCCACAGTTCAAATATTTTAGCAAATGTCCTGGCTTTCCTCCACCACTAAAATGAAAGTGAAGGTGAAATCATTTGGGGGCCACTAGAGTAGAATTCTTACCCTTGATAGCTGCCCATAGATTTAAATGTCTCACAGGAGACCCAATTAAATATTAGTGAGATCCCAATTCACCAAAGGATCATATTTCCTGGCCATTTTCATCACTCACACTTCCCGGCAATTTAATGATGAGTTTAGGATATGACCTCTTCCCTCAGGCTCCCCTCCTACCTTTTTTATTTTCTTTTATTTTGGATCTGGAATCTAGATGGCTCAAGCATCTGGAAATACCCTACATAGGTTTTTCTAACCAAGTCACCAGTTGCTGTCTGTACATACCCGAGTTTTGCTGTGATATGAAGTTGTCACAAATGAGGGCTGATAGGAGTCTCCATATTTTGATGGCAGTGATTATCCAAGATGACCCCTAGAATGCAAGGCCAAGGGAGCACACATAGCACTGAGCGTCACACAAAGAGGATGTTTGTTGAGTGAATAAATGAGTGAGGCACCCTTGGTGAGGCCTCTTGCTTGCAGCGGCTAGAGGAACAGAGGCAGATATTGGTACAGCAGGTGTTTCTCACTGCTTTCCCCAGAATGACCCCCAGCTTGTGTGTTTGATCAAGAACAGCCATCTTCACACTATGGTGTGTATCCTTCTGGGGAGTGCCTGAAGATTTTTCGGGGGTTATGCAGATGCTGGTGGCTTTAATGCTGTTGATTTTCAGATGCTCAACTTTCATGCGCACCCTTTCCTAAAACTCACCATCCTGAGAACACACCACTTGTCACTCTTTCCCACCATCCCTTCACAGTTGCCCTTCTCACACTTTTAAAATAAAAGGCATCCTTTCACTCATCCCCCTCCCACTATAGAGCATTTCCTCAGGGTCTAAATATCCTCTGGGTCTCTAAACATTGGGGACATGGGCCTGGCATGGTGACTCAAGCCTGTAATCCCAGCACTTTGGGAGGCCAAGGCAGGTGAATCATGAGGTCAGGAGTTCAAGACCAGCCTGGCCAACATGGTGAAACCCCCTCTCTACTAAAAATACAAAAAACTAGCTGAGTGTAGTGGCTGGCACCTGTAATCCCAGCTACTTGGGAGGCTGAGGCAGGAGAATCACTTGAACCCGGGAGGCAGAGGTTGCAGTGAGCGGAGATCCTGCCACTGCACTCCAGCCCGGGCGACAGAGTGAGACTCTGTCTCAAAAAAAAAAAAAGCCAAAAAGCGTGTTAGGGGGAAATACTGAAAGGGGGCAGAGCACCATTCTGTCCCGTGGCAAACTCCTGGCAAGCCTCCATGCATGTATGTAGTGTCATAACTATCCATCTACCCATTTATCCATCTGTCTATCAGGATGACACTTCAGAAATGAATTAGTTGCCCTGGGGAGACATATTAACACACTCATTTGAATTGGAAAATGAAGTTAGAATTTCTCCACGAGAAAGTGAGTATGATTTGGCTAATTGGATTGACAGTGAGGACTGCTTTACCATTTAGGTCATATGGCAGACATAAACAGAATCACCTAAATCTTTTGCAAGGAAGTTTTGATGAAAATATAGCTAAAGCATAAGCAGAGTGCACAGGCTGTCAGGTGGTACATCCTTCATAACAACCTAAACATATGTTGATGAAATTTAGGTGTCTTCTTAAAAATGTAGTTAAAAAATTATTTTAGGGTATACACAAACAAATAATTCAAAGACCTCTGATTTAGAGAAGGGTTAGAGACATAGGCAAGGAGGAAACTCATTAATAGGCAGAAAGGTGCTGTGGGATTGGAAAAATGCTCTCAAAATTGTAGAAATCTGAAAAGAGGTGGAAAAGAATTAAGAGACCCTGGGAGAGAAGATCCTACTGTCAGCACTATGGGCGTGAATTCTGACATTGTGTCATCTTGGTGAGCTGTCCTATCTAGAATGAAAATACCCAAATCACTCAGGTTCATTTGTTTCATCCATCTGAACACTCTGAAATTTACTTTCCTTTTTTACCAACTTTTACCAAGGTCATAAAAACAGATGTACAATAATCATGAACTTGTCAGTCTTTTTTTAAAGCTAGTTAGCAAGAGTATGACTGCTACTAAGAAGTCATTGTTGTTATATTTAGCTGTTCTTCCAATAATAGACTGTGACAGTATATTATACAGATATTAAGTAGGTGACTCTGAAATAGCTGGGGCAATGAAAGTGCTGAATACCAGTAGGCCAAGTTGCCCACAAAAGTATTTATGCTGAGGTTCCTTAAAAGGAAAACACCTCATAAAACAGATACACTTCTAAGAATCTGTGAGAAGTGCCCAACACGCTACAAAAGATGTGCTATTTAGTGCTGATGTTATGCCAGAGATTGCAGTGTTTAGCTGCCTAATTTACTGCTATCTGGCCTTTTCTACAACCCCATTAATCTGTCAGCCGAATGAGCTCTAATTATGCATCTTGTAACCTGGTGTGCCATAGCATACTGCATTCGAGGGGGGATAGATCTTTAAGATTTACTGCACAATTGCTGATAATCTCATGGGGTCTCTCAACTGGGGGGAAATTCGCCTCCTCCCAATTACTGAGAACGCCAGTAGAGGCGCAGAGAAGCAGATGGGCATGGCAGAAGAGGCTGAAGTTTCAGCCAGTGATTCAGTGGACTCTTAACAGCCTGACAAAATGCAAAATACATTTTAGCATGTTGCTTTAACCTAGACCATGTACCGTCTAGAATATATAGTATACTCAGTTTGTTTGAGAGCTTATTAGAAGCACTACTCCTTCTGCTGCCAAACTCATGTGTTCTGCCTCCTTCTGTGGCTGGCCCATTTTCTGGATAGATGTGGCAGTGAGGAGGAGAAAGGAAAGGGATTAACAGGGAACTGCCTTTTTATTATGGATCATCATTATTATTTTTTACTTAGATCATCTCCTTGGATCCTCATCAAATCCTATGAGGTATACACTGTAATCCCAACTTTAGAAATGAAGAAAACTGAGTCACAGAGAGGTTCAGACTTGTGTGTTTGCATGTGTGTATGTATGTTGGAGGAGGCATGCAATCCTGTAGCCTCCAACTCCTTGGAAAAGCTGAATGCCTCAAATTCCTTTCCATCAGCTTGCTTTATCCTAGGGAAGTCATTGATATCTCCTAACATAGGCTTTACGGATTTCTGATTTGTGTTCCTATCTATACTGCTGGCTTTCTCTCCCATCCTACCACCTACCCGAAGGTTGTAGGGATAAGTCAGATAATGCCCATAAAAGGCTTTTAACGCCTTAGGAAAAAGTTGCCCACATACAAATACTGTATCCTATAATGTTTCTGTGTGGGTTCATAGCCCCATCCATCCTCAAAGAACCAGAGACAGTCTTAGATGAAGTGGAATCATCTCCAGCTGCTGCCGGGTTCATTCCTTCTGGGGTAGACAGTTGTACTGGCTTGACTCTGCAGTGCCATGGCACCCAAAAAGATCTTTGCAGAGAGCAAGAAGAAAAAACTCTGTTTACAAACACTTTTACTAACTTTTCTTTTTTTTTTGCCATTCATCCCTAACTTGACCAGTGTCACACCAGTGACTTTAGGTGGTGTGAGTTTGATCTTCACATGTGGCCATGATACAGGGTTATTTTCAATTTTAGCATGAAATCTTATTTGCTTTTAGTCTAATTTCTTTTAGGCTCACCTTGGTTTTGCTGGCATAGAAAGCAAATGATTTCACTTCATTGCAATTCGATGGACTAAATAAAAAAAGTTAAGGTGCTGGTGTTTGGTTGAAACTCAGGCAAGCCCCCAGTGGTGGAAAGGATGTTCAAATGACTCCAAATGTACAGGACTCTGGTTTTCATGGGCTACCCTAAATTCTCTGCCAGCAGCCCTGAGTTCCCTTTGACCTCATCGGAAACTGAGTTCTCTAAACAGAAACGGTAACCATGATAAGTTGTGTCACTTTGGTGATATATCTCTCAGAATATTATAAACTGGGTAGCAGAATTTTCCATTGCCTTACAGACATCCATAGCCAGAGATCTAAGGATAGAGAGTTCATGTCTCTCTCCATTAAGAAATTTAATTCACATTTTACTCAGTCTCAGCCTTTGATTAATACTCTGGATACCTCATGCAGCAGTCCTTAGGATTACAAAAAGTGATTTGTCTAATCTGCGTGTCAGTCTCCTTTGGAGTCTACATAGGGGAAAAAACCCAAAACCAACACTCTGTAGCTATTGATTTCATAGCATTTGCTCAGCGTTTGCCTTTACATTCTGGCCAAGTCAAGTGGATAAAGAGCAATTTGATCCATGGAGTGTGGCGGGAGTGTTGTCACCATCTACAGAACTTATTCATCTGGAGGATTTCAAGTTGCACATATCAGCTCTGGAAGTGGGTTTTAATGAAATCACTAGCAAAATGAAGTTCATATAAAAGTGAATGTAAAAACATATGCTATGGTTCCAGCTGGCTGGCAGAGATGTAGTCAAGTTTGCACGGGATTTAGGTCCCCATTTCTGACTTTCGGCCCCAAGGAATAAATTTTGGATGATCTGAGTCAAGGCTAGACTGAAGGACAATTGTAAAGATCAAATGTGTCATGCCACTTTTCTGAACGTGAGCTTGCCCTCCTCTCATTCGCTTTTCCTGTCTCAGTACCCATGGACTCATTTATCCACCATGGCAAAATCTCAACTTTTCTACCTTTCTTGTCCATAAATCAAATTTCCCCGGATGTAAATTGATGTTATCTTAGAGCCACTCCTTCTTCCAAAGGGATGCCTAGCCAAGTTGATGTGTGCATCTATTGAAATAGATGTGGCCACCATGATACATGTGTTTTACCAGTCACATTCTGGAGACTATATCTTAACCCAAAGTATTAAATGGGGATTTTAATGGTAGTCAGGAAGAAATGCTTGAGCAAGTAGGGCTTTTACACACTTTCGTATTAGAACTCACATAGTAGTTGTTTATATCTGATAAACAGATTTGGCCTGCCTGAAGGGGGTGTATCTTGCAAAAGTCTTGCTTTAACTGGCTACATGAACCAGAGAGAGGTATGGAGACACAGAGATGAGCAGAATATGGAGCTTAGGCACCAGGGAGGTTGGATGGGGAATCTGCTCTTCTAATTTGGGAAGGGCAGGTAGGGCTGAAAGAGTCTTGCAAGTCACCCCCTGCTTTTACCTAAGCCATACTATGAGGAGAATTGAAAAACAATTAGTTGTTGAAGAAGATTATGTAATCTTTTGAGTAACAAACTTTAAAGCATCTCCTGAATCCTTGAAAGAAGTGAGATTTTTCTGATGAAATAAAAATATACTTCCATTGCTTTGCTTTGCTTTTTTTCCTTCAATGAAATAAACATTTAGTGCTTATCAGCAAATGTTAGTATCACTTCATGTAGTTAAAGATTGCTATTTTTAGCCCCTCTCTAGACCAAATTGTCCCTCATGTTAGTTTTCTCCATTGATTTATAGTTCTAAATCTTTCATTATTTTTATTAATTTTCTCAGGGCTCTTTCCATGTTTCCCACTTTTTTTTTAGCAGGATGACATTCCAATTGAGGGAGACTATTGAACTATGTCCAACACTAGGCCTTAGAATCTGAAGTCTGTGTTTGAATCCTGTCTCTAGCACTTAAAACATGAGATGTTCCTGTGTCTCAGCTTCCACATTTTCATAGTGGGCATGACTAGGTCTCACTCCCTTCTAGTATTGCTATGAGGATTGCATTTGAAATACAGTAGCACATTGCTTGGCATCTGGAACATGGGGTGTACATCATAAAAACAACTTTTATCTGCATCATCAACACCAAAACAGAGTTACCAGAACCATCAAGACAATAGTGTTGACTCCTAACCTTGTCAAGATATGCAAAATTCTTCAAGATGGCATCTCTATAAGAGGGTGCATCTTCAAAGAATCAGGAACAATTCAGATCCCTGGTGTAGAATCCACAAAACACTGTACTACCTTTGAGAAATATGAGTCATGACTTCCAGCAAATTACTTAATCACTCTGAAGTTTGTTTCCTCATCATATATTGGTAATAATAAAATTACCTCATAGTATTTATGAAGATTAAATGAAATATAGAATGGAGACTTGTGGAACTTCTGGAATGGTAGAATGAGAAGCCTGTCCAACACTCCCCAAATACAACAATGAAACTGGACAAAATTGTAAAAAACAACCATTTTGGGACTATGAAAAATTAACTAAAGATACACAACAAATTGAGAAGTATTTATTCATTACAAACAGCAGAACCTTAATTAAGAACAAAGGGAGTCTGTGCCACGGTAGACTGGGACTGCTCCTACCTCCCCAACTCTCACTCCAGCTCCATCAGCGCGGTAGTTCCTAACAGGGCAGGATAAGCCATAAAACCCAGCAGGTTTGCTGCTGGAGGGGGTTGACTTGCTTTGGAGTGAAGTGCAGGAAAACCCTGTTAAAACAGTAACCATGTTGGTGGCGAATGAATAAGAAAGGCCAATACAGCAGCCATCCTGAGTTTGTAATTCTGGTTCAGGGAAGCAACAGAAAAGGCAACTTGCCCCAAAAGAACAGGAAGATCCAAGGAGTGGGATAGCCACCGTGGCCATTGATAACATTTTTGGAATTGTGGAAGGCTGCACACAGATGCAAGGCTGTGCACACACTCAGTAGTGACCAGAGAGGGCCGTGATTATCCACACATCTCTGGCTAAACATTAGGTATAGGAAGTTAGGATTAAAAAAAGAAAAAACTTTAAAACTTCAGCAGATACATCAGTGGCTACATACTGCAGGCAGACAGACTCTACAGAATTAATCCAAGGATGTCACCAACCAACCAACCAAAGCAGCAACAACAACTTTTGAGGAGGAGGAATCAGAATCGAGACTGGCTACAATACATTAACTGAAATGTTCAGTTTTCGACAAAAAAATTGTAAGACATATTAAAAAAAAACAGAAAAGTATGATCCATACATAGAAAAAAAAAGCTGTCTTTGAGAAAATCCAGATTTTGGACTTAGCAGAGAAGGACCTCAAAGAAGATATAATAAACATGCTCAAAGAACTAAAAAAAATCATATTTAAAGAATTTAAGGAAAGTATGGTGATGACACATCAAATAGAGAATATAAATGAGGAGAGAAACGTATAAAAGAATGAAATTCTGGAGTTGAAAAGAACAATAAGTGAGATGAAAAATTCACTAGAATCCCTCGACAGCAGATTTGAAATAGCAATAGAAGGAATTGGCAAACATGAAGATAAATGAACAGGAATAATCTAAACTGAAGAATAGAAAGAAAATAGCATGACAAAATGTGAACAGAGTTTCAGAGATTTGTGGGACTTTATCAAGCATACGCCATATGTGTAATATGTGTTCCAGAAGGAGAAGCAAGAGAGAAGAGGCAGAAAAAATATTTAAGGAAATAATGGTTTTATAGTTCCAAAATTTGATTTAAAAATTAATTTAAATATCAAAGAAGCTCCACAAACAAGTAGTATGAGAAAAAAAAGCATTATACCTAAACACGTCATAGTCAAACTATTAAAAGATAGAGAAAAACTTGAAAGCAGCAAGAGAAAAGCAACACATTAAGTACACAAGAATAACAATGTGATTAAAGTTGAATTTCTACCACAAACATTGGAAGTTAGAAGGCAATGGATAACATATTCAAATCCTGAAAGAAAAATGTAAACTGAAGTTATTATATTCAAGAAAATTGTCCTTAAAAAATGAAGGTGAATTAAACACTTACCCAGAAAAACAAATATTGAGAGAGTTCATTGCTAACAGACCTGCCTTACAGGAAATATTAAAGGAAATCCTTTAGGCTGAAAGGAAATGACACCAGAGAATAACTTGAATCCACGTGAAGTAACAAAGGACACTGGAAAAGGTAACTATGTAGGTAAATAGAAGAACTGTATTATATATTTTTCTCTTTTCTTCTCATATCAGATTTAAAAGATCATTGTGTAAAACAATATTTATAAAACTGTATTGTTGGGCTTATAACATATAAAGATTTAATGTATATAATAATAGCACAAAGGAAAGGAGATAAAATGGAGCTATATGTATGGGAACAAGTTTTCAATATTGTACTGAAATTCAGTTAGTATTAATCCAAAGTGGATTTTGATAAATTAAGATACATATTGTAATCCCTAGAGTAACCATATGAAAATATTTTTAAAAATAGTTTTAAAAGCCAATAAAGGAATCAAAATGTCATATTAGAAAATACCTATTTGACACAGAAGAATGTAGTAAAGAAAGAACAGATGAATTTAAAAAGCCATGGGATTTATAGAAAACAAATAGAACATGGAAGATGCAAATCCAAGCATATCAGTAGTTGCATTCAAGGCATATGATTTAGACACTTCAATCAAAAGGCAGTGATTATCAGCCTGGAAAAAAAAACAAGATCTAACTATGTGCTACTTTCAAGAAACACAATTTAGATTCAAAGATACAAATAGATTTTTAAAAATGGAAAAAGATACACTGTATAAATAGAAACCATTAGAGAGCTAGAATTGGATCGATTAATGTCAGATGAAATATGCTTTTAGACAAAAAGTATTATTGGAAACAATGAAGGATATTTTGTAATGATAATTAGATCAATTCACCAGGGAGATAAAAAAGTTACAAACTTATGTACACTTAAGAAAACAGTCCCAAAATATATGGAGCAAAAATGGAAAGAATTGAAAGGAGAAACAGATAATTTGACAATAGTTGGAGCATTTAACATCCCACTCTCAATAACTGATAGAATAACTAGACAGAAAATCAGTAAGGATTTAAGAAGACTTGAACACACTATTAACCAACTTGACCTAACCGACATCTATTTCTATAGATGTATAGAAGTCCACCCAACAACAGCAAAATACACATTCTCTTCAAGCATATATGGAAACGTCTCCAGAACAGACTATATCCTAGGTCATAAAGCAAAGTGTCAATGAATTTAAAAGCATTTAAATAATACAAGGCATTTCTCTGAACACAATGGCATTACATTAGAAATTAACAAGAGAAGTAAATGTGGGAGATCTCCAAGTGTTTGGAAATTGAACAACACATCACAAAGGAAATAATAAAATATTTTTAACTGAATGAAAACAGAAGCACATCATCAAAATATATATGATGCAGCTAAAGTGCTTAGAAAGAAAAAATTTTTAAATAACAGTTTTATTGATATATACTTCACATACTGTATAATTCATCCTTTTAAAGTGTACAGTTCAACAGCTTTTACTGTATTCACCAAGTTTTGCAACTATCATCAGTCATTTCAGAACATTTTCATTATTTCAAAAGAAACCCTATACCCATTACCAGTCACTGCCTATTGCCTCCTTCCCCCATTCCTTTGCAAATACGAATCTAATTTTTATTGCTATGCATTGCTTATTTTGGACATTTAATATAAATTGAATCATTCAGTATGTGGCCTTGTGTGTCTGCCTCCTTTCACTTAGCATAATGTTTTCAAAGTTCATCCATGTTGTAGCATCTATAAGTATATCAATCCTTTTCATGGCTTAATAATGCATTGTATAGATATACCACTTTTTTTTTAATCCATTCTTTAGTTGATTAACATTTGGGATGTTTCTGCTTTTTGACTATTATGAATAATGCTGCTGTGCACATTCATGTACAG
Organism: Homo sapiens; assembly: GCF_000001405.40. Classification (NCBI taxonomy): domain Eukaryota; kingdom Metazoa; phylum Chordata; class Mammalia; order Primates; family Hominidae; genus Homo; species Homo sapiens. Next base: position 45,602,969 of record NC_000006.12, read on the forward strand.
GTTTTTATGTGGATATATGTTTTCAATTATTTGGGGGCATAAACCTACTAGTGAAATTGCTAGGTCATGTGGGAGATCTATGCTTAACCTTTTGAGGAACTGTCAAAAAGTTTTCCAAAGTGACTGCACCATTTTACATACCCACCAGCCATAAAGTATATCTATGAAAATCCCACAGACTCAATGGTGAAATACTTCCTAAAGTAAGAAATAAGAGAAGGATGTTCTCATCACTGCTATTCAGTATTGTGCTGGAAGTTTTAACCAGGGAAATTAGATGAGAACAAGAAATAAAAAGGTAAACCAGATTGGAAAGGAAGAAATAAAACTATCTCCACATGCAGATGAAGTGATTTTGTATACAGAAAATCCTAGGTATTCCACAGAAAAGAATGTTTAGAGCAATGGAACTAGTCCAGTAAAGTTGCAGGATACAATATCAATGTATAAAAATCAGTTGTAATTCTATACACTAGCCATGAATAATCCAAAATAAAATTAAGAAAATAATTCTATTTATAATAGAATCAAAAAAAGAAAGTACTTAGGAATAAATGTAACTAAGGGAGTATAAAGCTTTATAGTAAAAACTATAAAACGTGGATGAAGGAAATTAAAGAAGACATAAAAAAATGGAAAGCCATTTCATGTTCATAGATTAGAAAACTTAATATTGCTAACACGGTGTATTAGTCTGTTCTCATGCTGCTAATAAAGACATACCCCAAACTGGGTAATTTATAAAGAAAAAGAGGTTTAATGGACTCACAGTTCCACATAGCTGGGGAGGTTTCACAATCATGGAGGAAGGCAAAGGAGGAACAAAGGCATGTCTTACATGGTGGCAGGCAAGAGAATGTGTGGCAGGAGAACTGCACTTTATAACGGGCAGATCAGATCTTGTGACACTTATTCACTATCATGAGAACAGCATAGGAAAAACCCACCCCCATGATTCAATTATCTCCCACTGGGTCCCTCCCATGAACATGGGGATTACTGGAGCTACAATTCAAGATGAGATTTGGATGGGGACACAGCCAAACCATATCATGGCTATACTCCCCAAATTTATCTGTAGATTCAATGCTATCTCTATCAAAATTCCAACTGCCTTTCTTGCAGAAATGGAAAAGCTGATCCTTAAGTGTTCCTTGGATTATTGCAAGCCTTTAGTTAATTTAGAGTTCTGAAAAAAATTCATTTTGACATTTTTGCCAACGTTCTCAGCTTTATAGAGGAATTGACTTTCAAACGTCCTTTCTTAAGAGGGTCCATTTCATAAGAGGGAAATTTATAAATTTATGCATCTATATTTGAGAAGAAGAAAGATCTCAGATTAATAATCTTAGTTCATATCTTAAGGTACTAGAGAAAAGAAGAGAAAACTAAGCCCAAAGCAGAGGGAAGGAAATAATACAGATTAGAGTGGAAATGAATGAAGCAGAACACAGAAAAACAAGAGAGAAATTTAAAGAAACCAAAAGTTGATTCTTTGGAAAGATCAACCACACTGACAAAACGGTAGCTAGACTGGCCAAAGAATGAAGAGAGATAAGACACAAATTACCAAATTTAGTGATGACCCTGCAGAAAGTAAAAGGATTAGGAGATACTATGAACAACTTTATGCCAACAAATTAGACAATTTAGTTGAAATTGATAAAATCTTAGAGAGAAATTATACCAAAACCAACTTTTTTTTTTTTTTTTTTTTTTTTTGAGATGCAGTTTTGCTCTTGTTGTCCAGGCTGGAGTGCAGCTGCACTCCAGCCGCACTCGACTCACTGCAACCTCCACTTCCTGGGTTCAAATGATTGTCTCACCTCAGCCTCCCAAGTAGCTAGGATTACAGGATGCGCCACCACACCCAACTAATTTTGTATTTTTAGTAGAGATGGGGTTTCACCATGTTGGCCAGGCCTGGTCTTAAACTCCTGACCTCAGGTGATCCACCCCCTAGGCCTCCCAAAGTGCTGGGATTACAGGCATGAGCCTCCATGCCAGGGCCAAAACCAACTTCTTAGAGAAGAAATAGAAAATCTGAACAGATCTATAACAAGAAATTAAATTTGTAATTAACACTCTTCCAAAAAGAAATATGGTAGGGAAGATGCCTATCAAAGTCTTTGGCATAGAGTTGGCCCCAAATAAATGTGAGTCCATTCCCTCTGGCCCTTTCAGACAATGAGGTATCAAAGCCCTGAGCAAAACTTCTCTCCTCTGTTGAATTCTATGGGGACCTGCTGTACCCACTGATGTAATTTTAAGAGCTAAAAGTTACTTATATGTGGGGAACTCACTTTAGTGCTAATTTTAAATGATAAACGCTAAGATCATGGATCATGCAAACCAAGATATCTTGACCTCAACCAGATTCCATCATGAGCAGGGTCAGTTTTTAATGATACTTACCCACAATAACCTCCACCTCCCCCACCAGCCGACTCAGCACACATCTACCCCGACACATCCCTAACAACACATCCAAACAACCAAACAAAAACTCTTAAATATGGGCGGCTCTTTTTTTTCCAAAGATTGTGATCTGGGAGGGACAAGAAAAGGATCGTATTTCTTTTTTTTTCTTTCTTTCTTTCTTTTTGTTTTTTGGAGACAGAGTTTCGCCCTTGTTGCCCAGGCTGGAGTGCAGTGGCACAATTTCGGCTCACCGCAACCTCCGCCTCCCGGGTTCAAGCTATTCTCCTGCCTCAACCTCCCGAGTAGCTGGGATTACAGGCATGTGCCACCAGGACCGGCTAATTTTGTATTTTTTTTAGTAGAGACGGGGTTTCTCCATGTTGGTCAGGCTGGTCTCGAATGCCCGACCTCAGGTGATCCTCCCGCCTCGGCCTCCCAAAGTGCTGGGATTACAGGCGTGAGCCACTGCACCTGGCCGGGAAGGATGGTATTTCTAGTTGACAGATGAAGAAACTGAAGCAGAGAGTCAAAGATATTATGACACTATGGGAGGTACAGCGACTACTTAAACAGTTATCTTAGTTTTCCAATTAGTACAACAGAGAAAAGAGACAAAGGACCTAGGGTCTAGGTCCAGCTTGCTGTTGATTTTTGTCAAACTGTTTCTTTCTCTAGGTCTCAATTTCCTCATTTTAAAAACAAGACACTAGTCCTTGAACTACTGTGAGGACTGCTATGAAGAGCAGTGTCTGATCCTGGCCTGAAGGCATGCTGTGTTTCTTGTTCGTATTCTTCTAAGTGAAGCTGATTCAAGGGAGGTTTGCTGTGATTGTGTAATTGTCTGTCTGAGAATGGGCATTACAATTAGAAAAGAAAAGAAATATTTATATCAATGAGCTAAATCCCCAACTTAGGAAGTTAGGGGAAATACAAGAGTAAAGATAAAGAAAGTAGAGAGAGGGGAGAAGTAATAGTATCAGAAGGGATTAATGAAACAGAAACAAAGATTCAACTGAGGATTGTCGAAAGCCAAAAGCTTGTTCTTTAAAGACTACTGGATATCTGCAGAAAAATTAAGCATGAACAAACCATGAAAAAAAGGACAACTATAAACATAAGAGTTTAAAATTATTGGGATAACTTAAATAACCTTATACCATAAAGTTGAAAATTTAAGTGGACAATTTCCTATTAAAGCATATTACCAAAATTGACTCAGAAATAATACAAAACCCCAATTGACCTATAACTATTGAAAAAATTAAAAGGAGGTCTCTTCTAGCCCTAGTGGTCTATGAAAACTTCCTTTCCTCTCTCGCTTTCTCTGTCCCTCTCTTCTTCTACTTCTCTGTCTGTCTCCGACTCTGTCTCCCTCCTTCTGTCTCTCTGTCTCTCTCTGTCTGTCTCCCTCTCTCTTTGCGTGAGTGTTTTGAACATGCAGAATCAACGCTAGAATAGTTTCTACTTGGAGTGACTATCTCTGCGTGAGCAAATTAGATGTGTGTTCAGTGGGAAGTGTTATGTCTAATGCCCTCTAAAGAGCAGGCAGTTGTGTGTGGGGGGGATTTCTTTTAGGATTGGTGCTATTGCAGGGTGTGGGTGTGGGAGTGATGGCCTCGCTGAAGTTTTCATTTGAGGCAGGCAGAGCTCCTGTTAGTTCCTAGCTCCTGAAATGTAGTAGAGGGAAGAGCAGTGGGGAGGGGCCGTGGGGCAGAGTTTTATGTGTACCTCTGAGGTGTGCACAAGAAGGCAAGGACAACAGGTTGGGGACAGAGTCTGAAACCTCTCAACTTCTACCCCACTGCTGCAGGCTCAGCAAGGATGAACATATTCTGCACCTGGCTTCACACTATGTGGCTGGCCAGCTTTTCTCAGGCCAGTCATTTTCTGTAGAAAGGCATACTTGGGAGAGTTTTGTTTAGGGTAAGATGCCACAGTCGAACCAAATGGCCATGTGTACGGCTGGCCCTTTAGAGACTTTCTGCTCTGTGCAGGGATGAAGCGGGAGGTGGGAGGGAATCCTGTGAGGTGCTGAATCCAGGTTTTCCCTTGTGGAATTAGGGAGAAGATTATACATAACCCCTTCACCTCATCTCACCCCCTCTCCAGGAGACTGTAGGTGCCTGAAATGCTGAAATTAACTTTTGTTTCTTAAGTTGTATTCCCTAATAAAACAAAACAAAACAAAACAAAAACTACTTTCTGATAACATATTTTTACAGGAAAGAAGGAGGTTTAATTAACCAGATGCTGTGCCCCTTCAGTGAGGTTGGGACTGATTGGGAAGTTAGCCACAAAAGGGACATGAGTACAGGTGTCAAGGAGCACTTCATTGTTTAGGGGAGGACTGTCCCCAAAAAGCTTCCTGCTCACTGAAATGCTCCCAGGAAAGTGGCTTGCTGAAAATGGATCATAGACATGTTTTAATCCAACTGCTGTTTTTCAGGTTAAGCAAGATAGGTTTCATTTGATTGCTTTTTGCATTTTCTTTTTTATCTTAGATAAAGGGTGTGCCTGGTTTTTCTGCTGCGAACAATGGCCTGATTGTTAGAAGTCTTGCTTACATGTATATATGTGTGTGTGTTTTGCCATGACTCCTGTGTTTTGGAAGTCTTTGGGGACAGATGATATTTATGAATGATGTCCCAAGGGTATAATCAGTATGACTCATTCTTGGAACCAGTTTTATCCGTTAAGGGGTGCCAGCTGCACCCAGTTCACAACTGAACATACTCGAAACATCTTCCCGCACTAACCTACTCCTGGTTTGGGGTCAGAAGGACATATTCTAGTAGCTTTTCTACTTCTCCAGGGGTTTAATTTCCCATGACGGGGTCCTGGGGACTTTCTGTTAAGAATTTTGACAAGGTGAAAACTGTTACATAGTTGAGAATGAAATTGTGTTTCAGGATTTCAGAAAACACCCCCACAGGAAATTTTATGAATTTCATCATAATAGCAGTCATAAAGAATCCTATTTATTCTCTGTCATTCTTTAAGTAATTCAGAAGAATGTCCTGATGTTATCGTCTCTGAATTTATAGGACACCAGTGAGGCTGGCAGGGTGGATTTCATCATCTCTTTTATTCTGCCTCTTACCCTCCCAACAAGTCACCTTGAAAACGGGGGTTACTGAGGCACACATTGGTCATAGGATGTTCAAAAACCACTACAATAAGGCAGGGTCAGAATTAGAGACCACGTTTTGGTTTCCGGGTTAGAAAGCTTTCATTTTAAATTCCACTCCTATCTAGTCAAGCCGGAGTTCCTGATGGCATCTGAGACTTAATTTGAGATGTTGAGGTGTGTCCTGCCATGACCTTTACTGAGGGCTGGCTTTCAACAAATCTGATTGGCTCACTTCTCCTCAACCCAGCATCACCTCATCTCAAAGGCATTTTCAGTTCTCTAGGAGGCACCTGTTGCTCCTTGTGCTTTGCTTTCTTGGCTTTTCCCATAGATGGCGGTCCCGGAGCACGCGGATCAGCCCAGTCGTGGTTCTCTGTCTCCCCTGCCATGTTTTCTGGTGTCTTCATGACCACAAATTATTGGATCCTGGGAAATTGCCCTGTTTTCACTTTGTTCACCCATTTTGCCAAATCAGACATGTGACCAGTCTGTGGATTAGGTAGGCAATGCCCTCCCTTTTTTTTTTTTTTTAACCCATCTTTGAAATAGCTGTCTGACCTCGTCTCTGGGAGAGAAGACATGTGGAGTGTGGAAACACACTTCAACCTGCACATCTGGCGGAAGAACAAGAGTGGAATTCCTGGATCAGTTTCTTGGTTTGTGGTCTCTGGGGATTGCTCGTTGAGTAACTCCACATCACATCACTTCACAGATAAGGAAGATGTCATCCCCATGGCATCTCTGATTTCGGCACACGCTTCAGAAAACCCCCAGCAACTCATCTAGAACATGATGTTTTAAGCTGCTATAATCACCAGCCAACTTTGAACATGTGCCATGCACATGACGGCCTTCCTTCTTGCCTGTGAAGCTTGAGTATGAGTCTGCCTTAGTGCACTCCCTTTGTCCAGCTCCTATTGAAGGTGTCAGTGCTGGACCCTGGGATGCAGTCCTGAGCCATAGTGCCTGCAGGATGGAATTCTTCTGGCAGGCCCGGGCTGTGGACCTAGTACAACACCAGGACTTCCTGGAACAGGCACTGAGTGGAGGTCAAGAGCCCTTGGTTCGTTCCTCCCCTGGCACAATTTGTGAGATGTTAGGCATGTCCCCTCTCTGGGGCTAAGTGTCCTTAACAGCCAAATGGGAATAATTAATACTTGTCTTACATGAGGCTGGGAAGGATCTTGACTATTTTGGAAAATGGTGTCAGGATTCAACTGAGCCAGGCTGGAACAATAGATCAAATGGGCTAACAAGCTAAAGTTTAATGGGGAGAGATTTAATGTCCCAGTCATGGGCTCAGAAACAACTGTACCAGTCAGGAATGGGGAGGAGCTGAATAGGCAGGAGCACATGAGGGTGAGTGTTGGACGTTGCAGTTAATGGCAACACAGAAATGAGGACTCTGGAAACTCCAAGTGCAAACAGGCTGCATTAGTAGAAATGCAGTTCTCAAAACAAGGAGGTAATAGTCACATTGGCTAGACTAGTGCTGAAGAACTGGGCTGGATTTGGGACCCCACCTTAAGAGGGCAATGAGGTCCCAGGGTGTATCTGGGGAAGACTAACCAGCATGGTGACAAGTATGAAAGCCTGGGGCATCCAGGGATCAGCAGACAGACTTGAAAATGTTCTTTTCCTTCCTGGAAAGGGTTCATTTAGCAGGATCTGATCGCTGCCCAGAGAACCAACCTATGACAAAAAAGCAGGAAAGCAGTTTTTTGTTGTGGTTGTTCAGACTGGTCCCCCAGCTTTTAACCTTGTCTCCTGACAGCAGCCAGAGAAATTCTTATTAAATATAGCATACATTCACATGGTTCAAAACCCAACCAACCAACCAAACCAACCCACCAACTAACCAACCAAATAAATAAATACATAAATAATGAACCAACTAACCAACCAACCAACCTAACTAACAAAAAGCATAAAGACAAATACAGGACAAAGCCTCCCTCCCACCCTTGTACTCTAGTAGGGACAGTTTGTGATGGTCCTTAAGAGTGTAGTCTCTGAAAGCTGTGCTGCCTCAGTTTGTCCCAGTCCTGCTACTTCTTAGCTGTGTGGCCTTTGGCAAGTTACTTAACTTCTCTGAACCTTAGCTTCCTCATCTGAAAAATGGGGATAATAATGGTACTTATCTAATAGGATCGTTGTGAGAATTAAATGAGTACATCCACATAAAGTACTTAGAACAGTTGCTGGCATACAATCAATTTCACAAATGTCTTAGCTCTCATTTTTCTCTGCTTAGTTCTCCCCTTTCTCCAGTATTCAACCATTATTTTTATATTTCATCTGTATTTTATCAGAGTTTTAAAATGCATATATTATATATGCAAATGTGAACGTCAATTCTTATTTTTCTTATTTTTTAAGTTCCAAAGCTAGTATATTAGACATATTGTTCAGCACCTGGCCTTTTTTTTTTTTTTAACTTGATAGTATATCTTGGAGATTTTTCCACATCAGTACAGAGAGAACTTCCTCATTCTTTTTCACAGCTGTACATATAAGGAAGAAGTTTCTAACAATTAGAGCTTGTTTTAAAATAAAACTCTGTCAGAGGAAGCATTCAGGTGAGGAATAGACAGCCACTTCTCAGGTACGATGGAGTAGAGATTTATGTGTCAGTAAGGCAGTCAGGCTAGAATATTTCTACTGTTCCTCCAACTGAGATTTCTTGATCCTATGTTAAGTTTTCCAAAGAATCACAGAAGAATTAAAACCTGTCTAGAAACAGTACTGTTGCTTTGTTTATCTGACTGGATTCTGACCTGGGGCTCAGCCAGCACTGGGTGAGGGGGACTTTAAAGAGGCCCTCTTGCAGGGCCCATCTGTGCCATCTTAGAAAGCAGGTGGCTCTGAGACAAGGTCCAGGTTGTCCTCTAACCCCACCTAAAGCTAACCTGGCCCAGGTATTATTACCTGGAGGGAAGAAGGACTCTGCTGCAGGGAGACCTCGAGCCACCCGTTGGCAGGCATAGTCTCATTGAAATGTGTTTTCATAGGACACTGAGTTTATCCCTCATTTCTCAGCCTGGAACTCACCATTGCAGGTACAACTTCAGTGGAGACCAGCATGACTGAGCTTCCAACAGGCAGCAATGACTCCAGGGCTCTTCTACTACCTGCCCTTTCTGAGTGTTGAATTAGAAGGGAGGTGAGAGATTAGCTCGGCTTCCCTCTACCAGCAGGCCAATAACCAGAGGGTAAAGGTCTCCAACTTTGAACATGTGCCATGCACATGCAGAAGGTAAGTGATTGCAGGAGATTGTCCATGTGGTGGTAAGGTCCCCCAAGCTTCAACAGAGCCTGAAATGTCCTTTCTAGACATGAAGCATTTTGAGTTTTTTTATTCTGCCAGTCTATAAAAAATCCAGGTCTTTTTGAAAGAAATAGCACAAGTATTTTTTAAGCACGAATTTTTCAACCTGAGTAGCTGAGAATAGAGCTCCTCACTGGGCACTCGGACAAGGAAGCAAGACGGAGTCCACATGGGAATGGGGCATGAGAGGTGGGAAGGTTATTGGGGTCTGGCCCTGGCTTGGGCCAGATGGGACCAGATTCTAAATGGATTCACTCTTGTTTACTTGTTAGGATTCTTAGCAGAGTCTTTGCTGCAGCAGCAGTGCTTAATGGGGGAGGTGGGGGAGAGGCAGGCATGAGACTCCCTCCCACAATCTCCATAAATACAGGGAAAGCCATGGTGAATCTTGATTATACACTGTCTATTGAAAGCTCCCCAAGGAGAGGGGCTATGCTTTATACTTTTTTGAAGTATAATTTACAATAAACTACAAATTTTTAATGTGTACAATTTAAAAAGTTTTGACATGTATATCTACCCTTGAAACCATCACCACAATCAAGCTAATGAACATATCCATCACCCCAAAAGGGTTCCTTGTGGCCTTTTATAATTTCTCCCTCCTGGTCCTCCTTGATTCCTCCTTCATCCCTAAACAATCACTGATCTGCTTTCTGTCACTATAGATTAGTTTGCCTTTTCTAGGATTTTATATAACTGGAATCACAGAATAAGTATTATTTTTTGGTCTGGCTTCTTTCACTCAGTGTAATTATTCAGAGATTCAACTATGTTGTTACATCTATATAGTTCATTCCTCTTTACTGCTGAGTATTATTCCACTGGACAGGTATTTGACACCTGTTTATTCATTCACCCATTGACAAACACTTTGGTCGTTTTCAGTTTTGGGCTATTACAAACGAAGCTGCAATCAGCATTCATGTACAAGTCTTTCTGTGGACATACACTTGCATCTTTCTTAGGTAAATACCTACAAGTGGAATGAATTATGTGGTAGTTGTGTATTTTTTTGTATTTAACTTTTTAAGAAAGTGTCAAACTACTTTTCAAAGTGGTTGTACTATTGTACCTTCCCACCCAGCATTGTATGAGAGCTTCAGTTCCTCCATATCCTTGTCAACACTTGTTATGGTCAGTCTTTTTAATTTTAGACATGCTAATAAGTATCTAATAGTTAGTGGTATCTGATTATGATTTTAAGTTGCATTGTGTCCTTAATGTACATTTTCCTAATAAGGACTGGCACCTTTTCATCTGTGTATCTTCTTTGGTGAGGTGTCTTTTAAAATCATTTGCCCAATTTCATATTGGGTTGTTTGCTTTGTTATCATTTAGTTCTGAGAGTTCTTTGTATATTCTAGACACAGGTCTTTTTTTCAAATCAGCTATGTGACTTACAGATATTTCCTTCTAGTCTGTGGCTTGTTTTATCCATTTTGTAATGGTATCTTTTGAAGAGCAAAATTTCTTAATTTTGATAAAGTCCAATTTATAATTTTTCTTCTTGTATGGATGTGCTTTTGGTATCATATCTAAGAAATCTTTGCCTAACCACAAAATCACAAGTATTTTTCCCATTTTTTTCTTCAAAAGTTTTAAAGTTTTAGGTCTATAAGCCATTTTGAGTTAATTTTAGTATATGGTTTGAAGAATGGATGGAATTCCATTTTTTGGCATGTGAGTATCTAATTGTTCCAGCAACATTTATGGGGAAGAATTTCCTTTCTCCTCTAAAAAGCTTTTGCACCTATTTCAGAAATCAATTGGCCATGTATTTGTGGGGCTATTTCTTTTGTAAGCTTGAACCCTACTCTGTCATAGCCCCAGCTCAGGGCCAGCACATGGCACGTGTTTAATAACAGCTCGGGGATATAACTTGACTCCAGCTGTTTTCAGGAGTTTCTCATTAGATGCAGTTTAGTGCTGCTGGTTTTAGGGACAGTAATGCAGTGAGGAAGTCAGATGGCGTGAACGAGCAGCAGTGTTCTGTTAGTGCTGCGCCAGCACATGCTGGTTCTTGTTCACAGTGCACCCAATCGTCAGCACTAAATAAATCAGGGTCAGCCTGAGTTCCTGAAAGACTCTATGGGAATAAACCTTCCCACCAAGCCAGCAAGTTTCAGAAACCACGCCTCCAGCTTGAGAAACGTGGGATTAAATCATCAAAAATGCCGTCTCTAGCAAAAGTCCCTTGATCTCTGTTAACTCTCCATAGCAGTGCTGTTCAGTAGAAAGCAAATGTAAGCCATATATATAATTTAAAATTTTCTAGTAGATGTATTTTATTTTTTATTTACTTGTTTTTTTGAGACAGGGTTTCACTCTGTTGCTCAGGCTGGAGTGCAGCGGCATAATTATGGTTCACTGTAGCCTCGACCTCCTGGGCTCAAGTGATCCTCCCACCTCAGCCTCCCAAGTAACTGGGACCACAGGCATGCACCGCCATGCCTGGCTAATTTTTTATTTTTTGTAGAGACGGGGTCTCCGTATGTTGCCCAGGCTGAACTCCTGGGCTCAAATGATCCTTCTGCCTTGGACTTCCAAAGTGCTGGGATTACAGATGTGAGCCACCTCACCCGGTCAATGTATTTTAAAAAGTAAAAATAAGCAGATGAAATTAATTTTATAATATATTTTTAAACTCAGCATATATAAAATATTATCATCTTCATAATTAGTTGATATAAAATTATTCATTAGATATTTTATATATTTTTGAACTAAGCCTTCAAAAATCTGGTGTGTGGTTTATAGTTATAGCACATCTCAATTGAAACTACCCACACTTTAAGTGCTCAGCAACAACTTGTGGCTAGTGGCTGCCGTATTGGAGAGCACCACTTTTAATCACGCATCACATTTCTTGCTTTAACACTTCCCCTTTCTTAAAATCTTTATTGAATGGGAAAGTCCTTCCCTCTGGACATCAGCTTCTCTTCTCCACCATAACCTCTCCTGTTGCAGAAAGCCAAAATCAGAGGAGGGGGAGGAGAAGCAAAACATCTTGAAGATGGAAAAGATTAAAACAAAATCTGCTGGGCATGGTGGCTCAGGCCTGTAATCCCAGCTCTTAGGGAGGCAGAGGATAGCTTGAGCCCAGGAGTTCGAGACCTGCCTGGGCAATATAGTGAGACTCGGTTCTCTACAAAAAGGAAAACAAAAACATAAAAACAAAACCTAAGTTCAGGTAAAACAAAAGCTCATGAGTCAGGTTGTATTTACACAGCAAGATGAGTAAGAGGTGATGAGGAGGGCTCAGTGGTGCAATGGAGTTGGCTGATGCTGGCTCCACAAAAGCTTAAACTTTTCAGGAATTTTGCAAGCCAGTTGTTAAATACAGACATTAATAAGAATTAAGTTATACAAACTTTCCACTGAACAAATTATATTGAAAACATACAAAATATTCAAAACTCACCATATCCAAATTCTGTTACTGCATTTCACTATTATCTATGCTTTTGAGGTTATTGATGGCTATTCCATCTGAATGGTGGAAATACTATATGATTTCATACTCTTGAGCATCTCTTCCCGACTTGGTGTCATAGCTTGAAATTGGTAGGGGTATTTACACCACAGGAAATGGTAAATGCTAAAAGCCAGGGCTTTCATCCAAGATTTGCCAGATGCTAACCCTTCACCAGCACACCCCTAGGAAAGCTCCAGGAGGTGTGAACTCATTGAGATGAGGGATGCCTGACACATTATAAATGTTGAATAAATGGTTGTTATGATTACAGTGATTGAAAGTCTGAATAAATCCTATCCCTGTCCCTTTTCCCTGTCCCCACTCACAAGAGGATGCTTTTGTGTAAAACAGCCTGCATTGTTCCTGTAGTTTTTTTTTCCATTCACCTCTACTCTGGACTATTCCACATTCAGAGTTCAAGAGTGAAGTCAAGAGCTAGCAGGTACAGCCGACTCTCAGTGTGGTCTAGGTCATGAATCCCTAAGCCCTGGGCCACGGACCAGTATTGGTCATGGCCTGTTAGGAACCAGGCTGCACAGCAGGAGGTGAGTGAGCATCCCTGCCTGAGCTCCACCTCCTGTTGGATTACTGTCAGCATTAGATTCTCATAGGATCCCGAACCCTATTGTGAACTGCCCATGTGAGGGATGTAGGTTGTGCGCTCTTTATGAGAATCTCATGCTCCCCACTCAGCTCTGTCTGTGGAAAAATTGTTGTCCATGAAACTGGTCCCTGGTGCCAAAAAGGTTGGGGACCACTGGTCTAGGTTATACAGTTATTCTCTAACTACCCTCTTTCCCATTGTTCTAGAGGATAGGAGGAGAAAGAAGGCTTGAAAACTTACATGTTAGATATTCATAGAATTCTCTCTAGAAGGTGAGGGTTTTCTTTTGCTTACCTGCATTTTCTAATTTTTCTACAATGACACTCCCTGTTTTAAAAAAGTTAAAATTTAAAACAACATATAAGAATTTTCAAATGTCTTCAAGGGCACATTTAGACATAACTGGCTAGTGCTAAAAGTAGGAAGAGAGGTATTAAGAATGAAAGAGTTTTGGTTGGAATGGATGAGTCTTCCAGTGTTTGGGGATGAATCAATTAAAAGGAGGTGAAACAGGAAGGCAAAAGGCAGATCTCTGTAAACCCTGGAGTGTTTCTCTTGAGCTACTCTTCCTCCTACACAAGAGCTCCCATCCATCCTCATAGTTGACATTTGGGATGTCTATAATGAATATGGATTTGATGTGATTTCGTCTCTCTGCCAAACTAACTCACAGAACTAATTCCACTTTTGACTATGTTAAATGAGGTTTTAAAAAGTGTATTAAGAGGATAACTTTTGAAGTCTCTAAGCTAGATCAAGAGGTGCATTTGGGAGAAAACTTTGGGGACCCTTCTTACCCCTTGCTCACAGTTGGAGTCATATTTTGATGTCTTTGATTTATAAGGGTGAGAGACTGTGGGGATCTGTCTTGAGAGGGCTTTGACTTTTAAGGGATTCAACTAGTTGAAACCTTATGTGCATTTGGAAATAAAGCTCTTTTATATCACAGGGTCTAAAAACTTGAAGGTGGAATGGGACCTCAGAGGTCAATACTCTAACCTAATTTGGATGCCCATGTCCCCTCCTTTTTGTCTCTGCCCAAGTGTTCAGCTCTGCCTGATACCTGCCGTGGCAGCCCAATTCCTTTCAGGTGTAGTCCATGGAAGGTCCTGCTCACGTTGACCCTAAACCCCACTTCCTGTAATGTACAGCCATTATTCCAAGATCTGGGAGATGGGGGCAAGCACAAACATGGATATAAGCTAGTGAGATCTGTGTAAGGAATAGAGACCATTTTTGTTGAAACATAATTCAACATGACTAGCATCTCCTGAGCCATTCTTTCTATGCAAGGCACAGATCTAGGTGCTGTGGGAGACATAAATAAAATAGAGTCCCCACCCTCAAGGAATTCACAAGATATCATTTAATGTGTGTAAACAACAAACTCCAATACAAAGGCAGAAGATGATCTGATGAGGGAAATGGAACCAATATTTGTCAAGTTCCTTTGATGTGCCAGGCCCTGCTTTCATTGACATAGGTCTCAAGTAATCCTTGTGGCACTGTGCATTAAACTCCCTGAACCTCCCTTCCTTCTTTGTAAAATTTAATGTTGGACTAGATACCTTCTGAAGTCCCTTCCAGCCCTCATATCCCATGATTCATCCCTCTTTCTCCAGTCAGTGGCCCTAGGCTTCCCTCTCCTGGATTGGGCTGGCTAGGGAAACGGAAGGGCAACAGACTTTTTTGTTATTATTCGCTTTCTCCCCTCCCTGTGAGATGTATTGTTGACTTAAAACCAGTTTGAACAAAGCACTCAGGAATAAACCACAGAGAACCATCTAGAATTGGCAGAGGATAACCCTATGACCCCAGAAGCCTTTTCCAGCTCTAATTTTTATGATTCACTAATTTGCCACACCACATTCAACTCTGTCCGGGAACTCAGAGTTCAAAAAAGATGCAATGTAAATTGCTGGAGGTAATGAGAAGGCTGAAGGCATGGTAGGGCCAGAAGCTTGGTTTTCTGTGAAATTAAATACAGGAAGATATTTAAAGAAGCCAGAAAGCTTCCCCCTCCCCTTTTTCTTTTCCCTGAGAGATTCCCATTTTAAGACTGGTAGGGCAAATTTCAGGTTTCCTCTTTTCAGTGGTATGACTAGGTTTTTGCTATGTTATGACTCCAAAAGAGCTGCCTGTTTGTTTTATAACCTCCCAAAAAGCTGTTGGATGTGGATGTGGCTGTTTAGCAATAAGTTCTGCCGCAATTTTAAAAATCACTTTTGAAGTGGTGGGAGAACACTGTAGGAAGACCACTGTTCTCTAAATATGCAGGTCATTTTTTTTTTTTTTGAGGAAATTGCTGAGGGCCAGAAAGTTATTGAGATAACTTGGTATTTGATGGATCTCATGAATTTTTAGTGCTTTCTACATTTCCCAAACTTTTGGGGATCATTAGGCCCCTTGGTGGCACCTTTGCAACTTGCATTAAATTTATGGACTGAAGATAAGATACAAGCAGGATAATTGTTCCAGAGCTCCATGGCTGCTGAAAGACCAGTAGGCCAGTAGCCTTTGGTGCTTGTGGGAGCTTGGTAAGAGTTAGCTCAGTGTGGGAATGAGGGGTTTGGGTAAGCTCAGGGCATACCTGTGCAGAAGGATAATGACCAGGCACTACAGTGGAGCCGCATTGTGCCTGGGTCCACCTTCTGCAGTCAGCTATGCAGTGCACACCACGCATGCTAAAATTATTGGCAAAAATACCATAGAAGGCACCATGTAAAGTATCAGATGAAAAAGTTGTCTTGTGTTTAGAAACCATGCTATATGAGAAATATATCTTTGAATGTTGGACTTGCACTCAGCAGAAGCACCTGAGGCCTGAAGTCACAGATGAAACAGTAGATTATATTATTCATCTTATATGTCCTCTGGGGTAAATGCCTATAGAGACAAACACTGGGCTTAATTACCAGCACTGCTTATTTATTTTGCTAATTCTATTTTTCTCTAATTTTCTCTCCAATGCCCCCAACAAATATGGAAAGTTCAATTTGCAAGGTAAATGAGTACATGATATAAACCGACTGTATCAAGATTTACATGGTTTATCTCCTTTGCTTTTCACAAAAACCCTAAAAAGTAGGTGGCATTGTCCCCACTTGCAGACGGGAAAACTGAGAGAGGTCACAGGACTAGCCTAAGTTTTCTCAGTGAATAGGCAGTAGTGGAATTTGAAGTGAGGCTCCAAAGCTGGTGCTCCTTTTTCTATGCCTTACATACTAGATTTTTTTTTAAAGGGGGATGAGAAAATAGAAGGCATATGAAGGAGGACAGAGATGAAGAAAGGCATGCAGGGAAGAAACAAACATTTCTTCATCTCAGATGCCCTCTGGGGTAAATGCCTACAGAGAAGAACATTGGGCTTGATTACCAGCGCTGTTTGTTTATTTGTATCTGCTAATACCATTATTGTGCTTGGCATTTTCACATCTCTATGTTCCAGACTGTATTAGTTTCCTATGGCTGCCATAACGAATTACACAAACAGTGGCTTGAACAGTAGAAATGTATTCCTCATAGTTTTGGAGGCCAGAAGTCTGACATCAGCATCCCTCTGCTGAAATCCAGGTGTCAGCATAACCACACGCTCTCCGGAGGCTCCCGGGGAGAATCTGTTCCTTGTCTCTTCCAGCTCCGGGTGGCTGCTGTCATTCTTTGGCTTTGACCACATCATTCCCGTCTCTGCCTCTGCGATCACATCGCCTTCTTCTCTTCTGTGTGTGTCAAATCTCTTCTGCCTCTGTCTTACAGGACATGTGTGATTATACTTAGGGACGTGTGATTACACGCAGGGCCCACCCAGGTAATGCAGGATAATCTCCCCATCTCAAGAATCCTTAAGATTTGCAGTTATTTTTTGCCATTTAAGGTAACATCCACAGGTTCTTGGAAGTAGGGCATGGATATCTTTCCGGGGACCACAAATCGACCTACCATAAAGACTAATCATAAATGTTACAGAGCAGCCTAGGTTGACAGCTCAGCCATTTACATATTTTGTTCTTGTTGTTTATTTTTCTGACTCCAGAACCCACAGCTTAAGTCTCTTCACACCAGTGTCGGTGTAATAATGTGTAATGTGTTTTTGCCATGTTGTTAACTCCTCACTGACATGTAAGCCTTAATGTTCACTGTTCTCATAAGATTAACTTTCAGTTCAGATGGTTAGCCTGTGGTTGCCCTTGGTCAGCGCTTACTCAGAAGGCCACAGCCCATCTGGTGCCCACAACTTCTGAAAGCACTGGGGCTCACATTGTCATGAGAGAAATTTAGATGAGCTATGTAGAAGATCTGATTATAAAGGCAAGTGATGGGTTCACTGCATTCTTTTCAACCTGGCAAGGGACAGGGTTGGAGGAGATTTGAGAGGCCTTCAGAGACTGCAGCTGCAAAACAGGAAATGACTTTTTAGCATGTTCTTTGACCTCTGAGTGGAAGACTACAATTTGGAGGAGGCAAGAAGGTGTGCAAACAGGGAAGGGCTGATGGCCTTCACAAACCAAATGTGTTACTAGGATGTTGGCGCCATGCTGAGGTGGGCGCTGCCGTTCACAAGCACTTGCAGCCACTCTGGGGTGTAGAAAGTGCTCCTTTACACAAGTGTTGGTTCTGATCCCAAGATACACAAACCCAGAGGGGTTTTGGGTCTTCTGAAATGCCAGTGATGTCTACCAAGGGCTTGAGGTTCTCTTTTGACTTGAAAATTAGATAGTTGGGTGTCAATCCATCATTTTAAATTCAGGTTTTTCCCATTCCCCTGCTCAAACCAACTCACTCTGCTGATGTGCCCACTTTGGACATTTGTACAGGGATTCTTTCAGTTACTCAGCACTGAAGCCTTGATGTCAATATTGACCTTTTCTTTCCTTGGCTTCCCACCTTCTTCAATTCTTTCAGAGGTGAAGCAGATAGTCTAGTGATAGGACTGTAGGATCTGGAGTAGAGAGAGAAACAAAAAATAAAAGTTGGGTTGGAACCAGGCTCTGCTACTTATTTGCTGTGTGACCTTGGACCTGTTTTAACCCTCTTAAAAACTAGGGTAAGAGACAACTTACCACATAGACTTATTATGATGATTATATAATAATAATAATATGAGCTAATAATAATAGTTATTATTGTTCTTCTTTCTTTCATTGTGATATTGTGAAATATATATTTAGTCTTCTACCGTTTCCTGGCATAAAACTCCTAAAATCCTTAGCATCTCTAAAGCGATAAATCTTTGTATGCTAATGATTGACCAATAGCTGGCAACCCCTAGTTAGCTTGAGGATGGGGGCTGGTCACCAGAAAGACAAAGGCATGATTAGAGGGTTGGGACCCTTGGTCTTTCTGGTGACCAGCCCAACCCCCACACCTCCGG
This sequence comes from Homo sapiens, assembly GCF_000001405.40. NCBI lineage: Eukaryota > Metazoa > Chordata > Mammalia > Primates > Hominidae > Homo > Homo sapiens. The sequence continues at coordinate 45,621,301 of NC_000006.12, forward strand.
GGAGAGGGGTTGAAGGTGAAGTTGATCACCAGTGGCCAATGGTTTGATCAATCATGCCTGTACAATGAAGCCTTTATAAAAACCCAAAAGGACAAGGTTTGGGGAGCTTCTGGGATATTGGAACATGTGGAAGTCCCTGAATGGTGGCATGCTCAGGGAGGGCATGGAAGCTCCATGTCCCTCATACCTTGCAGTACACATTTCTTCATCTGTATCCTTTGTAATATCCTTTATAATAAACCAGTAAATGTAAGTGTTTCACTGAGTTCTGTGAGCCACTCTAGCAAACTAATCAAGCCAAAACTGGGAGTCACGGGAACTCCAACTTGAAGTCAGTCGATCAGAAGTTCCAGAGGCCTGAATTTGCAACAGGCATCTGAAAGGTGGACAGTCTTATGGGACTGAGTCCTCAACGTATGGGATCTGATGCTATCTCCAGATAGATAGTGTCAGAACTGAATTAAATTAGAGGACACCCAGCCACTGTCCACTGCAAAATTGATGGCTTGCTTGGTATGTGAAGAAAAATCCTCATGCATTTGGTCACAGAAGTCTTCTGTGTTGATCATTGTGGAGTGAGAGCAGTGGAAAAATGGTGTGAGTATTTTCTCATACTTCCAATCTAGTTCAGGCTTTGGTGACCAAAATTAACACTGTAATAATAGATTCTTTTGAAGTAGTAGTTTTCAAACCTTTTAACCATGATCCACAGTGACAAATTTACTTCATTACTAAATTATGACATTAGAAACGCATCCACAACATTAAAGATTTTATGAAATATCTTGATGTTTTCTATTCTTTTCTCACTTACTGCAAAAAAATAGTGTTTTTTGTGTTTTTTTTTTTTCAGATGGAGTCTTGCTCTGTTGCCCAGGCTGGAGTGCAGTGGCATGATCTCAGCTCACTGCAACCTCCACCTCCTGGGTTCAAGCGATTCCCCTGCCTCAGCCTCCCAAGTAGCTGGGACTACAGGCACATGCCACCATGCCTGGCTAATTTTTTTTGTATTTTAGTAGAGACAGGGTTTCGCCATGTTGGCCAGGATGGTCTTGATCCCCTGAACTCGTGATCCGCCTGCCTCGGCCTCCCAAAGTGCTGGGATTATAGGCGTGAGCCACTGCACCCGGCCAAAAATAATTGGTTTTAAATCAAATTGATTTTATGACCCACTAAGAGGTAAAGTCCCACAGTTTCAAAAAATAATGCTCTAGAGATAGTCCTGACTGCAGTCTCTACTTCCTTCTAATTCATCAAGTATCTACTTTTCAAAAGGAGAACACTTTCCATATTTTGTGAGAAAGCATTACCGTCTACCATCCACATTTACATCATATTTTACAATTCCAAGTGCCTTTGTATATAGCATGTCATTTAATTCTCAACAGCCTTTGAGAAAGAAGTTATTTTAGCTTCATTTTACCAATGAGGAAATTCAGATTCAGGCCAGTCACATGTCTCATCCAAGATCATGTACCTGGAAATGACTGAATCAGGATTGAATCCAGCTCTTCTCAAATGGATCCAGGGCTCTTCTACACAAAGCAATGAATTGAAAGGGGGATTTATGTTTTTAGAACCAAATAGGAATACAAAATGGATTAAAGTCATGGGCAAATCTTCTATTTTATACTTTCTTTCATAAAACAAAACATGTAGGATTACTACCACACAGCTTTCTCTAAGAGAGTCACATTCTGGAGCCAACATTAGCTTAATGGTTGTGCCACTTAACTGCATCCCCACTCATTCATTCATCCATCCACTCAACAATGTCATTCATTCATTAATTCAAGAAATAGTTTTTGGGTCTCTACCATGTACCAGGCACTTAGTATATGGATACTAAGATGAACATAAGAAAATTTAAAATGTCCCCAATCAGCACATGGTACTAAATGCTATGTGGTACTAGATGTGTCAACACATATAAGGTGGTACTAACTGCTATTATTAGCATGTAAGGTGGTACTAAGTGCTATGTGGTACTAAGTGCATCAGGATGTAAGGTGGTACCAAAGTGCCATTATTAGTATGCAAGTGCTATTATTAGAGTTTCAGATGGTACTATGTGCTATGAAGAAAATAAAACACGGTAAAAGGAAAAGATTGTTAGGGTTTTCTTGTGAATAGTATGGTTAAGAAGGGTTCTCAGATGAGGTGACATTTGGACAGAGACCTAAATGAAGTGAAAGGGCAAGCCATGTGGATATCTGGGGAGAATTTTCTGGAAACAGGATAAGGCAAGTTAAAGAGAGTGTGAGCTTGGCAGTGATTGAGGAGGAGCAGGGGAAGAGTGTCAGGAGATGAGGTCACAGAAGGGGTTAGATCATATAGAACATTTAAGCCATTGTAAGGACTTCGGATTTTTTAAAATTAATTCTTCAGAAAAGAACTCTATGGAATAATTCAAAAAACATGTTTTGTTAGATCATTTTTCTTTCACACAAACTTCTTTAAGCCCTAGTAGTTTAGTAAGTTGCCCTAGCTGAGAGCCCCCATCATTATCATTGTGATAAGAATCTCAAGTTATGGCTTAAGAAGAAAACCCACCCACTCAACCCATCCTCCATCCTCACTCATTCCCTCTGAGCATAGCTGTATCCTCAGGCTTCAGCTGACCTTATTCTAGATGATACTTTAACTTTGATCTTTGATCTATCTGTTCTTTTTTTTTTTTTTTTTTTTGAGATGGAGTCTTGCTGTGTCGCTCAGGCTGGAGTGCAGTGGCACCATCTGGCTCACTGCAACCTCCATCTCCCAGGTTCAAGCGATTCTCCTGCCTCAGCCTCCCCAGTAGCTGGGATTAAAGGTGCCCAACACCTCACCTGGCTAATTTTTGTATTTTTAGTAGAGAAGGGGTTTCACCATGTTGGTCAGGCTGGTCTGGAACTCCTGACCTCAAGTGATGCACCCACCTCAGCCTCCCAAAGTGCTGGGATTACTGGTGTGAGCCACCATGCCCAGCCTATCCATTCTTAACAAAAAATTACCATTGGTGATGAACCATCAAATTTTAAAATGCATCATAGGGAACATATCACACATGTAGGTTCAGTCCCATGCTATTAGGATGGTGCAAAAGTAATTGTGGTTTTCGACATTACTTTTAATGGCAAAAACCGCAATTACTTTTGCACCAACCAACTATGATGTTTGACCAGGCGTTTGGCCGGGGATGCACTCTGAGCACTAATAGCTTGGTGTCTATGGATTACCTGGGTTTATAAGGAGGCCTTAGGCATTTCCTTAGTGTAGCTCATTCAGCAGAGCTAATTTTCCCATTTTACATGCTGTGACTTCAGAAGCCTGGCAACCTGCATCATTCTTGTCTTCCTATTTGAAGAATACTTCCTCCTGTAGACACCTCCAGAGTTCAGGTAATCTGTGTTCCTCCCTAATAATAAAAATAGCCTACATAGAGTGAGTCTTTAGTGGGGAAAAGTTCTGCACTATTAGGGCAGAGCTTAACATGCTTTATTCCTTTTAGTCCTCCAAGTAACCCACTGAGGTAGGTTCTAATATTCACTTCCTTTTATAGAGTAGGAAATCAAGGCCTAGAAAGGCTAGATAACTTTCCTAGAATGAGAGGTAGAGTCTGGATTTAAATTTGAAACATTCTCCGTTAGCTTGATTAGCTACTGGGCCACGGGTGCTGTGTATATCTTAGCTGGGTTTGTAAGAAAGGGAAGTATGTTTTACAAGAAGGCCCATTTTCTCCTCAGCGCCACTGCCTTTGCCTTCCCTTTCTACTTTCTTTCCCTTTTCTGGATGGCACCTTTTATGTTCTGGCTCATTTTGTCTCTGTTTCCCTCCCTCCCTTTTTCTTTTTTTCTCTCTTCTTCTGCCAACAAAATAAAACCCAATCTCAGGAGGGAATCTGATGAGTGCACACATATGAGTGATCATAAGGTCACAACTCGTGAGCAGGCTAGTCTATGGCAGGAACATATCTGATCACCGACTATTTAGAAGTACCCTCTACAGGCAGTCTTTGGGGCTGTGTCACTGGATTGATTCAGTAAATTGCCATTGCTCTGACCTTTGGGGAAGCCTGGCACATTAGGGACCAGAGAGCTGAAGTGACTGCCTGAGATCACACAGCTAGCTACGACAGAACCAGTAGGAGGACTGAGGCCCCTGATTCTCAGTCTCATGTTCTGTGCTCTAGATTATACTGCCTCTTCGATTTGCTTTTTGACATACAACAAAAACTTTAAGCCAAATGAGTCACTCTTGATGGTAAACCTCGAAGTGGCCTTGAGTCAGAGGTGGAGAGTTTTTGGGATGTAAGAGGCTCTTTTAAATTCCCAGCATATAGAAAGTGGCCTGCTCCAGTTATTTTTAAGGATTATCCTGGAAAACACAGTAACAGGGAGTAATCATCTCCTATTATCAGTGTAGACACACAGGACAGGCAAGCTTTGATGAGTAGAGAAAATTAGAGGTAATCATCTGGAAAGAGCAGCATATTTCCTTACCAGCAAAGGCACTGTGTTGAGAAGTCGTGGGTCTTTTAGACAGACAAGAGCCCAGAGAACCTACTGGAAGAGGAAGGCCCTAAAACAAGAGGTGGAGTGACCAGGACAATCCTGCTTCACAATTGCCCTCATCACATCAACGTAAACTGACCCTTCGCTAATCGGGGCATGCAGAGAATCTTCCAGTAGCCAGTTAATCTTCAAGTTTGTAGGTCAGAACATTGCAGGGCTGAGTTAGCTGACCCTTGGATCTGCATACTCTTCCTCCAGGCTTACAGGCTCACAGATCATTTCTGTCCCCTACCCCCAAGGACCCAAGTGCTTTTAACTCTCCAGGCCAAATCCACTTTGCTCCTGGGCTGAAGCACACTGGGCACATTCTTGAACAGAGTTCAAACTAACAGGATTTCCCTAAAACAAGCAACTCCCTGGATGCCCTGGGAAGCACTGTGACTACTTGTGGGGATTAACTTAGCCAGAGCAACGTGGCTGTGGTCCAGAAAGAAAATGTATGTGCTTACAAAAAAAAAGCTGGCTCAGAGTCTTGGGAACCCCATAATCAGAAGCATACTCATTCTGACAGTTTCAAAAGACCCAACACCCACCTCAGTGTGACCTGGCGAGGGTTCAGAGAAATCCACCCCGTCTTTTGTCTTTTGGATGGAATGCAAGAGCCATGTAAGACTTCCTGCCCAGAAGGCAGAGAGTGGGCAGGCCTTTGCCACTCGCCTCAGCAATGTAGGGAGACATGGAGGCCATCCTTTGGCTCATCTTTGGGTGCTGTGACTTCATCTTATGGCATGAGGCATTCTGTGTTAATTCTACATGGCGCCCAAGTCATTGCAAATCTGCTACCTAATCTTCAGGGTTTCTATTGGTTCATGTTTTGTTTTGTTTTTTTTCCTGGGGAAGAGCTACTCATAGGTTGGGGTGTGGGTGGCTCCTGTCAAGACTGGACCTTGAAACAACAGCACTGGCTGGTAGAAAAGTCAGTCTGGGTCTAAGTAGGAGCTGAGTCACCTCTGGCTTCTTGGTTATTTCTAGTAGGCTAGGGAGAGGTCTGGGGCTCAGGGGAGCCTACTGTCTATCTTTAATGAGCCAGATTCTAAGGTTTGAGGTCTGGGAAGAGGGAAAGTCTTACAGCCACTAACAGACACTCTCCTGTGGTCTCTAACTGACACTGCATAGGACTTTGCCTGTGGGTGTTGGGTTTGCAGGCCGCTCCCGCAAAGGAAAATGAAGAAGCTGTCTGCTGCAATTTGTTATGATCCACATTTTCTGCAACTGGAAATGCCAGTGGAGGATTTTAAAATATTGGATCCATACTGAGCCAACTTCGTGGGGGGACTCTGGCAAATGGATGGCTTAAACATTTCCTTAGAAATCTTAATTTTCTAATACTGGCTGAATCTTGGGACAAAACTACTCTTGCAGGTCCAGGTATAGCAGCCAGCCTTCCTCTGTACACACGGGTGCTGGTCTGTGCCTGGGGATGAGGCTTCAGTATTATTCCTTGAAAGTCTTATTTTTGGCGTATGACTCCAATGATGATCACGGATGAGCATGGTACTGCACTTAAAGCAAGATTTCAAACCAGTGCTTTGTAGACAACCCTTAGTTAACACATCATTGATTGCTTCTTCCTCCAAATTCACCATCCTTGCATCTATACATTCATTCATTCAATGAACACTGAATGCCTTCTACTTGCCAGAACCTACCAAGTGCTGAGGAAAGATACAAAACTGATTAAGAAGGAAGAGGTGGAAGCATGATCTGAAGAACCCTTGAAGAGTAGCAGGGTCAGTGTCTTGCTTGGAGTAGGAAAAGGGAAGATAAAGAGATCTTCTGAACATGTAGGCCAAGACAACCCTTGAAGATTTAGTAGATTGGACTAATATGTGGTCAGATCACACATGGCAATGATATGAATGACCAGAATGTCCAAATCTGGAAGAGACTGGGATCTGAACTTGAAGAGGGAGAATATGGTCTCCTTTGTGGGAGTGCATGTTGTTGCCTTCTTATATGAGGGACCCTAGTGATGAGGATTGCTGTGAGGATGACTTTGAAGGGATGTGCTTTTGTTTGTGAATACCTCTATTGAAGCTGCTGGAAAGATTCTGGTCTGTGAGGAATTATCTGGCTGTTTTGATTGGAATGGATAATTCTACGTCAGTACTACAGGTTCTAATGGCAAGGGCTGATCCTAGAAAGGACATGCACATGATCACACTTGTCCACTAGACTAGAAGTTCCTTGATGTCAATAGTATTTTGTCCATTTCATATCCCCAGGCTTAGCAGATGCTTAATATATGCTGGTGAATATATGAAAGAAGTGAAATTTGGGTAAGACAGTGTGGAAAGGATGAGTAGAAACCCATTACTATGACATGAGAAACCCCTCTAGTATCTACCTACTTTTACTGAGTTAGGGGGAAAACCTGAGTCAATTTTCCTTGTCTTCTACCCCCACCCTCCACACAAAGACTGGGTGCAGAATTACCATTCAATTTTCCTCTTCAGCAACACTTTGTGTATTGTTGTCTACAAGCAATGGAAAAAAATGATGCTAGCCTAGGGAACTTAAAAATCTTGGAAGGGCATCAGTTTTGGCAAATTCTAATTCCTAGAGTTGAAAGCATATGTATCAGCCAGTGTCTCTCCAGAAAAAACAAAACCCATGCAGAATAATTTAATAGAGGAAATTTAATATGGGAAATTAGTTACAAAGGTTTTTAGAAGAGTTGAAAGAGCAACCAGGGTAAGGCAAGGCAACCCCAAGATTAGCAATTGCTGAAAACTCCTATTTTCCCTAGGGCTGGAGGAACAAAGGTATTACCTGAGCCAAGAGCCTGAGCTACCTGCTGAAAGCTGGTTCTGGGGGGAATCCAACTGGTAGTGTCTTGATAGAGAAGTCTCAGCCCCTAGTAGGGGAGGGGTGTGAAAACCTGGCTTCTCTTTTCTGCCCATTCTCAAATATCTGCCCATATTTGTCATTTGCCAAACCAAGCAGGAAGCAGTGGGGAACCTTGGTAGTTTATAGAGGTCATCCTTCTTTGAATATAGAGAAGAGCCGGGAAATGGCAGAGTCTGGATCTTAGAGCTTGTTTGCAGATGTCCAGCACAGCATCCACTCATCCATCCCCAACACTCCTGCTGACTCTCCTGTACGGTGTGAAGTTGAGGGAACATGGGTGCACTCTGCTTGGATAAATGGTGGCCCCTTGGGAAGGTTATACTGAACTATTCTCCTCTTTCTTCCATATTTGGCCTTGGAAAATATTCAGATTTCTTACTGAAGCCACTAAATCCCCAAACTAGCCTCACACTTAAGACTGAAACTTACATGAATGGAACACCTTTTAGGCAGCTCCTCATTAAATAAACACTTGACCAGTAAGGGGACAGGCTGGGTGAACTTTGTTTGTCCAGTCTTTGCTTCTTCATTTGCCCTCACCAGTGGGATGGAGGTGAGCAGGAGGGATAAGAGAGGACTGGACATGTGCTGTTGGGTTAGAATTCAGATTCATGGGTCTGCTAAGTCCTAGTTCACAGGAAATGAGGCCAAGCAGATCTATAGGAGAGAAATGGGGGAAACTGAGAGGCTCACTGAAACCACGGATGCCATTTTACATGCCTTGTAGGCTTCCACGGGGTAGACTCCTGGTTGGGGACCCATTCTGTTTGGAGATCCTGTGATCACATAAGTAGTCAAATGCCCTGTGTCAGTTAGAATTTGATCAAGAAAGCTGAACCACTATGAGGGACAAGGTGAATGAGGGCTTTTCTGTAGGGATTATGTTTTACACAGTTTTGGAAGCTGGTGAGGAAGTCGATAGAAGGCTGTTGCCTCGTCTGGTGATGGGCCTGCGGCCATTGCAAGTCCATAGGATCATCAGTTGGAAAGAAAAGGTTGGATATGAAGTGGGAATGGCCAAGGATAAACTGGAATGCGCCAGCATGAAGCCTTGAAGACAAACTGGAATTCACATGTGTCACTCGTTGCTTTAGTCCATTCAAGCTGCTCTAACAAAACATCTTATGTTGGGTAATTTATAAACAACAGAAATGTATTTCTTTCAGTTCTGGAGGCTGGGACACTCCAGATCAAGACACCAGTAGGTTTGGTGTCTGGTGAGGGCTTGTGTTCTGCTTCATGGGTAGTGCCTTCTAGTTGTGTCCTCATGTGCTCCCTTTAATCTTTTTAATAAGGGCACTAATTATATTTGTGAGGACATAAGCACTTCCCCACAGGCCTCTCCTCTTCCCACCATCACATCGAAGATTAACTTTCAACCTATGAATTTGTCAGGAGACACCAACATTCAGACCATAGCACTCACCACCTTGACAAAGCAGTTGGTTTGCAGAAGCAGGTGTCCTTCTCCATAGAACTGGGCACATGCCTGGTTCAGGACCCAGAGGAGCTGAAGGAAGAAATCTTGTAGGATCTGAAAGAGCCACAGGACCAGCTCTGCTGTCTTCCAGCAGATGGGCAGTGTACCTGTAGCAGCAATTTAAGCTAAAAAGATGCCTGGAGCCCCATACCTCCTTCCCAGCATAATGGAGGCTAATTCACTTTCACCTCCCAGATCCCACTCTAAAGTCTCTTGTAGCCAACCCTAACTTAGAACTGTACAAGGAAGAGAATTCTGAGAATTCTAGTTACAGTTTAGCTAAGTCAACCCAGGACAAAGCCAGCATATGTGGCAAGAGAGCTCGGAAAACTAATGGTTGGAGGAGAGATGCCTGTTTGGATACAGAAATGAGCTTTCATCACCCCTGAGAGAGGGAGGTATGTCTTTCACTTCTTGGTGGTTGGCAGCAGTAAAGCTGGTGACCTCCTCTCTGGATGGCTCCTGCACTCAGGGGAAGCCAGGAGATCTACAGCCCTTGGAGACCTGCGAGGGCCCTAGCTGACCAGAGGCTGCCAAGAATTTGCATCTCCAGGATGTATCTCTCTCAGGCTTAGGGAAAAGAGAACCTCTTTGGGCCACCCCAGCCTCTCTCTCTCCCACACAGATATAATCCCACCTCCCTGACAAGGCCGTTGTGAGAATTCATTCGTTAATGCTGGGGAAAGGGCTTTGAAGGTGAAGAGTGCATTGTGAATGCTGTTATAATTGTACACAGATGCCTGAATCCAGACTGGTGGCATTTTGCTGACTAATAGTAGAATTTGTTGGAGTTGGTGGTGACCTTTTCCTCCCGTTACATTTCTAAATATTTTGCTTGTCAACTATAAACAAGCCCATTCCAAAACAAAAATCAGTTCTTCTACTGATGCTCATAAAATTGTACTTGTTCTGTGGAGGATTTCCGGTTTCCCTTTCTCCCTCCTTTCTCTTCTCTTAGGCCAAATGAGGTTTACTTAGCTGTCTGCTTTCCCCTAGAGGAGAGCCTGCTGAGAATTGAACACACCATTTCTTGTTTACCTTCACATTCATTTCTGACCAGGTGGACAGGATGTCAAAGCTTTTAGCCAACTTTTCAGGGTGGCAAACATATTACAGACATGCATTGTTATAAATTACCATCAGCGGTGGACCACATATACAATTGTGGTTCCCTAAGATTATAATAGAGCTGCTCTATACAGGTGTACTATTTTTTTCTCTATTATACTGTATTTTTACTGTGCCTTTTCTATGCTTAGATTTGTTTAGATGCACAAGTGCTTACCATTGTGTTGTAATTGCCTACAGTATTCAGTACCATAACATGCTGCCCAGGTCTGTAGCCTGGGAACATAGGTCATACCATATAGCTTAGGTATATAGTAGGCTTGCCCATGTAGGTTGTGTAAGTATATTCTACGATGTTCACACGATGACAAAATTGCCTAAGGACACATTTCTCAGAACTTATCCTGTTAAGCAATGCATGACTGTGGTCAAACATTTAGATTCTCATTTTTTTTTTTTAAATAACTAGAGAATTGGCCTTTCCTACTGCACTTCTGGCATCATGTCGGCAGTGCTGCTGTTTGTATCTCTGTCCTTTTTTTTGAGATGGAGTCTCACTCTGTTGCCCAGGCTGGAGTGCAGTGGCACCATCTTGGCTCACTGCAATCTCCACCTCCTGAGTTCAAGTGATTCTCCTGCCTCAGTCTACCAAGTAGCTGATTACAAGCATGCACCACCACACTTGGCTAATTTTTCTATTTTTTAGTAGAGACGGGGTTTCACCATGTTGGCCAGGCTGGTCTCAAGCTCCTGGCCTCAAGTGACCCCCCTGCCTCAGCCTCTCAAAGTGCTGGGATTACAGGTGTAAGCCACTGCACCTGGCTTTGTATCTCTGTCTTTCTGAACCTTCATCCATTTCTTTCTTGTCCCATTTGCTTCTGTATTATAATTTTGAAGTGTGTAATAAGGACAACAGGTTGTAATACATACTTATAGCCTGTCTCCCCACCTCCCCTTTGAAGCAAGGCCTTTAATTTTTCAATATCTCTTACATTGGTTAAGATAAGATGAAAAGAAGAAAAGAGGAAGAAAAATATCTCAAATTACTAGAGAGGCCCAGTCGACACACGTAATAAAGAGCTGAGCCAAAGAGGGGAGCAGGGAGAGAAAAATGAAAGCAGGCATGAAGTGGGCTTTCAGGAGAGTGTGAGAGCCATAGAGAGGGAAGGAGTAAATAGATTTTTAGGGGGAGCCACTGATAAGTGTAAGAGAATAACCATGAAAGATATCTAAAGAGGGTTGGATTAGTCTGCTGGGATTGTCATAACAAAATGCTGCAGAGCAGGTAGCTTAAACAGCAGAAACTTACTTTCTCACACTTCCGGAGGCTGGAAGTCCAAGATCAAGATGTTGGGAGGATTGGTTTCTCCTGAAGCCTCTCTCCTTGGCTTGCAGATGGCTATCTCCCAACATGGCCTTTACTCTTTGTACATGGTAACTTGATGTCACGTCTTACAAGGACTACAGTCATATTGGATTAGGACTGCCTCTCTAATGACTCTAATGACCTCATTTAACCTTGATTACCTCTTTAAAGGTCCTATTTCTAAATACAGTCACATTGGGGATTAGGGCTTCAACAAATGGATTTTAGGAGGACGCAATTCAGTCCATAACAAGAGTTTTAAAACTATTTTATTATATGAAATATATGTCCTCCCCTGATTTGGTGTTTTCTAAAAAGAACAAGAAAGGATTTAAATAGCTTTCAATTACATTTATCTATCTTTTCTGTTGAATTGCTTTTAACATAGCACTTCACCAAGCCTGGGCCACAGGGCCTCTGGGTTTATATGTGTTACATTCAGATTCAGGCAACTCTCTGTTACCCAATTTCAACTAATTAGAATGTAATAAAGTAGACTTGATAAGAAAATCAGAAGGAACCTAATTTAATCTCTCATTTGTAATTCAAAAAGCCTCTTAGGAGTTTACTTATCCCCAAATATGAAAATTATATGTATGAAAAAAATCCAGCTACAGTTTTGTTGTTGAAAAAAACAAATGTCATGTAACACTTATTTTTTGTAGGTATAATCAAGTATTTATAACCACATGTAGCTCTATATAGTTATAATGCAGATTTTCTTTTGCTATTAAGAAAAAAAGAATTGTAGCCTCAACTCTGCTAGTTTCGTTTTTGATGATCATCTAAATGAAACCTGTCATTTAGTGACTGTAATTTGGAAGTATCAATAACTGTTTGAAAATAAGCAAACCACAATCTGGATGGGAGAATAAAGCTTGTCCTCCAAGACCATGGTCTGCTTCTCTGATTACTGCTTGGAGCTGCTGCAGATTCACATAATGGCTCCTTAACCAGTGCTCGGGGCAGTAGCTATGAAATCTGGAGCACATTTTGCCGAGGCTGCAGACACATGTTGTATGTCAAACATACAGTGCCTGTCAAGATACAGTTCTAAAGTATTGGTGGCCCCACACCCTTCACGAGATGTGTCAAGAGCATAGAGAAGTGCATGTGGCACCTTCCATTGTGGGTGCAAACAGATCTGCAGCCCCTGGACACATCTGAGCTACTGCATCACGTTGATGTGGTTATTTGCAGGGTCTAACCTCAGATCGTCTTGCTGAGGAATGGCACACAGAGCAAATATGTTAGAGTGGAAGAGAGAAAGAAAGAGAGTGTGGGAGAAAGTTCTGTGAGGGACATAAATGGAAGAAGATATGAATGTCTTGTTTATTCAGGGACAATTTCTAGGCCAATCAAATCAATGCTATAATAAGGCTAATCTGGTGCCTACTCATGCAATAAGACAATAGTGAGATGTGGGTCCAGTTTTACAAATGCCATAGTAGTGGGTCCATATTTCCCTGGGATGGGCCTTTTTTAAAGCCATTATTATTTATAATTCATTCACATATGGAAGACGATGGTTCCTTATGGTTCAAATGATCCAAATCTGGGCCTTTAAAGCCATGCATGATTTATTTGCACAAGGAAATCATGTTTTCTTTGGAGCTTTTCAATGGAGGCATAATTACAGTGTTGCAAATACAGTGCTCTATTTAAGGGTCTGTCAGCATTTCCATAATAAACCTCTATTTTCAGGAGTCCAGAACATTTCCAGAGAGAGAGAGAAAGAAATCCTTCTAAAATATAAGCTTGGTGGGTCCATCCGGGGACTTTATTTTTAATCCAAATCTGTAAATGCATTTGCAACCAGACAGTCTTCTGTATTTGTGTGGTGGTGCCAGTCATGTACCAAGCGTCGCTGGACCCTGCCCAGTGGGGCTTCAGCTTTAAAGCAGGATCTTCCTGGGAAGCAGCAGCGTGCTGGGTGGCTGGCCAGCTCCCTTTCCAGACCCCAGCTGATTGCCAACTTGCATCTCAGCTTGAAGAAAAGAAAAAAATGTTTTTGCTCTTGCTTTTTCTCTCTTCTTTTTCTGTTTAACTTAGGCATATGCTAACTTGGATCTTGAATAATAATAATATGAATAAGAACATTAAGCCTGATTTGAGGGCCCAGTATGTGCCTGGCGTTTTACAAATACTTAATTTTTAAACCTTATAACAATCCTGCAAAGTAGAAATGGTTATTCTTGATTTTTAGATGATGAAAACAGACCGAGGGGAGGTAACTTGGCTGGCTAAGAACAGGAGAGCAAGATTCGGGCAACTAAGGCAGTAACTGAGATATCCCCATGATGGGCTCCACAATCTTTTGGGAGGCATCTCTCAAGTTGGAGCAGCTCTTTTAGAGGGAATGAGACTAGGAAAGGTGGATGGACTCAGAGAAGACATAGGCAGGACACAGAAGGCTGGTGGGAACCGGCCAATCAGTAGAAAATGCCTTGGAAGACATTTAACAACCTCCCAGAGTATGGTTTCATAGGTAAGTGTGATTTGAGTTGAACCTGGATAAAAATATGTGAAGTTTTTGGAGGCTTGCTATGTGGCAAGCTTACACTTTACATGGATTATCTCATTTATTTCCCCATTTTACCAAAACAGAGAATGAGTTTTTATAGAGATTGGATAAAATGCCCAGGATTATATAATGAGGAAGTGGCAGAGTTCCCAGGTCTGGAATCTTGGTTCTTGACCATTATGCTTTATGGCTTCCAGGGGGCCAGTCTCCCTCCTTTTGGAAGGTACAGTGTGAATGGAGACAGGAAGTTGAAACTCAGGATCCTCCTGCTTTACGTGGGAGATCCTTTCTCCGAATTGCTGATGGATCGTTTCCAGGAGTTTGTGTGTTGGCATTTAGCAGAAGGAAAAAGGTAATATATACCCCTCTGGCACAGGGAGGACAAGGGACAGGCAATGGAGGGTAAGAGACCACCCTCTGCACTGCGTTTGCAGCCAACCACGGGGAAAGTGTTTTGTAAACTCCTGATCCCTCGTGGGTGGTGTGATTTAATTCTTTTTCCTTCTCTTTTCTGGGACTGCTTTTGGGTTGCTAGTTCCAGCTGAGACTAGAAGTGGCAACACACAGCCCAGGGAGCGGCAGTAGAGGAAAGAAGGGTTTTCACTAAGAAACTTTTCTTCCTTCTTCTTGAAGCAAAATCAGGTAACGCTATGGGGGATATTGCTTACTGAGGTATTTTCCTGCTGTTGAAGCTGGGGTCAGGGCTTAATGTTTAGAGGGAGAAACTCAAATTGTCTTTTTAGAAAGCAGGATGCACTTATCTTATGGAAAACGATTCTTGGGGGTGGCAAAATCTGTTCTGCCGGGATTTACTGAGGTCCTTCTAAGGGGTCTGTGTTGGGCATTATTCTCCATAAGGGAAAGTGTCTTGACTGGCATGGAAAAGCTGATTCAAGTCAGTGTTGGAGAGAAATGGTAGAGGGAGGTCCCTCCATGGTGCCAAAACTTCCACGCTAATTTGAGAGATTGCCACACTAGTCCTACTGAGAATAGGAAGTGAACTGACTAGTGTCTATTTAGAATAAGTGCTATTCATTTATTCAGTCATTCATTCATTCAACCAGTATTTACTGAGCATCTACTATATGCTGGACACTGAGATAGGAGCTAGGGATTCAATGGTGAGCCAGACAGATGTGGTTTCTACCCTCACAGAACTTAAAATCTAGTTGATAGAGACATTAAGCAGATAATCACACTAATACTTAAATAATTATGACTGTGATAAGTTCTTTAGAGGAAAATACAAGGTCCTGTGAGAACAGATAAAGGAAGAATTAAGTCCTTTACAATGCATTCAGCTGCAAATAACAGAAAACCCAATCAACAGTGGCTTGCCTAAGTAGGGTTTGTTTCTTTCACATAACAAGAAGTCCAAAAGCAGACATTTGCTGGCATTGGTTCAGCGATATCAAGCCTCCAGGCCATTTCTTGCCTCTTCCCTGCCATCCTCAACATAATGATTTTCCACCCATACGCTTGTTGCCTCATGGTTACAGAATAGCTGCAGCAGCTCCACTTTCAAAGACTGGAAGCACAGGGAAGGAGGTATACTAGAGAACTCTTTTCTCTAACATAATTGTATTTCATCAGCAGCAACATTTTTTTCCCAGAAACCTTTCAGCAGACTTTCTGCTACATTTTATTAGCCAGAACTGAGTTTGTTTTTTTTAATGAAGACTACAGAAAAGACAAACTAGTCAGTGATTATATGTGTATAATGATAAGTAATATTTGTGGAATGCCTTATAAGCCACACTTGTGTGTATTAAGTCGACTGATTCTTACATCAATCCTGGGAGAGAGACAGAGCAATTTTTCAGATGAAAGCATTGGAGCTCAGTTGAGGGACTTGACCAGAAACACGTAGTCAGTCCCCCTCCAGCTAGAGGTCCTCATCTCACCCTTGGGTGCTTGTATCACCAGGTCTCTGCTGTGTTTGGGAGAGTGGGATGATCCTGAGCCCTAAATGCAGTAGATTCCTAAGGGGACATGATGGTTTGCTCGCTGAGGTATTTGCTTAGAGTCTCGAAATGTTGATAGTGTCTCTCTGATGTTTTCCTGTGGCTATCCCTGGGATTCAAAGTCACATGGTAGGAAGGAGACCAGCTGGGAAGAAAGAAGCTTTCTTCTCATGGTGAAGTCAGAGTCTCACAGTGGAGCCTTTGGGATCCTTACTTGCCAGGATATAAAAACAGGTATAGAAAATCGTGTCTGCTGATGGAACCATGACCTCATTTCCAGAGGACTTTGGAAATGTTGATTTTAAGTGTTTTTGAGTAACCCTCCCCAACCCCTGGCACCCCACCTGGGCAAAAAGCAGTGCGTTTAACATCTAGGATACATGAATGAACATTTAAACCACAGATTCTCATGTTATTCTGAAGGCACCCAAAAGAGGCAGGCTGCCAATCATATGTGACATCCTAGTCTGCTCCCCCCAGCTCCCAGCATGCAGTGTGTGCCCGTCACAGCAGGGTCATGTCCTTGGGTCCTCAGGTTGTTTCACTCTTCTCACCTCCCTTGCTGCCTCTTGTATCTGGGCTCTGAGGTTGTTGGTTGTCTGTTGCTGGGCTGGTTGAAAGTAGAGACAGACCTGTTGGCTTGAGACCATCCTATGAAAATCAGGACTGGCAGGGAGCCCAGAGACGCACCAGCACGGGGCTCTGCATCCCTGAGTTACGCCAGTGGAAACAAGAGTCATGTACCCTGTGCTGGAGAACGTGTAAAGTTGACACCGTTTACCAGATGTTCCAGTGTTTTATGAGCTTTACGAGGCCTTCTGTTAAGTAACACTTACTTTAAAAAAAGTAAAGCTTGCCTGCTCTGAGTGGAAAGTTTTTGTCTTTTGTTTTTTTAAAAAATCTTTTGGGTGAACTCTGAGGCACCTGTTTGCACAGCAGAGCTCTGGCCTGTGAGGGGCTGCTTGTGGTGAGTGACAGGCAGGGAGAGGTATGTGGCAGGCAACCTGGTACAGATTTTAAAAGGCCAGAGACCAGAGGCCCAGGCTCCTGGATGCACAAATACACATGCAAACAGGGACCCAGATGTGCCCCCTTTCACTTTAATACAATAAATATGTTCCTGAAATGTTGAGTACAAATCACGTGTTTTTGTAGCCCCAAATATTAATAGGCTATTTCTTTCTTATGCTAGGAATTGTTGTAGAAACAAAAAATTACCATCTAATTCATTTTTAGTGTACTTTGGAATTTTCAAAAGATAGATTTGATTAACATAACATCCATTTTCATCACATGCTCTAGAGTGCAGCATATTACAAAGTGGGCATTTATCATATTTGGTGTCTTGAAGATGTCATTCAAGATGGTGAACAACTGGCATGCACGGACAGGCATGAAAAGTTCAATGCAGAACGCGGCAAACCTACTCAGGTGAAGGTCAGGAAGATCAAGATCTAAATAATTTGATGAGAGAAAGTCAGGAAGGAAACAGTTGCTCTGTGGGAGCAGTGAAGAGTTCTGTTCAGTAGTGTTGAGGAGAGGCCATCAAGAAGGCTGAAAACAACCTGGTTTGGTACCATCCTGTCCAAATCACTGCCACACACAGACAATGGGGCAATGGGGTGTGTTAAAATCAACACAGACCCCTGTCACCTTATTATCCAACTTAGTTTGGGGAGAAGGAGGAGGAGGAGGAGGAGGAGACTCTGTTTGTCCCACAAGTATATTTTGAGTGCAACTCAGTTATGGCCCAGCAACCAACCAACAATCTTTATAATTATAGCAGCACATCAGTGTCTATGGGTTAGAGGTCTTCTGACTCCTTAATTACATGTGTGGATCTCCATCCTTGTCTCTACCAGGGTCCATTGTCTAAAATCAATGCCTTCAATGGGAGCAGGGCTTTCACTGGGCTCTGCTGCATGCAGAGAGAGTAGAAAGGAGCTAAGTGTGGAAGGAAGCACCTCAGGTAACACTGGTTACCTGGAGCAGGAGCATTGAAGAGGGGAAGGTGGGATATGAGAAAAAAAGATCATGGAAGAGAAAAATGTGTGCACTGTATTAAAAGACAATATGTGTGATATCCCATTTATATAGAAAATGTATCTATGCTCACATATATAAGGAGATAGATGAAAGGATGGTTATCAAAATGTTGGTGATGATTAGCAGGTTAGTGGGCTTTAGGTTAGCTTTCATTTTAAAAAATACTTTCTGGAGTTTGAACTTTTTACAGTGTTTATTATTTTAAAATCAGAAAACAATAAAGCTACTTTCGATGTGAAAATAAAAATAGCAAAATAACACAAAGACAACTCCCTGCATTTCAGAGCTCAGGGTGTCTCTCCTCCTCTCTCCCCATGAAGCCTGGCTACATACTGGAAATGTGGCCTCCAGGAGAAATAAAAGAGGATACAAGACACGGATCACTGATGCCACGGCTGGGGTTGTGACGTCTTTTTGGAAAACCAGTTGTTGGTTACCAGGTGGATATCTCAGAGCATCAGCACCAACCTTGTGGAAACTAAGCTTGCAGAGGCCCCTGTGATCAGAAGGATTGCTCATATTTTTGCTTTCCAACGGATAACTACCGAGAAGGTACTTATTGTCAAATAAAGTTAGGCTTGTTAACTTCCTGCAGCAAGGGAGAACATACCCCAGGGACCCATCTCAGGAGGATGGAATGGGGAGGGGCATTTTATAAGCTTTGAACTCATGCTTAATGATGGTAAGGAGGGACTAGGGGAAATGTGGACCTGCTCTGAATTGCATGCCAACATGAAGTGGGGACAGGTTGGGTATCTCAGCAACTTCTGAGGCAGTAGGAAAGAGACAAAGCTGGAGATGTCATGGGCAAGGCAATCTCTAAAAAGAAGAATTGTTAGTCACTTTGCAGCATGGTGTGGCTTTGGGAGAAACACTGATTTTTGTTGGCCTTGCCTCAGGCCCTGTCAAGTCTTTCAGGGATGTTTCTGATGAACAGCTGGGTTGATTTTCGTTTTCCTTCCCTGGGGCCCAGGGCTAGCTGTCATTGCTGGAGAAGTGGTTAGTGGTGGTGAGGGTGATGGAGGCTGCTGTGTCCACAGTCCTGGCTGGGAAGGGTTAGGGTGGAATGCATGGAGCTTTGGCTGCTGCCCAGGACTTCATCCTTCATGGTGTTGTCAGGCATTGGAAGCCTGTGGGAGTGAGGAGAAAATTGCTCATCAGGTTCCACAGGGCAGGTCCTGTACCCACTGACATAGAGGCTTCTGGGGACAGATGCCCATCAAACCAACTGAAGATGCCTCCAGGCCTCCCAATAGGTGTTCGAGCCCCACCCTTGCTGTGCAGAGGCTGGGAAACTCCTCAGGAATCCTGCCTGACTTCCTCTGATTCACTTCATTTTCTCCATACCGCTGTTTTCTCTTCTATGAAGAGGGGAAAATCATACCAACTTCTCTAAGTAAAGCCAGGATGGCTTCGGGGGCAACCCAGATTATATTCTCCAAGAACTCCTAAGTTCAAAGAGAAAGAGGATGCCGAAATGTGTAGGTCTTAATGTGGGGTGAGCTCTTATTCTGTGGTCAGAAACACACAGTGGCCCCACTGACGATGGCGCCTGCCGGCCTGCCTGACGTCCTTGTGGAGTTACGATGGTGGCTGCCGCTTACTTTTCTTCCCTCCCTTTGCTTACCCTGAATGACAACTTCTTCAGGATGATACCCCTGAACCATGGCTTCCTCCTGTCTCAGACACGCCTCTTTTTCTTCCTGTTCCTATGGCATCCACCCCTAAATTTGTCCTGGCCTCATTCTCCCAGGAGCAAGGTGGAGGGCAGGAGGCAGACGGGCCCAGGATGGAAGGTCTCCGAGTCTTGGTCTTCTGACTCAGGCCCTGAGGCTACTACCTCTGTGGCTGCCCAAAGTGACAGGCGCGGCCTCCGCCTTAGTGGCTGGCCCGGACTCACTTTGTCGGCGGAGGGTCAGGACTGGCCCTGTAGTCTGCTCATAGGACCTGGCTGTCACCCACAGGCAATTCATCCTGACCGCGTCTGCAACTGTGTATGGAAAACAACAGCAGTCGCTTTAACAGCAAAAGCAACAAACACACACCAAACGGGATCATCCCTGTGCTCCCAGGTGGTGGGAGGCAGATACGGGAGGGAGGACACATTTTCCTGCGATATTGAATAAGATGAGCAATGGTTATTTTGGGCCAGTCTCCAGCAAGCATTTGGAGAGCGCCTCAGAACTGCAGATGAAGCCCCGGATTGACTTTATTGGGTGATTTCAGCACGGCCAAATATTTGTAGTGTAAAGAAATCATAAAACGTGCTGGTGGTCCGGGAGCTGGATGGGGTACAGTCTGTGCATATTTGAGATGACTGTGATTTGGTGACAGGCCTGTTTGATCCCCTCACCTAGAAATAAGTTAGGATCCGCCACAGAAATAAATTAAATGAAGATGGCCTGGAATCCATTTCCTCTGCCCGTCCCTTTTCCCCCCTTATCTGGAGAAATCAGCAGTTTTTTTGGCCTCCAGGTGCGATTTGTACTGAATGATCACAGTTGGGCTTTCTCTCCGGCGCTGGAAGCCTGAACTGGCTTCCTTGCCACCCGCCTGCTGCGGAGGACAGGGCTCCCTCTTAGTGATTATGTTCGCTGTTTGTGTAGTCTGCGGCATGTGCAGTAGAAGGCTGATCGGTTTGCTTTAATTAAGCTTCAAAAGAGAACCCAAGCCTCCATCTTATCTCCTGTTTGCTCCTTAATTCCCTTTCCACGGTCCCTGCTGTAGGTGGGAAACGGAGCCTGTGGTCAGATGCAGGGTGGGACCCTCACGGTCTGGGTGAGCCTTGCCTTGAGAATGAGTTTCTCTGAACTTCTTCCAAGGGAACTCTTTTCGAATGTTCTCTGATTTCCACAGGGAGCTAATTGCCAATGACCTTTTTTAAAAAAACCCTCTTGGGTGTTTCTCAGTGCAGGAAGAAGCAGTGGTGGGGAGGGGGAGCTGCGGCCGGCACTAGTGACCCCACCGTCTGAGAGCTTCTAACAGGGGGCGAGTTTCAGCAGGCTCCGTGGAAAGCCCTCAGTGAGGCCTGGTGAAAATAGGCCCCCCGTACTTTTGTAGAATTTTCCTTCTAAAACTAACATGAGGGCCGCAGCAGCAGCTTTTTGTCCCAAGTAATCACCGGATGGATTTTTTTTTTTTAACCAGCTTCTGTGCTCCTCAGAAGGAACATTTGTAACCATGCATTCTTTATGTGGTCTTCGATTAATAAACAGGAACCCACCTTTCTAGACCGATGGGGAAACAATTTTTTTTCTGTGTGCTGCTCCTGTGTGTAGGGTCCATGAATGGGGGCTTTGAGAACTTGTCCTTTCGTGGCCAGATATCAAAGTGCTGCTCACACATACAGATTGACCGCCTCAAGGTGCGGCCCGGGCCGCCGCCCGCGTGGCCGCCCACTGCGCTTCCACGCTGGCCGCCTGGTCGGGCCGCAGGGCCAGACTTGTGATGACCCAGTTTTCTTCCCTGGGATGAACGCCGACCCACCAGGAAGAAGGGGGAGACCACCAGCAGCCATTCTCCACCGAGTCCTAAAATAACCATATTTATATTGACTTGTATGGGCTCTTTTTTGTGGCATTCCTCTCCCATTCATATCCCTCTGGGAAGAGAAAGTTCATTTTTAAAGATTTTCTGGCCTCATGTTCTTCCCTTTCTTTTCTTTTTTTCCCCTCAGCTCCTCTCTCCTCCTCTCTCCTCTCCCCTCCCCTTTTCTCTCTCCTGTCTCGCCTCCTCTCTCCCCTCCCTTCCCTTTCTCTCTCCTCTCCCCTCTCCTCCCCTTCTCCTCTCTCTCCCCTCCCCTCTCCTCCCCTTCTCCTCTCTATCTCCTCCTCTCTCATCTCCCCTTCTGTCTCCCCTCCTCTCCTCTCCCTTCCTTTCCCCTTCTCTCTGCCCTCCTCTCTCCCCTCCCCTTCCCTCCTCTCTCCCCTCCCCTCCTTTCCCCTTGCCTCCCCTTCTCCCTTCCTCTCCTCTCCCCTCCTCTCCTATCCCCTCCCCTCCTCTCCTCTCCTCTCCCCTCCTTTCCTCTCTTCCTTCCCTTGTCCTCCTTTCCCTCCCACATCACAGACTGGGGTTCCCCCAGAGTCTTCTTCCTTGTGCTGCCTCAAGCATTGAGCTGTGACTTCAGGGAAAGGAAGCAGGCAGCATCAGGCTGGGGAGTAGAGATCACAGTCAGGTCCCTCCAGACAGAGCGACATGTGAAGGGCTGGGACTCTGTCTAGGATTCCTGAAGCCTGAGATTAGGCTGGTGAAGACGTGAGCAACAGCCAGGAAGACAAAAGGCAGCAACGTAGTAACTGGAAGTGTGTATCCTGAGTATTTTGGCAGTACTGGGTCCTCTGGAGGGCTCTCCTGTCTGGCAAAGGCATCTCCTGACCTTTGGCTTCTATTTGATTATGCTGGGAACCAGCTTCAGAGTGCCTATAAGCAGCAGCACTGGCCATGACCATTGACTCAGAGAGGGGTGAAGAGGCAGGAGTGTCCCCATTCTGTTCCCTCCTCCTTCCTCGCCTTCTCCCACCAGTCCTCCAACCCTTGTTCTGGTTACTCTAGAAGACCCTGTAAGGAAGATAGAGTTATGGTCACCTGGGCTAAAATCTGGACAGGTTAAAAGTAACACTCGCTCTGCCACAGTCTTCCAGAGCTTCTCAAGAAGCTCTTTGCAGAGGTGAGCGGTGAGGAGACTCTCAGGTGTAGTCAGGGCGGGGTTTGTGGCAAGAGAGGGGCTTAGGCTGTCTTTGCTGTGATTCACACTGTTCATCGTCCAAGGTGAGGCAGCTAAGGGGGCTCTCACCGTGACATCTGCAGCTGGAATCGAATGAGGTGGGACCTTTGGGTCTCCTCTACCTGCATATGTTGGCAGACAGGGATAGTGCGGGTTTGATCTTCATAGGGAAGAGATGCTGGGTGGCAGGAATGGGACGTTTTAGGAAATGGTAGAGGGACTAGTACTCAGCTCTCTCACACTCCTGCCCCCAGAGTGCCCAGAGGCCCCTGGGAGACACGCTGTGGGTGGGATGGGGAGCCCTTGTTCTCATGCTGCAGATGAACACACTGAGGCTCCCAGTTGCAGCATGACTTGCACCTTCAGAGTGTCGGTGTACCCCAAGCTGTGCTTTCCCAGCTGCTCCCCCAACCCCAGGTACGCATGCCTTTGCAGAGGAAGAAACGTGGGTGGGCCTGCAGTGCTGGTTGTGATTCTTAGCAGCCCTGATGGTTGTCCAGGGGATATCACCTGCCCAAATCTCACATAATTCTTACCCCTCTTTGTAGGGACAATGCCAACGGGAAATGGGAGGAAATGATGGGAGTATACACTGTGGCCGCAGCAGGGCAATGGCTGTAGACTGAAACATCCTTTGCACAGGGTGTGCCCTGTTTCTTAAAGCTTCCATGCTGATGGTGCCCTGTGGGAATACCCCACCCTGCCCTTGGCTTGGCTGAGACAGTCTCCCTTCTCCTCCCCTCATGCTCTCAGGCATCGCCAACACTCTCAGGAAGCAAGAAGACTCCCCTCTCCTTTCCCTGATTTGAAGGAAACAAAATTGGTCCATGGGCACGTGTCCAGGCCATAGGGCAGTTTGGAGACTTCTTGATAAGGGCCCTGTCACATGGACCACCAAGCTGAACCCCCAGGGAGCCAGGAGGTAAGAGTCAATTACTGAGGGGCTTGGAAGAAGTGAGAGCAGGTCCAAGAAAGCAGGCAGCAGGAGGGGAAGGGCTGTAATTAAGTAGCCACAGGCCAAGGTGCTGAGTCTGTTGTTTTTAGACTTTGAAATACTTTTGTTGTGCTAATGCAGGTGCTGCTGGGGGTGAACAACTGAGTGGCCTTATTGTGAGAGGAGTAGCTTTGGGTGTCTCTTTGTTAGTCCATGGCTGAAACACCCCAGAATAAAGTCTCAGAGTAAAGCAAGTCCTCCACTTGTCAAAGTGACTGTTGAAGGTTCTGGAAGATGAGGCCAATTCTGCTTTTCTGGCTTGAAGGAGGGCAGAGGTGCTGGTCTCTGTGAAGGGGTGGCCTATCCAGGATCCTATGCTGGGCACTGTCCATAATTCTAGAGTGGAGCCAGCCTTGGAGGAGCTGGCATCTCCTGCAGCATTGGTCAAGGGGATGTTTGCCTTGCCTCTCAAAATATTTCTTAGAAAAGGGGAGTTTCAAATAAATTTGGAAAACTCTACATTCTGCCTCTCTCTCGGATGTTTATGATGCTCTTTATCATGTTAAGGTCCTCAGAATTCCTAAGGGAAAGAAACCATTTAACTGTGTTCAGCTCAGAATGTTCTAGCATGTTTATCATGGGACCGAATTTACATAGACGCTAGGAAACAGCCTCTAGGAAACCCCCTTTTAAAAGTGAAATACTTCTCTGGTTTGGTTTTTGTTTCTGCAGGGGTGAGTAAAACATTTAGGGAGGGGACTGTATCACTGTATGAGACACAGTCCCTACTCTCCTCTTGTTGAAGAGGCAACACACAGCTCCCCATACCCCCAGATAACCAACCAGCCTTGAGAGGGAGGTATGGGGAGAGATTTGTTAAAGGATCCAAAATTACAGCTAGATAAGAGAAATAAGTTCTAGTGTTCTGTACCACTGTAGTTAACGGTCATATAGTTTCAAATAGCTAGGAGGAAGATATTGAATACTCCCAACACACAGAAATGGTAAAAGTTTGGGAAGATAGATATGTTCATTACCCTGATCTGGTCAATATACATTATACGTATCAAAACATCATCATGTATCCCATGAATATATATAATTATTATGTATCAATTAAAAATAGAATTAAATTTAAAAAAGAAGAGAGTAGGTTGCTGGGGGTAAGGAGCTAGGGCAGGCTGAGGGTGGGAGTGGAGACCAGTAGGAGAAGAGGGAAAAAGAGTGAATGTTGGGGTTGAGGAGAAGCAGGTGAGGAAGAGTAAGGAAGGAATGAGAGACAAAGAGGGCCCAGGGTGCTTGCTTCGGCAGCACATATACTAAAATTGGAAGGATACAGAGAAGATTACCATGGCCCCTATGGTAGGGGGAGGCGGGGTGGGGGGAAAGTGAGGATGGTTAATGGGTACCAAAAGAAAAAATTGAAAGAATGAACGAGACCTAGTATTTGATAGTATAACAGGGTGACTATAGTCAATAATAATTTGATTGGATTACACATAGCACAAAGGATAAATGCTTGAGGGGAGGGATACCCCATTTTCCATGATATGGTTATTATGCATCACATTCCTCTATCGAAGTATTTTATGTAACCCATAAATATATATACCTACTATGTGCACACAAAAATGAAAATTACAAAAAAAAAAAAAAAAAAAAAAGAGCCCAGGTGCAGGAGGAAGGCTGCCTGGTTCTGTCCTGTCCCCAGGCTCAGGTTCACTTTAGCCCTCCCTCACTGGGTTCTTCCGGTCTGTGGGGAGCAGAGAAGTGGGACCCCGACTGAGAATTCTTGGATGAGGGTGGTGTGGGGATGGCAGTAGCTGTTTAGTCCCTGTGCGGGGCCAGAGAGCCAGCGTCAGTGCTCCCTCCTCCTCTGGGGACACTCTGTCCCTTGCAGTGATGCCAGGGAGGTGTAGGGTCAGTGGAAGGGGGTTCCTCTAATCTGTTCAGGGTCCTTTAGCTGAGGGTAGAGGGCAGAGGGCAGAGGGAATGCGACTCTGGGCCCCATTTTGTAACTGGCTGAAGTCTGACTGCTCGCCGCTCAGAGGTAGAAAACAGAAGAAGAGAGGTGTGGAGAAAGGAAAGCAACTTTATGAAAATGCTGGTGGTTGGGGTATGGCCAAGCTCATGCCTTTGGAAGATCATTCCAACTTTTTAGGCCGAGGGAAGGGTTTTAGGAAGGAAAAGGTGTGGGAATAGGCAGGAGTAGTGAAAAGGGGCGCAGGTCCGCCTGTCTGCTCTGTGGCCATCTCGGTAATGGCTTGTGGGGAGGTCTGATTCGCATCATACTGACTTCAGCCCGGCAGTGGGGGGCTCACTGTTGCTAACTCTTCTTGAGTGGGAGGATCCTGCAGCTGGGTCTCTCTGCCTGGTATGTTTCAAAGTTGGTCCCTGGAATTTCTAAGCAAGCTCATAATTAGACAAGCGTGCACAGTGGGAAAGGAAGAAGCAAAGAGTTTCAAAGTCTGCCTCAAGGCTGAAAGTAAGAAAGGAAAAAAAAATGTTTAAATGCATCTTGAGGCTGAGATACTGGGTTACAAAGAATTCATCACCTGGGGCCTATCTTATGCTCACAATCTCCATGGCCTCAGGACGGGCATGGGGCCTGAGAGTGCTGCTTGTGAGGGCCAGTGTGTATCCCTGATCTGGGATGTGTTTCTGTGTGCCCAGGGGAGGATGTGACACATGCAGGCATGCCCAGCCGCCAGGCAGCACCTGCTTAGGGACACAGCTGCAGCCAGGACAAGGGGCATTCTTGGCTGCTGCCTCATGGCCACCGTAGCAGCTGCCTGGGTGTTTTCCCGCATTTTGGGTGTGATGCTGATGTTGGGAAGTCCTAGTGGGGAAGAGCCACCCAGGGCCTCCTGTGCTCCTTGGTCAGCCAGGCTCTGTTCTGTCACCATCACCAAGCCTCGACACACATCAGGCTTGGCTTCAGGGAGCCTCACTCAGTAACCTGTTTTGGCAATTGGTCCAAGAGGCAGAGCAAATTTTAGAGCCAGGGCTCAAAGTCAAATTTATTTCAATCTATGAAAGTGTATATGAGGATAAAAAGAAGAGATGTAGGTGGGGAGCAAAGGCAAGGGAGAGGAAGGGAGGAGAGACGAGGAAGTACTCACGTGGACAAGGGCCCACCCCAACTGAAGCAACTTCCTTTCTCATCATACAGATTAGAGGGGAACAAGTTTTGGCTGCATTAGAAAGAGAAAAAAAAGGAAAAGTAGAAGAAGAATTTTTTTTAAAAGGTAAAGAAAGCAGGCCAAGAAATTACTTAAAGGCTTTCTGAAGGCCTCATAGCTCATACTACTTGTTCCAAGTTATATAAGACACAGGGGAAGAGTTACAGGAAACATATGACAACTAAGCAGAATTCCACTCTATAATAACATTTTTTTCTCATATAACTTCTTTAATCCAAGGATCTTAAAACACTTCACAAATTTGCAACAATTAAACCTCATGGCATAGCTGTGGGAAAGAGTGTTGTTTTGCTCATTTTATGTGTAAGTGAGCTACAGCCCAGAGCGTTTGAAAGAAAATGTTTCCAGAGCCCGCCAATGAAAGTGGCCTGGGTCTGGGTCTCACAGAAAGCCTGGGCTCCACTGCGTACATCCAGGGAACTTCTGCTTCAGGGGAAGCTCTGCTTCCAGGAAGCCTCTCCCAGCGGCCTGCACCTCAACAGGCAGACAGCAGATGGTAGAAAACGGTCAGCTGGGAGAAGGAAAGGCTCTGCTGGCTTACAACAAATAAATAAGCAAATGAACAAATAAAGAAATAATAAAAATATATAATAAAATATAATGTATAATAAACATTTTTAAATAAAAATATAAAAGTTATAGTTCACTAAAATTTTATTCTTCTTTGCCTCATTTTGTTCTCCTTTTGCTGTTATATGTATGTGAAAAAGCAGCCATTCAGAATTTTTTTTCCCATAATGAGAAGGAAACTGGGAGCTGTCTTTTTCCGGGGTGGTGAGACCATGGGCCTGTGTGCTTGCATGTGAGAGGACAGGGGAAGTGAGGAAAGGGGAGAAAAGCCTGTGGAGAAGAGGACAGTTGCCTTCTTCATCTCAGTTGAAAGAGCCCTGGAAAATATTGATCTCACTTTTCCCTCAGAATGGTAGAAAGTATGAGAACTCTGTTGTGGCCTCAGGAACCAGGTCTGGCAGGTGGTACAACGTGCCAGGCTGGCAGCTGCGATGGGGAGAGTGGATAGTTTGACCCCAGCACAGCCAGGGACAGCAGAGCAGCCCACCTGCCCTACCACCTCCATCTGTTACTTGGACAGTTGATACCAGCACACAGGAAAGGCTGAGAGGAGAAACAGGGCCTCTCTCCTCAGCAAGCTTTTCCTTCAAGTTGAGATTTTCCTTCCCAAGTTATGCTTTCCACAACTAAGGATGCCTTGACCCTTCCTGAGGGTCTTGGGCTAGAAGGAGATAAAGGGCCTAAGGGGTCGGAGGTGCTGTGTCCTATTTTCCTCAATGCCTGAAACTCACTTGATGTCTTTGCCCCTCAGTTTCTGCATTTGAAAGACAGGAATAAAGATATTCACCTCTAAATTCTCAAGGATATTAGAAAGTCTTTTCTTTTTCTTTCTTTCTTTCTTTCTCTTTCTTTTCTTTCTTCTTTCTTTCTTTTTCTTTCTTCTTTCTCTTCCTTCCTTCCTTCTTTCTTTCATCTTTCTTTCCCTCCCACCCTCTCTCTTCTTTCTTTCTTTCCTTCTCTTTCTCTCTTTCTTTTCCTCTTTCTTTCCTTCCTTCCTTTCTTCCTTTGAGACAGAGTGTTGCTCTGTTGCCCAGGCTGCAGTGCAATGCCATGATCTCGGCTCACTGCAACCTCTGCCTCCCGGGTTCAAGCAATTCTCCTGCCTCAGCCTCCCAAGTAGCTGAGATTACATCTGCCTGCCACCACACCCGGTGAATTTTTTTTGTATTTTTAGTAGAGTCGGGGTTTCACCATATTGGTCAGGCTCGTCTCGAACTCCTGACCTCAGGTAATCAGCCCACCTTGGCCTCCCAAAGTGCTGGGATTGCAGGTGTGAGTCTATGCTACATTCATAAAAGACGTTCATCTTCTTCGGCCCAAAGAGCTGAAGCTAGTGAACCTCAACGATGGTGATACCAACAATTCCTTGCTACAATCTAACAGTTTGCAAAGTGCTTCCCAGAATCTGCTCCCATTAACCCGGGTTGAGGCAAAGCTTCACAGATATTTAACAGTCTCATGGTAGCACTCCATTTGTTTTAACTCAAAGATCTATCGAAGGATGTCATTGATTTTTATTGAGCTTCTCCCCCAAACTCTTAGGGGTAATTCTAAACTATCACTAGCAGAAACTGATCATGGCTGGACTCCACTGGCCAGGATAGCCAGTTCTGGTAGTCAGAACTCGCACATGAAATTGTAATGAATCTACTTCGTTTGAGTATTTCAGATGGGTTGTCAACATCAATAAAATTGCATAGATAGTTCTACCTACCTGGCAGCCCAGTTCACCTGGGCCTCTCAGAGGGTGTGTTAGGGTCTCGGATCTTGTCATTGTGAATCTGGGCAATGCTTCTCCTTTCTTCTCCATTCCTCTCCTCATCACCCCCTCCTCCGGTTTTCTAAATGCCCAAAATATAAAGAGCAATGGAACCATACAAGAGAGCTTAATTTTGAAAGGAGGTGAGCTGCATAAACAGGGATCTTTGTGTAGTTCTGGAGAATATTAATAGTCTGATCAAGTTTGTTGTAAATATATTTCCCTTATCTCCTCTAACTTGGGGACTGTACAGAGGGAGAGTCAGGGAGAGGGAGGGGGCCTTCTGGATTTTTGCCCAGGGTTACTCAGCAGGGACATGGTTTTCCTAAAGTTCCAGAAGGGAGGGGAGGCCACTGCAAGCTCCACCATGTGTCCCAGTATATCATGTTGACTCATGACTAGATCTTGAGAAAAACTCACAGAAGTCAGGAAATTCCTGGCAAATGCTCTCATCTCACCCTCTGCTAACCTTGCAGGGAGAGCATAGGTAGGGTCAGATCGGAGGATGTTTTTAAAAGGAAAAATCAAAGCATGTCTGTAGCTTCTGCATGCCTGTAGTGGGACAAAGAGTCCTAACAGGCCTGGCTGAAGATGCAGAAGCAGCTTCAAGCCCCAGTGACCAGGGACAGCCAGCACTGGTATGTTTCTTCGTTCTAGATTTTTATTTCTGCAAAAGATTTTCCCCCTCTCCTTGGCGTTGTTTCCCCATGGGGAGTAGCATCTTTCTTTTTGAGCAAAGCCAAATGACCAAGGCACCACCCCCACCCCCTTCAATGGACAGGGCCAAATTTAGAGTTGGGGTTGCTCATTTAAGCTTTGTATGTAATTGAGCCTGGCACAAAGGGTTATCATTAGAAGGAATGGCATGAAATGAAGGAATGGAAAAGCTCAGACCCAAATTAGAAAAGATGTCCTGAGGGAGAGACACAGTGGCAAGGCTGGGAGCTCTGGTCTCAGAGGAATTCTTAGGAGAAAGGACTGGGCATTAAAAGTGCCTGGATGGGACAACTAGGGAACTGAATATGGCCCTGCCATCTCTTGGGATTATTTGCTTCTAAGTGCAAGGGCATGGTGGTAAGAGGTGGCAACAGACACCAGAGGCATCAATTGTTAAGAGCCAGCGTCTGCTCCCAGGGCACCATGGAATGCTGAAATAGGATTATCCTCTTACCAGATGTTTACCAAGTGTGTCCAGGGCTGGGCAGTGTTACTTTATTCCCCAAGCAAATGGAAGGTGCTAGAGGACTCAGCCAGTTCCGCTGACTTACTGAACATCCTTGTCGGAAACCTTGCTGCCTATTGCTTTGGGGAATGGAGCCATCACCTCCCTCCTCTCCAGATGGGGTGTCCTACTGCTTGGTTGCTCAGTGTGGGTTGGGGACTTGGCAAGGGAACACCATGGAACAAACCAAGGAGGCTTTTTCTCTGAGGTGCCTGTCCCGGCTGACACATCTGTCACCCTTGGCTCCCCCCGGAAGTCCTGGAGCTTGATGGTGTGAAGAGGGCCCAAGTGAACTCCATACGGCTGGGCGCAGCTTGCCCGTTCACCCTGCAGGATCAGTCCTCCTGCCTGCCTATCCTAGCTGTCCCCCCGTCCTCCTGGTTGACTCACGTGGGAGCTGGCAGCAGGGGGCTGCAGTCGTTCCCTCCGCTCCTCGCCAGACTGTCTCTGCTCCCCACATTAATGGTGGTGTCCTAGCTCCATGTGACCCCGGCTTCTAATATTCTTGGGTTAGTTCAGACTATACAGCTGGCCCAACTCTAGGCTTCCTAGCCTTGTTAAAGCCAAAATGCTGTCTTTTACTACCCTGCTCTTTCCATCAAGTTCTTCAAGCAACCCGAGTTTTAGAAGCTAGATGACTCTTTTGGTGAGCTCTTCCTCTGGGGGTAGGGAGCCTGGGTTTCAGTAGGGCCTGGACTGGGCTACATCATTGTTATTTTTTTTTAATGGTAGTTTTAGAAAAGAAGGTTCAAAGGTGAGTGACCCTCCAGGAGGAAGGATTAAGTGGGTTGACTTGGGAGCCATTCAACCCAGGAGGCATTGCTAAGGAACATAATCTATTTTGCATTTCGTTTCATGAGCCAAAGTCAGTTATGGCATAGGAATAGCTTTCTCATGCTGTCTCTCCCTTTCTCCATTCTACAAAAATATTCATGCCAAATAATATGCAAGTTGTATAAACATCCCTTCAAAAAGCACATAAAGATATTATATATAGTCACATATGTCTCCTTCCAAATGGGTGTGTTCCTAGAGATGCATAGAGATATCTTTCACACCCTATATGTAAAAAACAGCCAATTTAAGAATTGGCAGAACAGCCTTGCCTAAGTGAGTAGAAAACTTTGGCTCAGGGCTCTCCAAACAATCCCATAAAACCCATGCTTGCTTTTATTGAATGGTGATGCATGAAAGACCAAGGGTGGCCAACTTGAATGAGGGCAGGAGCCAGCGTTCACAGGATTGTCATAAAGGGTGGCAGGAAAGTTTCTTTTTGCTGAAATTCAATCTATTCCTAGAAAAAAAAAATTGCTTCCAATACTGGCTGGCTGGATGTCACTCTTATGTTCACTTCTGCTGCAACATCATTTGAGCTCATCAATGTTCAAGATGTTACTTTTACATTTGGTCTTCTCGCCTCCAGCCTCATCCCATCCATTTCAGCCTCCACTCCACTGGCTGCCAAAGTAATCTTTTTAAAAGGCAAATCAAATCTATTACTTTCCTACTTAAAACCCTTTGGTGGCTCCCCGTTGCCTGCTAAAGTTCAAATTCCTTAGCTTGGTAGACAAACTCCCTCAACCTTCTGTCCTCCGTTACCCTTTAAGCCATTCCATGAAGTCCCCCAGCCCCATGGACGCTCCACTCCAGCCATTTCAGACGGCCTTTGAGGCCACAGTCTTCCAAGCCTCATGCATTTGCACATGCAATTTCCTCCACTGGCATATTCCCTGGGGATATGAGTGGAACAGTGATAGCATCTGTGGTCAGAGCAAGGGGGACAGGAAGATGATGTGGTAGAGTGGAGGGTGGCACTTTTAACTAGGGTGGCCAGAAAAGCACACTTGAGAAGGTGACTTTGAGTGAAGGCTGACGGAGATGAGGGAGACAGCCTGCAGATATCTGAGGGAAGAGCATTTCAGGCAGCAGGAACAGCAAGTGTAAAGGCACTGAGGTGGGAATGTGCTTGGTGCCTTCAAGGAATAGTTGGAGTAGGGTGAGCAATAAAGGGATGAGGTGTCTGGAAGTTGGGTGAGGACCATGGAGCTCTTGACCCAAACACTTGCCAGTGTTGCCAGTGGGAATGAGTGACCTGAGCCAGAAGGTTGGCTGTGAAATGCTTGGAGGTTGCAACACTTTGCTTATAATGCAGATGAGTGTAAGAGTGGTTCTGAAAGTGTCAGGCTCTAGACTTTACTTTCTCCCAACCTGCATCCACACAGTCTCAACAAAGCCATTTTACTAGAATTTGACACCCTGATGACTAAAAAACCAGACATCTTTGAGGAGGCATTAATGTTTAGTTAGAGTCCAGGACTGGGTAAGTAATCCTCATCCTCAGGAGCCTCCGGGGTGCTTAACCCATACCTGATCTATCATGTTCTCCATAGCAATTTATTTTATCAGCTCTTCCCATTCCCATTTTATAAACATTTATGGTAATGCCATATATAGATCTTTCAAGTGCTTGGACAAAATTGTGAATTAAGGTGTCAAACTTCTCCTCCACCTTTTTATTGTGGTAAAGTATACACAACATGAAATTTACTATTTTAACCATTTTTAAGTACATAGTTCTGTGGCATTAAGTACATTCACACAGTTGGGCAACCATCACCAGAACTTCATCCTTCCCAACAGAAGCTCTGTATCCTTTAAGCACTAACTCCCCCTCATTTTGCTTTCTGTCTCTATCAATTTGACCACTCCAGGAACTTCATACAAAAGAAATCATACAATGTTTTGTGTACTGGCCTTTGTGACTGGCTTATTTCACTTGGCAGAGGTCTCCAAGTTTATCCATCTTGTAGCATATATCAAAATTTCCTTCCTTTTTAAAGCTGAACAATATTCCATTGTATGTTTGTGCCACATTTTGTTTATTCTTTCATTCATGGATAGGCACTTGGGTTGCTTCCACCTTTTGACTCTCGTGAATAATATTGTTATGAACATGGGTGTACAGGTATCTGCTCTCACTTCTTTCTCTTCCCTTCTTTAAAGGTAGTCTTTGAGCAGAAGCACCTCTTGGCTGCTTGAATCCATCTGGATGGCTGCCCTTCTCCCTTGTCTTGACTTGGCTTTATTATCAATTGATGATGAAGTCTGTTTCTGATGAGCTCAACCCTCAGCCACCAGAAAATTAGGCTCTGAATGATATATACAGAAATAAATGTGTGATGACTTTTCTAATGTCACTCCTTGGGAAATCACTAGCACTGCTAGAAACAGAGACTAGGGATTTCCCCAGGGCTGGGCCTTCTCATTCTCAGATGGTGGCCCCTTAGGGGTCAAAGCCACAGAAGATGGCCAGTATTCTGCCTGGGAGAGTCAGTGGGCACCTCCCAGCCAGGGCTCCTGGACATCTCTTCGGAGATCCTGGTCCATTGGCTGCAGCAGAGCCTGGATGAAGCCAAGGCCGTGGTTTCAGCTGCCCCTGGGCCAACCCTCCTGACTCAGTGGCTATAGACTGCATTGCTACTCTCAGGCAGCTGACCTAAACAGCACTTGGACTTGAACAAACAAAATGAAAATTGTAAAAGAAATTTATAATAGAAAAAAATCACATGTTTTCAAAATAGAGGATGCCCAAATATGAGAGAGAATGGAATGAACTGAACAAACATGGGTGTTGGAATCAGCCAGATATAGATCAAGACATGGGTCTTATCAGCCATGGGGTTTGTGCAAGCCATCCAAATTCTGTGAGCCTCAGCTTCCCCATTTACAAATGGATATAGGGTCATTAAATGAAAAAAAAATAAAAAACATGAAACTTGCTTTTATTGAGCAGACCTTATTGCATATTAGAATCACCTGGAGAACTTTTAAAACCTAGGATGTCTGGGTATGACTCCTAGAGATACTGATTTAATTGGTCAGGGGCACCGATAGTGTTTATAAAACTCCCCAGGTGATTTTAATGTGCAGTCAAGGTGGCATATAACTGGCCTAGAGTGTAGCAGACCCTCCTCAAATATTAGCTTTCCTCAGTCCTCCTCCCATGCCTGCAAAAACTCTAGAAAGCACATGCCCTCCCTCACATGGAATAGCCTTGGCATCAGCTGCCTTGGTTCATATCACAGCTCTGTGCCAGTGACCAGGGTTCCTAACATAGCCGAGCCTCAATTTCCTCAATGGTAAGATGGGATTGATGACAGAAACCACTTCTAGTTTTCTGTGAAGATTAGAAGAGATAACGCATGGCTTGGAGTTAGAGAGTACACAATAAATGTCAGCTCTTATTGTGAGCATGGTCAGTGTCAAGTCAAGAATCCCATCATTTCCACTGCAGCCAGCCCTTCTCACCCCCTCCCTCCCCAAACCCCAAAGCAGAGAAACCAACCCTCCTGTTCCCTGCAGAGGGCTGGTCAGTTCCAGCTCTCCTGCTGAGCCATGTTCCTAGGAGATGCCTGGTGAGAACTTGGGATCAGATTGAGTCAGAGGTATTTGTAGACTTGACTCACCAGGTCTTAAAACCAGAAGATTGCCCTGTGGGTCTCATGACATTCCTGGAAAATAAAAGAAGTGAATATTATTGGGCTGAGTTCATCAGACACTCAGCCCTCCCTTTTGTATGCCGGTGCTTCTGAAGAGAGCAGGCAGCAACTTAGCCAAGTCTGAACCATCAAAGGCAATGGCCTGGTTGCAGTGCAGGGAGATGTTGCTTCTCCTGAAGACAGGTCTGTTCCTCTTTCCATTCCTCTTCTCTTCCAGTCCCCCAAGGCTATCGACTTTCTCCTCCTTCCAGGTTCCTGGGAAAATGTTTCTGAGGGCTGCCTCTGGTGAGGTGTGTCAGAGCTGAGCTATTTTCGAGGGCTGGGTGTGGGCTGGGAAGGGGCCACCCATATTCCAAAGAATAAGAAAGGGAAAGTTCCCCTTCTGGAGCCAGGATTTCTGGAACCTTGCACTGAAGCCCCAGCCAGGTAGGGGACCCATTTCTCTGAGGCCTTCTTTCCCCACACTGCGTCACATCCCTAACAATAGTAAGTCCTGTTGTTTCCACATCCCAACTATCTCTAGAATCTACTTCTCTGTATCTCCAGAGCCACA
The DNA here is from genome assembly GCF_000001405.40 of Homo sapiens. Taxonomy (NCBI): domain Eukaryota; kingdom Metazoa; phylum Chordata; class Mammalia; order Primates; family Hominidae; genus Homo; species Homo sapiens. The sequence continues at coordinate 45,656,615 of NC_000006.12, forward strand.
ACCCTAGCAAAAGCCACTGCCATTTTATAATTTCTCACCTGCAACTGCAACCTCCTGTTTCTACTGTTTCTATTCTCTCTACCCTTGTCTTCCCAACCTGCCACCGGCAGGCAGGTAAAATTTTCAAAATATAAAACTGATCATGACACATACACGCATATGCACATTTAAGCTTAATACTCTTTCAAAGCTTCACATTGCTCTTGGGATAAAGGCAAAACCTCTAACAAGTCTGACAAGGTCATGTAGATCAAGATTTGGTTTGGCTATGAGTGACAGAAAACCCAAGTTAATAGGGGTTTGAATAGATAAGGTTTTCTTTTCTATGTGAAGAGTCTGCATTTCAACCAGTGAGGATTGGCACAGCAACTCCTTAAAGTGATGGGGGACTCAGACTACTTGAGTTATCTGCTCTGTCATCCTTAGTATGCAGTTTTCACTTCACAATCCAAGAGGGCTGCTTGAGCTCCAGCCATTGCAACCAAATCTCAGCTCACAGGAAGGAGGAATTGCACACAGCACTTCTACTTGCATCCTTCTGTGCAGAATTTAGTCACATGGCTACAGGTAGCTGAAAGAGAGGCTGGAAAATGTAATAATATTTTTTTCCAAGTGGCCATAGCCCACCAAAAATGGAGGAAGAAGGGGAGAATAGATATTGAGTGATAACTGGCAGTGTAAATCATATAGTACTCCTCTCCTGAGCATCATTATACCTCATGCCTTCTTCCCTTGGCTCTCTCCACTCCAGACACACTGGCTTTCTCCAGATGTTCCACACATTTGCAATACTCCCTCCTGCCATAGGCCCTTGCTCATGCTTCAGTGTTCTCTCCTCCCTCCTACTTAATTACTAATCCTTCAGAACTCCACTCAAGCAGAGTTCCCTCAAAGAACCTTCCAGAGGTCAGATCCTCATATTTAGAAGGGATTTTTTATCCTCCTCTTGTATGTTTAGCTTATAACATGTAGATTCTGTCACTGTTGCAATCACACATTTGTTTTGTATGACTATTTTCTGCACATCATCTGTCCCATGATGAGGACAGAATTTAGGCTTGGTTTTGTGCACTATGGAGCATCCTGCCTGGCACACAGTAGGTGCTCAATAAGTATTTCTTGAATGAATCAATGAATAAATTTAGATATTACCTAAAATGTATTAAAGGGGGACCAAGAATTAGGCAAAGGGTTTTCCTGGGGCAAGTCATAGGGAGTGGCTGAGAGGGGTTGGGAGATGCATTCTAAATAGTCCATCCAAATCTAGTAGGCTTTAGGTGTGGCAGAGAAAGTGTTGACCTGGAACTCAGAAGACCTGTTTTCTGATCTCAGCTCAGCCATCAACAGCTGGGCCACTGCCTAGAGACAGAAATGGTCAGATGTTGGGTATATTTTGAAGGTAGAGTTGACAACAATTGCTGACAGATTGGATGTGGGAATTGAGGGAAAGAGAAGGGTCAAGGATTAGTCCTGGGTGTTTGGCTGAACACACAGAAGGCCATTTATGGAGAAGGGGAAGACAGTGAAAGGAATAGCTTTTAAGGAGAGGGTCTGAAACTCTTATTTGCAAATGAGCCACATGTTCCCATAGCCAGATGCACACTTCAACTCTTCCACAGAGGAAGCCTAAGCCCCAGGCTGGGGGGTGTCAGTGGTGGAGAATACTAAATGGATGTAAAAAAAGTTAACTGAACCCCACCCCATCCCCCCAGAAAATGCCCAAACAACTGGACTTTCAAGGTGCATAGTTACCAGCCAAGTTATTCAGCTTAACTCAGCAACAAGATTGAAGAGAAAGTGGTCAGAAGACCTTGATACTAGGCTTGGTAGGAAGCAGTCACTTTGGGCTCAAAAGTCAGTGATGAGGGAAGGCATATCCATGCATAGTCACTGCAGAAATCTTTGAAAATTAAGAAAATTACAATCCCAGTACATGCCTCACATGCCTAACATCACCATGTATTTTCTCCCAATCTTTATTGTACACATTTTCCTGTAAGCAGTGGCACTCATCTGAATAATGTGATTTGGCAATTTCCCTTTCTCACTAAACATTATCATACATGTTTCTAAGTTGCTTTCTAAACAGGCTGTACTGATCTACTCAACTAGAATCAGTATATTAGAATGCTTCTCTCCTGGCAATCTTGTTCACAATGAGCGTTAGCAAAAGAATACTTTGACAATTTTATAAGTGAGAAATAGTAATTCATTATTATTTTAATTTGCAGGTTTAAAAAAATTTCTAGAGAGCCTGAACACTTCTCAAATGCTTGTTAGTTACATTTTTTTTTCAAGTGACCTTTGCAAAGATATTTCTAGACGTGGAAGGAACCAGAATAACCAATATTTAGTTAAATCCCACTTCCTTCACCTCAAGAAGCAGCATCTCTCCCTTCAAAAACCAACCATATGTATGAGGGGGATGGGGGTGGCAAAGCAGAGAGAAAGAAGTGCTGTGGTAGAAAGTTTGCACTCAACTGCTGCGTGGCAATGGCTCACCGCCAGCCTCTAGTCCACCTTCTTGTGAATGAGGGTGAAAGCTTTATAAGCAAATCAGTGCTAACTATAGCTGGTGGATGTCTGCTGTGCAGCTCTTTTGGATTTCCGCCCTAATCTGATCTGCCATCTGGGTTTTGATATGCACAGAGAGGCAGTCTGTTTTGGTGAGATCTACACCCCGTGTGCTCTCCCACTGACTCTGTGGGAGGACAGAGAGTCCACAGCCCGATCTGCTCCTTCAGGTAGGGACTCTGCCTGGTTTGGCTGTGTCTTAGAATATAGTGTAGCACCTGGCACACAGTAGGTTCTTATACATATTTGTTCTGTGACTGAGTGATCAGGATCCTGAAGGGATAACTAGGAGAGAGGAGACGCTGTTCTCTCTGTTCTCACTTCTATTCTCAGCTGTGTCACTAAACAGTAAGTCACTTTCTCTCACTGGCCTCTACTTCCTCGTTTTAAGCAATTAATCCAAAACGGCAGCAAAGATTTCTTCTAACTCTGAAATTGTGTGAAAACTTTTAACCCATCTTTGCTTTAGTTTCTTCATCTATGAAATAGGCAGGATGAAAATGTCAATCTCCTATGAGGGTACCCGATAAAATACAGGATGCACAGTTAAATTTGAATATCAGATAAACAAGAAACACATTTTTTCAAAGTATAAATATGTACCCAATATTGCATAGGTTCGATAAATAACTGGAGTGCTGGATGACCAAACAACATGCAGCTGGATCTGTTTATTGCATTTAGAGTTGTGTTTCTAGACTATGATGATTACATGGTGTTCAATCAACAAGTATTTATTAAGAATCTACTATACTCCAGGCACTGTTGAGGCCCTGGTGATACAGCAGAGAATGAAATAAGCAATGTCCCTGTTTTCACTGGGCTTAAATTCTAGCTAACAAAAGGTTCACAAAATGTCATGTAGTCTTCATGCTCAGAAGGCTAGCAAAGCAGGCTAAGGGCCAGAGACCATGTGGAGGGCTGAGAAAGGGAGTTAAGGAGGCTGAGGAACCCAACTCTGTGCACCTGAAAGCCCCCAACCTCCACACAGACCTGTGTTTGTACAGCAAGACTGTGATATTATTTTGTAGCAATCCCCAAAGCTGCATAAAAATGTCATTGATTCAAAAAGCTCGTGCACCAAATTTGGGATAAAATGAGCAGTAGCTTGGATGGAAGAGACCTATAAATCATTTAGCCAATTTTAGCTGAGCTAGGGCTGCAACCAACTTTCCTGACAGCCAGGAGAAAGTTCTGGGAGGTGATGTGGCTTGTGAAAAAGTGATTCTGATTTTCAGTTCTGTTTACCAGTGTGGTTGGGTTAAGTCTTGACAACTTTTGTACATGTTTTAAAGTTTTAGCTGAAACAACAGTGAAGCATTTTTCTTTGAGACATTTTTACCCTCACTGAGCCAGTGCTCTTTGGTTCAAGGTTTTGCTGGGGCCTATTAAGTGAATGGCTGTAGAGGTCTTCTTTTCTTCTCTTCTCTTCTCTTCTCTTCTCTTCTCTTCTCTTCTCTTCTCTTCTCTTCTGTTCTCTTCTCTTCTCTTCTCTTTTCTCTTTTCAGATGGAATCTCGCCGTGTTACCCAGGTTGGAGTGCAGTGGCGCGATCTCAGCTCACTGCAACCTCCGCCTCCCGGGTTCAAGAGATTCTCCTGCCTCAGCCTCCGAGTAGCTGGCATCACAGGTGCTTGCCACCATACCCAGCTAATTTTTGTATTTTTAGTAGAGACAGGGTTTCACCATGTTGGCCAGGCTGGTCTCGAACTCCTGACCTCATAATCCGCCTGCCTCGGCCTCCCAAAGTGCTGGGATTACAGACGTGAGCCACCGCGCCCAGCCGAGGTCACCTTTCTTATACCTCTGGTAGCCCAGAGAAATCTCAGCATCATTGCTATCACCACCTTTATGATGGCATTAGGTCTCTAGGTTGCTTCTACCCTAGAATATTCTGTGTGCTTGCCTCTATTTCATTTTACACATTAGACTTCTATTTGGTTTAATATAGAGATTTTATTGTCTGCTACGAGAATTGGATATGTGAAGCTCATTAACATTTCTCAAGTAAAACTAGAGAAAACAGTTTGTGGAGTTTCTTTTTTATCATTTTCAATTCATAGTGGTTGGGTTCTTAGAACTAGCCATGATTCTTGGTTTATAAAAGAAAATAATCACAGACACCTGGGGATATATAGCTTTGGTGGGGGAGAGGCAGTTCTGTGAAAGTCAACAGCAGAAAGTACCCATGAGCTTTTTGTTTGTGAGACAGGGTCTCACCCTATTGCCCAGGCTGGAGCATAGTCATGTGATCATGGCTCACTGCAGCCTCAACCTCCTAGGCTCAAGTAATGCTCCCACCTCACTTCCTGAGTGGCTGGGACTATGGGCACATGCCACCAAGTTTTTTGTAGAGATGGGGTTTCACCATGTTGCCCAGGCTGGGCTCAAACTCCTGGACTCAAGCAATCTATCTGTCTTGGCTTCCCAAAGTGCTGGGCTTGCAGGCCTGCACCACCATGCCTGGCCCCATGAACTTTTTCCATCAGAGAAGCTCTTAGGCACATTGCTGGCTTCTCCTCAAATGCTGTCACCCAAGGAATAATTGCCTTTCTGATCCCCTCAGACACAATTCCCACACAAACTGGACATCTGAACATCTGGGGCCTGTGAGCTCTGTGAGAACGTTGTTGGACACTGGAGTCGGGAGGGATGAGGGACCAACCTCTCCCCAGATGACTAGGGCTTCTCTGAATCTGAGCCAGACACCAGATGAAGGAACAGCTCACCCATGACGAGGGTGAGAGCACACATGTTCACAGGCAGCGGGGGATATGTTTACTCACTGACTCTTTCATCAGGTCATCCTCCCCAAGATAATAAGCTGAGGTACTCGAGCAAGTTCTGCCTTTGAAAAGCTTGGAATCCCCAAAGGGCGGGGCACCAGGGTGGGCACTCAAACGGACAATGCAGAAAGCCAAGCGCAGACGGTTCTAGCTGGAACCGGGAGAGAAGCCTCCAAACCTGGCTCCAGTAAAACTCAGAAATGTTTCCAGGGTGAGCATGGACCATCTCCCCAAAGGCGGTGACCAGGGTGGCTGAGATAGCTCAGTTAAGGTAGCTCGCATTCATGTGGCTCCTTTGATCTGAGGTTGGTAAACCTTGTTACCATATCCAGTCACAAAGAGCTGCCACCTGCTTTCTACCTGGAAGCTCAAGGGATTAGGGGAGAACTAACAAAAGTCGGTCTGTAAAGTGCTTCCAGATTTTTAAGTGCGTCCACTGTGAACTTAGATCAATGCTTCAAGCTGCAGACTTTTGAAGGCAGAATGATCTGTTCTGAAGGGTCCCAGAGGCTATTGGCCCCAACCTTCTTATATAAATGGGAGGATGTAACCAAGTCTCCAAGGAGGGATGGGGCTTGCCCGAGGTCCCATGGCATTTTCTGGCAGAGCAAGAATCAGCACTAAGGTCTCCTGGCTCCCGGCCCTGAACTCTTTCTCCTCCACCCTGAGAGCCTCGCTCTGCTGGGGAGGTGGAGGGTCATCTGTTTAACACAGTTCTGTTTTTGGCAATCTTGGGGAAGGCCCTTCTTGTCATAGTCTTCAGGGCTGTCCTTGGCAAGATTGCCTCCAAATAAGCTGCAGCATGGTCCCCTGCCTGGACGTCCATCTCTGTCTTCACACCCGTGCCACCTTTCGAGACCAAGTGGAGAGCTAGGTCAGGATGCCTTCTTGGACTTGCTGATCTTCTCTGCCCCTGAGTACCTAGGCTCTGTACCACACCCTCTTCACTTTGTTCTCCAGTCATTAACTGCTCATATAACCCTCTTTTCCTTACTGAACTGCAAGCTCTGATGGGTAGGAAATACATTTCCACCTTCTCATTCGTTTAAGCACCTAGCATGGAGCTGGGCATAGAGTTGGCGCACAATAAATGCTGATGAGCATGCATGCCTGAGTGACTCTCTGGTTTCTTCCTTGACAGATTCAGAGCCCAGTACCTTGGACTCCCAGTCTTCGACCACCTTGTTCCTCTCCTCGGAGGAGCCAGGCCCCTCCACCGCCGCCCTGCCATCTCCCTCCTCCTCTTCCTGCGAGCCTCAGGCCTTTTCCCCAGGTCCGCCAGCGCTGCCTCCGCTGTTGCCTCCGCTCCCCGCAGCCTCGGCGCCCCCAGGCCCCGGCGCCTCCCGGCGCACAGGCCGCTACTCAGTCGTCGCCTCCTCCCCGGAGGCCGCCCCGCGTCTGGTCGACTGGCTCCCCGGTTGCCCTTCGACCATCTCTCCCAGCACACGCGGGGATGACAAGGAGCGGCCGCCGCCCGTCCTGGCACCGGCCGAGGGCCCGGAAAGGAGCCGCGCCCCGCGCCCCAGCACTGCGGGCAGGGAGGAGGGCACCGTGGACGCGGGTACATCCCCGCCGCCCCGAGCCCGGCCCGCCGCTGCGGCGAGCTTGGAGGCCCACGTCGGGGACATCCTGGTGGAGCTGCGGACCATGAACGGCCACCTGGACAGCATAGCGCGGGCCCTCACCAAACTGGCTTCGTCCCTGGGGCCCCAGCCTGAGCCCCTGCCAGATGTTTCGGATGCCAACTAATGGAGCTCGGCGAGGCTGGGCCGCCCCGGGGCCGAGGGATCGCTTGCACCAGGCATCCCTGCCTGTCCCTCCCCAGCAGCGAAGCGCGCCCAGCGGAGGAGCGGTTGCTCTGCGCAGCTGCCTAGCGGAAAGCACGGCCCTAGCGTTTCAGCGTGAAACAGACCCGGTTGCGCCTCACACCCTCCTCCTCCGCTCTCTCACGGCGGCCCCTGCCCCGGCTTCCTGGCCCTTCACATGCCCTTCTCTTGTCTTGAGCGTCTAGCAGAAAAAGTGCCTGGAAACGGCGGTGGCACCCTGCGAAGGATGCTTAGAGAAACACTCTTTCACATCCCATTCCTGCGACTTCCGCGTGGCGTGGAGGGAGAGGAGCTCAAAGCAAGTCGCCAAAGCAGCAGCGAGGCCAGCTCCAGCGTTGGTGGGGCATCCATCTCTGGTGACGTTCACAAGTTTGTTTGTTTTTAAAATCGTTTTTGGAAAAATATTTTTTTTTCCTCATAAGCACATTTCAAGAAGTTTGGAAAATAGAGAAATGAAACAAAATCTGGTGTATTTGTGGAAAAGGGGGGTATTTAAGTCTTTCTTATGAGTAAGAAAGTATTTTGTGTAATAAAAAAAATGTATATCCACTTTCTGGGCGTTGGGCTCTCCCTACCACATTTCTTCCTTTGCACGGCCCCTTTCTCTCTGTGCTTAGTTGCTTGTCCCAGCCCTCCTATAGTCCTTGAGTTGTTGAACTTTTGTCATACTTGTGAAGTATAAGCTTCTTTTTAAATTTAATATACTTTCTTTTTTGTTAAGAGACAGTCTTACTCTGTCACCCAGGCTGGAGTGCAGAGGCGCGATCTCGGGTCACTGCAGCCTCTACCTCCCAGGCTCAAGTGATCCTCCCAACACAGGCTCCTGAGTAGCTGGGACTACAGGCATGAGTCACTGCACCTGACAAGAATAAGCTTTTAATGGTTCTTCTGATTCTTTCCGTAACTCCCAGATCTTCATAAATTTGATAGACCCACTCTTCTCATTTGGACTGAGTGGAAACCAAGTTCCAGAGCGACTGGGCAATAAATATGGAGGAAACAGCATCCCCAGCCTCTACTCACTGCCAGAATGACCAGCTTCCCCAGTTGAAACAACCAAAAAATGTTTCCAGACATCGCCACTGTCCCCTGGTTGAGATCCACTAACCTATGTAGAATTTCAAAAATTTGGGATGATCCACACTCTCCAGAATCTGGCTTCCCGTAGTGAGGCAGGGCTCTTCTCCTCTTCCTATTAGAATTTTAATAAAGTGTGCTTCTTTGCTAGAAGCAAACATGCTATGCTGCTCTTTCTTCAGAAACAAACGAAAATATTCATGCACGGTGGCTCACGCCTGTAATCCCAGCACTTTGGGAGGCTGAAGCGGGTGGATCACTTGAGGTCAGGAGTTCCAGGCCAGCCTGACCAACATGGTGAAACTCTGTCTCTACTAAAAATACAAAATTAGCTGGGCATGGTGGCACATGCCTGTAATCCCAACTACTCAGGAGGCTGGAGCAGGAAACTGGCTTGAACCCAGGAGTCGGAGGTCGCAGTGAGCTGAGATCGTGCCATTGTACTCCAGCCTGGGCAACAAGAGCAAAACTCTGTCTCAAAAAAAAAAAAAAAAAAAGAAACAAACGAAGGGTCTGAGACCACATTGCACAAAATAAAACCCTGTCTGGGAGCACTTATAGGGCTCACAGCTGGCGTTCTGCGGCTGGTAGAGTTTGTGCACCTCTAGTGCCTCACAGACTTTGATAAGCAGGAACTACGTGGAGAGCTAGTGAAAATGCAGATTCTGATTCAGAAGTTCTGGAGTGGGGCCTGAGACTCAGCATTTCTAGACAGCTCCAGGGAGACGCTGATGCTACTGATCCAAGACACACTGTGAGTAGCCAGAAAGTAATGAGGGGTTTTCTGCTCTGGAATTCCTGCTTATTTGAGTTGCCACTGCTCCCCAGGAACTTCTGCTTGTCTTTGTACCCCACAGTGCCTAGATTCCTCAACTCTAACCAAAGCTTTTGGTTTTTGTTTTTTTTTTTTGGCAGAGTGTTAGCTCTGGCCTCCTACTTCTAAAACTGTTCCAGCGAAGTTCAATCTAATTCAACAAACATTTACTGAGTGCTATAATGCTGGTGCATCGGGGGACACAAGATGAATAGGATAAGGTCCCTGCCCTTAAGGGGATCCCAGCCTGGTGTCTCACACAGGGAGGGATTATCAACAGTTCCAGTGTGTAAGCAGTTTGAAGGTGGTGGAGAGAGGCAGCAGGGTGTGGTGAAATTAGTATTCGCAGGGAGGCCAGGCTTCCTGTGGTTTGACTTTGGGAGTGTTCTTTAATCCCCCTGAGCCTCAGTCTCCTAATCTGAATCAAATGGAGATAACATCGCTGTACCGCAGTCGATCAAAATCAGTCATGGATGTGATGGGCTCGGTATTCCAGAAAGTGCTCTCCAAATGTCCTTTTATGGTTATCGAGTTTTGTTACATCCTCTCTCTTGAGTCCTGTATCATTAGGAGGCAACTCTGGTGGAGTGAGAGTCATAGACTCAGGTCTGAGCTGAGCTTTCCCCTTCTTTTCTTCAGGAGGAGAATTGATGGCCCAAAGTGAATGTCCTGCCCTGTGATCTGCCCTTTAGCGGAAGAAACAGCAAAACCGGCATCAACTAAAGCAACTGGGAACATCAAGTTTTTATTCATTTGTTGATTTGAACAGTATTTCATTCTGATTTTAACTGACTTCTTTTGCATTAGATTAAAAACAACAACAAAAGACTGAAATCTTTCAAGAACAAAGAGGAGCTGGCCTATAAATCCTAAATACAGATGTAGTGATTGAACCCATCTAGGTAGCTTATGAATATAAATCTCACCCAAAGTTTCATCCACACTTAAGAGATAACCACTGTTAATATTTTGGCAACTACTCTTGGAAGTATTTGTGTCTAAATACAAATACCTATGCGTATGCAATTTTACTTAACTGTGATCATAGTAGGCCTGCTGTTCTGTAACCTGTTTTTTTTTAATCTTGATAATAGATGATAGAAATCTTTTCATTTAAAAAGCAATGTTATATATGAAGTAAAATTTGCTTAACCATTTTTTTATTTATGCTTCCGATTTTTCACTATTACATGCAATGCTGTAATGAATCTATCTGAGCATACATGTTTTTACTCTTCTGTAATTATGTTGTGTAAGTAAATTCCTAGAGGTATGATTGCTGGGTCCAAGGGCATACACTCCTAACTTCTTTCTTTAGGGCTGTTATGGCTTCACCAAAGTTCAAAAAGGGGAAGTGAATGAATGGTAGGAGGAACACTGGGGTCTCGGGGTGGCTCCATTTAAAAACTTTGTAAAAGGGAAATAAAAACAAAGCTATCTTCTGAAGATTAAACTTTAAAATCAGCACACAGCAGGCCAGAAGAGAGATGTGCAAAACCATGCTGAAGAGATGAATCATGGTCACTCACATGGTGTATGAGTCCGGTCAGGAAACAGAAGCCCTCCTGGTTTTTCACGCTGAGGGGATCTAATTGAGGAATCAGAAACTGGGTGATGGAAGGACTGGAGGAACAGTGGCAGTCAGGTAAGGTTATCCGAAGACTAGCGGCTGCAGGAAAGCGCCACCAGCTGTGGGCTGGAGGAGCCAAGGGGGAACGTCTCCTTGGAAACCAGAATCGGTGTGATTCCAAGCCATGGCTGTAGAACTGAGCTGCTTCAGCAGGAAGCCAAGAGCAGCACTGCTAGGCCAAAGCCCCTGACACTGCAGCCACTGCCACTGCCACCCTTGGGTGTCAATAGCACTGTCACAACTGCCTGAGACACTACCAGAGGCCAGCAGGGAGGAACTATCCAGGCTTTTGGCAGTGCCTCCTCTTCACAGAACCTCACTGAAAGCCTGTTGGAGGGCGTCTGGGAAATGCAGCATGTGGAGGCTCACCCTGCTATGCTAGAGCATAGCAAAGAAGGCTGGGAACGCAGCTGACAGCGAGTAGGCAAATGATCCGTGCAAGTAGTACTGTGGGTCAAAGCAGTGGGATAGCTAAAGAGAGCAACTGTCAGTCAGAGGAAGGGCATCGCAGCCATGGAGGCACTGAAGATGGGGCGTCACAGAGTGACATGGGCAGTGCTTATGCCAGCAGAGGTGGGCTTGGCTCTCTGGAGCTAGCCACAGGAAGAACCCTGTGGTGACCGCCGCCCCTTGGCTCTCAGTCTATGCCACGAGAACATGCTGTGGGAGACTGGCCCACAGAAGTGGCTCTGCTGCAGAGCACAGACAGATGGGGTTTCTGAACCTTCTTGGTGGACTGCTAGGCCCTGGGCAAGGGCAGGCTAACCAGTGTGCATTGCCATTCTGGGAGACAGGAAGCCAGCCTGCCCATAAGGCAGATAAGTCTTAATATTTTTGTGCTGCTATAACAAAATACCTGAGACTGGGCAATTTATAAACAACAGAAATTTATTTCCTCACAGTTCTGGGGGCTGGGAAGATCGAGGAACCTGCATGTTCAGTGTCTGGTAAGGACTTAGTCTCTCCTTCCAAGATGACACCCCTTGTTGCATCCTCACATGGCAGAAGGTGAAAGGGCACAAGGAGAAACATCTTGCCAATTCCCTCTAGCCCATTATAAGGGCAGAGCCCTCATGGCTTAATCACTTCCCAGAAGGCCCCACCTCTTAATACTATCACATGGAGTCTTAGGTTCCAATATATGGATTTTGGAGACACAGACGTTCTAATCATAGCCACATACCTCCCAGGGACTGGCCCTTGGCCGTCTTCCTTTACCAAAAGGACATCTGCACAAGTGTTTATTGGGTTCCTATCAGGTCCTGGCCTTGTGCTATGTGCTCTACATATAGGATCTCATTTATTCCTTTCAGTAACCCTGTGTGCAAGGTTAGGAGGTAGGGCCTATCACTCCCATTTCACTGATCAGGAAACTGAGGCACAAAAAGGTCAAGTGACTTGCCCATGGTCACATAGCTGGTACCGAACGGAGACAGGATCTGTTTGTCTCCAGGGCTCTGGCTGTACCACCACCTGGGGCTGCCTCTCCCGTTAGACTTCCTCTTGGTAGCAGGTCAAAGCCCTGGAACTGTTGAGCCGCCTTTGGCTAGTGGGTCTCCCGCCGGGTGGCAGCAAAGTTGCTCTCTGGAAGCACTAGGTCTCTGAAAAATAAGAAAATGCCAGGAAACTAGAGCAGAAAGCTGGAAAACAAGGAACCTTACCAATACCCTCATCCCCCATCAGCCACAGCATCAGTGTCGTGTGGGGAGGGAGAAAGGAGGTGCTGAAGGAGAGGACAAGGTGCAGGAAAGAGGAGGAGAGAAGCCGGTGGGCTGTCCAACGTGATGGCTCTGAAGCACCAGTGGCTCCTAGGCCCTTTAAGGTCAATGTGATTAATCACGTTCCATGTACAAGGTGACTTGGCTGTTACTGTATGTTATCACCCTCCTCTCTCGTCCCCTTAGATCATCTGACTTCAACAACCAACTCTGCATGAGAACTAGAAAATGCAAGGATTTCTATAGGTCTCTATGGTGACTGTATTAGTATCCCAAGGTCCAAGGGCATTTGCTACCAAATTATCATTATTATTATTTTTTTTTATAATTGTGAAGCTTTTTTTTTTATTATACTTTAAGTTTTAGGGTACATGTGCACCTTGTGCAGGTTAGTTACATATGTATACATGTGCCATGCTGGTGCGCTACACCCACTAACTCGTCATCTGGCATTAGGTATATCTCCCAATGCTATCCCTCCCCCCTCCCCCCACCCCACCACAGTCCCCAGAGTATGATATTCCCCTTCCTGTGTCCATGTGATCTCAATGTTCAATTCCCACCTATGAGTGAGAATATGTGGTGTTTGGTTTTTTGTTCTTGCGATAGTTTACTGAGAATGATGATTTCCAATTTCATCCATGTCCCTACAAAGGACATGAACTCATCATTTTTTATGGCTGCATAGTATTCCATGGTGTATATGTGCCACATTTTCTTAATCCAGTCTATCATTGTTGGACATCTGGGTTGGTTCCAAGTCTTTGCTGTTGTGAATAATGCCGCAATAAACATACATGTGCATGTGTCTTTGTAGCAGCATGCTTTATAGTCATTTGGGTATATACCCAGTAATGGGATGGCTGGGTCAAATGGTATTTCTAGTTCTAGATCCCTGAGGAATCGCCACACTGACTTCCACAATGGTTGAACCAGTTTACAGTCCCACCAACAGTGTAAAAGTGTTCCTATTTCTCCGCATCCTCTCCAGCACCTGTTGTTTCCTCACTTTTTAATGATTGCCATTCTAACTGGTGTGAGATGGTATCTCACAGTGGTTTTGATTTGCATTTCTCTGATGGCCAGTGATGATGAGCATTTTTTCATGTGTTTTTTGGCTGCATAAATGTCGTCTTTTGAGAAGTGTCTGTTCATGTCCTTCACCCACTTTTTGATGGGGTTGTTTGTTTTATTCTTGTAAATTTGTTTGAGTTCATTGTAGATTCTGGATATTAGCCCTTTGTCAGATGAGTAGGTTGCGAAAATTTTCTCCCATTTTGTAGGTTGCCTGTTCACTCTGATGGTAGTTTCTTTTGCTGTGCAGAAGCTCTTTAGTTTAATTAGATCCCATTTGTCAATTTTGTCTTTTGTTGCCATTGCTTTTGGTGTTTTGGACATGAAGTCCTTGCCCATGCCTATGTCCTGAATGGTAATGCCTAGGTTTTCTTCTAGGGTTTTTATGGTTTTAGGTCTAACGTTTAAATCTTTAATCCATCTTGAATTGATTTTTGTATAAGGTGTAAGGAAGGGATCCAGTTTCAGCTTCCTACATATGGCTAGCCAGTTTTCCCAGCACCATTTATTAAATAGGGAATCCTTTCCCCATTGCTTGTTTTTCTCAGGTTTGTCGAAGATCAGATAGTTGCAGATATGCGGAGTTATTTCTGAGGGCTCTGTTCTGTTCCATTGATCTATATCTCTGTTTTGGTACCAGTACCATGCTGTTTTGGTTACTGTAGCCTTGTAGTATAGTTTGAAGTCAGGTAGTGTGATGCCTCCAGCTTTGTTCTTTTGGCTTAGGATTGATTTGGCAATGCGGGCTCTTTTTTGGTTCCATATGAACTTTAAAGTAGTTTTTTCCAATTCTGTGAAGAAAGTCATTGGTAGCTTGATGGGGATGGCATTGAATCTGTAAATTACCTTGGGCAGTATGGCCATTTTCACGATATTGATTCTTCCTACCCATGAGCATGGAATGTTCTTCCATTTGTTTGTATCCTCTTTTATTTCCTTGAGCAGTGGTTTGTAGTTCTCCTTGAAGAGGTCCTTCACATCCCTTGTAAGTTGGATTCCTAGGTATTTTATTCTCTTTGAAGCAATTGTGAATGGGAGTTCACTCATGATTTGGCTCTCTGTTTGTCTGTTATTGGTGTATAAGAATGCTTGTGATTTTTGTACATTGATTTTGTATCCTGAGACTTTGCTGAAGTTGCTTTTCAGCTTAAGGAGATTTTGGGCTGAGACGATGGGGTTTTCTAGATATACAATCATGTCGTCTGCAAACAGGGACAATTTGACTTCCTCTTTTCCTAATTGAATACCCTTTATTTCCTTCTCCTGCCTAATTGCCCTGGCCAGAACTTCCAACACTATGTTGAATAGGAGTGGTGAGAGAGGGCATCCCTGTCTTGTGCCAGTTTTCAAAGGGAATGCTTCCAGTTTTTGCCCATTCAGTATGATATTGGCTGTGGGTTTGTCATAGATAGCTCTTATTATTTTGAAATATGTCCCATCAATACCTAATTTATTGAGCATTTTTAGCATGAAGCGTTGTTGAATTTTGTCAAAGGCTTTTTCTGCATCTATTGAGATAATCATGTGGTTTTTGTCTTTGGCTCTGTTTATATGCTGGATTACATTTATTGATTTGCGTATATTGAACAAGCCTTGCATCCCAGGGATGAAGCCCACTTGATCATGGTGGATAAGCTTTTTGATATGCTGCTGGATTCGGTTTGCCAGTATTTTATTGAGGATTTTTGCATCAATGTTCATCAAGGATATTGGTCTAAAATTCTCTTTTTTGGTGGTGTCTCTGCCCGGCTTTGGTATCAGAATGATGCTGGCCTCATAAAATGAGTTAGGGAGGATTCCCTCTTTTTCTATTGATTGGAATAGTTTCAGAAGGAATGGTACCAGTTCCTCCTTGTACCTCTGGTAGAATTCGGCTGTGAATCCATCTGGTCCTGGACTCTTTTTGGTTGGTAAACTATTGATTATTGCCACAATTTCAGCTCCTGTTATTGGTCTATTCAGAGATTCAACTTCTTCCTGGTTTAGTCTTGGGAGAGTGTATGTGTCGAGGAATTTATCCATTTCTTCTAGATTTTCTAGTTTATTTGAGTAGAGGTGTTTGTAGTATTCTCTGATGGTAGTTTGTATTTCTGTGGGATTGGTGGTGATATCCCCTTTATCATTTTTTATTGTGTCTATTTGATTCTTCTCTCTTTTTTTCTTTATTAGTCTTGCTAGCGGTCTATCAGTTTTGTTGATCCTTTCAAAAAACCAGCTCCTGGATTCATTGATTTTTTGAAGGGTTTTTTGTGTCTCTATTTCCTTCAGTTCTGCTCTGATTTTAGTTATTTCTTGCCTTCTGCTAGCTTTTGAATGTGTTTGCTCTTGCTTTTCTAGTTCTTTTAATTGTGATGTTAGGGTGTCAATTTTGGATCTTTCCTGCTTTCTCTTGTGGGCATATAGTGCTATAAATTTCCCTCTACACACTGCTTTGAATGTGTCCCAGAGATTCTGGTATGTTGTGTCTTTGTTCTCATTGGTTTCAAAGAACATCTTTATTTCTGCCTTCATTTCGTTATGTACCCAGTAGTCATTCAGGAGCAGATTGTTCAGTTTCCATGTAGTTGAGCGGCTTTGAGTGGGATTCTTAATCTTGAGTTCTAGTTTGATTGCACTGTGGTCTGAGAGATAGTTTGTTATAATTTCTGTTCTTTTACATTTGCTGAGGAGAGCTTTACTTCCAAGTATGTGGTCAATTTTGGAATAGGTGTGGTGTGGTCCTGAAAAAAATGTATATTCTGTTGATTTGGGGTGGAGAGTTCTGTAGATGTCTATTAGGTCCGCTTGGTGCAGAGCTGAGTTCAATTCCTGGGTATCCTTGTTGACTTTCTGTCTCGTTGATCTGTCTAATGTTGACAGTGGGGTGTTAAAGTCTCCCATTATTAATGTGTGGGAGTCTAAGTCTCTTTGTAGGTCACTCAGGACTTGCTTTATGAATCTGGGTGCTCCTGTATTGGGTGCATATATATTTAGGATAGTTAGCTCTTCTTGTTGAATTGATCCCTTTACCATGATGTAATGGCCTTCTTTGTCTCTTTTGATCTTTGTTGGTTTAAAGTCTGTTTTATCAGAGACTAGGATTGCAACCCCTGCCTTTTTTTGTTTTCCATTTGCTTGGTAGTTCTTCCTCCATCCTTTTATTTTGAGCCTATGTGTGTCTCTGCACGTGAGATGTGTTTCCTGAATACAGCACACTGATGGATCTTGACTCTTTATCCAATTTGCCAGTCTGTGTCTTTTAATTGGAGAATTTAGTCCATTTACATTTAAAGTTAATAATGTTATGTGTGAATTTGATCCTGTCATTATGATGTTAGCTGGTGATTTTGCTCGTTAGTTGATGCAGTTTCTTCCTAGTCTCGATGGTCTTTACATTTTGGCATGATTTTGCAGCGGCTGGTACCGGTTGTTCCTTTCCATGTTTAGCGCTTCCTTCAGGAGCTCTTTTAGGGCAGGCCTGGTGGTGACAAAAACTCTCAGCATTTGCTTGTATGTAAAGTATTTTATTTCTCCTTCACTTATGAAGCTTAGTTTGGCTGGATATGAAATTCTGGGTTGAAAATTCTTTTCTTTAAGAATGTTGAATATTGGCCCCCACTCTCTTCTGGCTTGTAGGGTTTCTGCCGAGAGATCCGCTGTTAGTCTGATGGGCTTTCCTTTGAGGGTAACCCGACCTTTCTCTCTGGCTGCCCTTAACATTTTTTCCTTCATTTCAACTTTGGTGAATCTGACAATTATGTGTCTTGGAGTTGCTCTTCTCGAGGAGTATCTTTGTGGTGTTCTCTGTATTTCCTGAATCTGAACGTTGGCCTGCCTTGCTAGATTGGGGAAGTTCTCCTGGATAATATCCTGCAGAGTGTTTTCCAACTTGGTTCCATTCTCCCCATCACTTTCAGGTACACCAATCAGACGTAGATTTGGTCTTTTCACATAGTCCCATATTTCTTGGAGGCTTTGCTCATTTCTTTTTATTCTTTTTTCTCTAAACTTCCCTTCTCACTTCATTTCATTCATTTCATCTTCCATTGCTGATACCCTTTCTTCCAGTTGATCGCATCGGCTCCCGAGGCTTCTGCATTCTTCACGTAGTTCTCGAGCCTTGGTTTTCAGCTCCATCAGCTCCTTTAAGCACTTCTCTGTATTGGTTATTCTAGTTATACATTCTTCTAAATTTTTTTCAAAGTTTTCAACTTCTTTGCCTTTGGTTTGAATGTCCTCCCGTAGCTCAGAGTAATTTGATCGTCTGAAGCCTTCTTCTCTCAGCTCGTCAAAATCATTCTCCATCCAGCTTTGTTCCGTTGCTGGTGAGGAACTGCGTTCCTTTGGAGGAGGAGAGACACTCTGCGTTTTAGAGTTTCCAGTTTTTCTGTTCTGTTTTTTCCCCATCTTTGTGGTTTTATCTACTTTTGGTCTTTGATGATGGTGATGTACAGATGAGTTTTCGGTGTGGATGTCCTTTCTGTTTGTTAGTTTTCCTTCTAACAGACAGCACCCTCAGCTGCAGGTCTGTTGGAGTACCCTGCCATGTGAGGTGTCAGTGTGCCCCTGCTGGGGGGTGCCTCCCAGTTAGGCTGCTCGGGGGTCAGGGGTCAGGGACCCACTTGAGGAGGCAGTCTGCCGGTTCTCAGATCTCCAGCTGTGTGCTGGGAGAACCACTGCTCTCTTCAAAGCTGTCAGACAGGGACATTTAAGTCTGCAGAGGTTACTGCTGTCTTTTTGTTTGTCTGTGACCTGCCCCCAGAGGTGGGGCCTACAGTGGCAGGCAGGCCTCCTTGAGCTGTGGTGGGCTCCACCCAGTTCGAACTTCCCGGCTGCTTTGTTTACCTAAGCAAGCCTGGGCAATGGCGGGCGCCCCTCCCCCAGCCTAGCTGCCGCCTTGCAGTTTGATCTCAGACTGCTGTGCTAGCAATCAGTGAGACTCCGTGGGCGTAGGACCCTCCGAGCCAGGTGTGGGATATAGTCTCCTGGTGCGCCGTTTTTTAAGCCGGTCTGAAAAGCGCAATATTCGGGTGGGAGTGACCCGATTTTCCAGGTGCGTCCGTCACCCCTTTCTTTGACTCGGAAAGGGAACTCCCTGGCCCCTTGCGCTTCCCAGGTGAGGCAATGCCTCGCCCTGCTTCGGCTCGCGCACGGTGCGCACACCCACTGGCCTGCACTCACTGTCTGGCACTCCCTAGTGAGATGCACCCGGTACCTCAGATGGAAATGCAGAAATCACCCGTCTTCTACAGCTCACCCTGGGAGCTGTAGACCGGAGCTGTTCCTATTCGGCCACCTTGGCTCCTCCCCTTGCTACCAAATTATTACTAAGCCTCCTACAAAGCAAGGTCTCCACTACTCCTTTGCTCAAGCATGGTGACTCTAACCTTTGCATTCATGGATGTGGCTGGCAGGATGCCCCGTGGGCTCAAACCATTTCCATAAAGTACACGTGCAAAGCCCCTGCTGAGAGACACCAGGAACATCTTTCAAGGCTCTCAGCTCCAGCTTCTTCTTTCAAAATGCACAAGGTACAGTTTCTGCTGCCCACGTGGTCACTGGAGGGTGTTAATTCTCCGACCCAGCCATTCCTTCCAGAGCAGGCACGGTATCCTGTCCACCCTGTCCCTATAATGCCCAACACCATCTAGGCGTGTAGCTGGTACCCAATACTTGCTGATGGAGGGAGCAGTCCCTGGGCCCACGCTGGCAGCGGTGAGCTCCGTCTCTTACTTCCTGAGGGATGCCTGGGCTGCCTGGATGGAGATGAAGACCTGTCTGCTGGCCAGTCTGGCAGTGGCCCGGGAGGGAAGGTCATGATGACCTGTCTCCTCTACAGCTTCCAGGCCTCGCCTTTGCTTGTTTTCTGGGAGCCTCGGTGTCTGCCCACAATGGCATGGCTCCTTCAAGCTGCCCAGATTCTTGGCCTGGTGTGTGGGCCGCACGGCTTGTTTCCATGGTGAGCATGGCAGGGGTGGCTGGCACCCCCAGGCTGACAAGCATTCCTCCCAGGTCTCTCTGAGCAGAGCTTGTGCCAGCCACTCTGTTCCCAAAGGGGGTTTTCTGATGTGGGGGGTGGTCACCTCAAAATTGGCTGTGCTTTGAGCTAGAGTGAACAAATAGAAGACATTTGTATCCATTCCTTTCTCTGACATCCTCATTTGGTCCTAAATGGGTTTGGGATGCCTACAGGAAATATCGCTTTTGGGAGGGAGCTTGGACATCATCTGGCCTGACCCCCTTCACCCTGCAAATGGATCTCGGAAGGTCACAAAGGGCAAGAGACGGGCTCAGGGCACAGAACAGATGCAGCACTGAGCTGGGAGGAATCCTCATGTCTCCTGAAGCCTGTGTTCTTTCTGCTATAGCGCGTCTTGGCTCTCTGGAGTGAGTTACCCAGTGTTACTTCTACCCTAGGAAGGTGAGGTGTGGCGCGTTGGGACTGCCTGGAGCTGTCAGGCCACACGCTCATGCACATGCATGTATGCACAGTGGGAGTGGATACAAAATTTAAAATAAAAAACAATTTTAGTTTGTCTAAACCACGGGTTGGGGTGAGGGGTGGTGAGCAAACCACGACCAGTGACTTACTCTTGTACAGCTTGTGAACTGAGAATGACTTTTACTTTTTTTTTTTGAGATGGAGTCTCGCTCTGTCGTCCAGGCTGGAGTACAGTGGCGCAATCTTGGCTCACTGCAAGCTCCACCTCCCAGGTTCACGCCATTCTCCTGCCTCAGCCTCCCAAGTAGCTGGGATTACAGGCACCCGCCACCACGCCCAGCTAATTTTTTTTTTTTTGTATTTTTAGTGGAGATGGGGTTTCACTGTGTTAGCCAGAATGGTCTCGATCTCCTGACCTCGTAATCTGCCTGCCTCAGCCTCCCAAAGTGCTGGGATTACAGGCGTGAGCCACCGTGCCCAGCCTACATTTTTAAGTCGTAGTGAAAAAATAAGATGTGACAGTGACTGTATGTAACCTCAAAGCTGGAAATACTTAACCATGTGACCCTTTCCAGAAAAAGTTTGCCAATCCCTGACTTGATGACCTGTCTGATTGTTCACCCAGTAATGGTTGGCAGTCTTCCTAGGACATTCAAGACTCCCTCTTTATAGGTAGATCTGGTTGGCTTCATAGGCTCAGACTCTGAAATGCAGAATTGGCAGCTTTCTTCCTTCGTCTGTCAGATGCCTATGGCTTTTCTAAGTTTCTTGCTGTTGCTGAATTTTTCTCTCCTCAGGATAAATCAAGCAGTGGAATCCTTTGTCAGGTGAATTAGGGAGCCGAGGCTGGTGATGGACATTTACTGCTGGTACCCACGGTAGGGCAGGGAGGCAGGGACACTGTTGCCTGAGGTGTCCTGCAAATAAATGACTCGGCTGGGGCTAACCAGAGTTGAAGGCTGAGAACAGACAGCTGCCAAGAGTGTGACAGGGAAAATGTCTTTCCCGTCAAAGAAAAACATAAAGATGCTTGCAATCTGAGTATTTCTGTTTCCTCCCCTCCACGACAGGCTTCTCAACTAGTTCCTGTCTAGCCAGGCTGCTCATTTCTTTATAGTCACTGAACCAGAATAACCACAGATCAAGCCGGAAGCACATGATAACCCGCTGAACTCCGCACAGCCCTGGCTGGGCTTCTCTGAGTGAACAAACGCTGCCCTGGTCTCCGCAGCTGTGAAATATCCAGTGAGCATCCAGCTGCGGGTTAGTTACTTCCACAGTCAGAGAAGGAAAGAAGAAAATAAGAGTGACAGATGCACAGAACCACGGACATTCGAGACTGTCATAGCTGTTCACAGTTGTTGAAGATTTACAGGCAAGCCGTTTGGAGTTTAAATGTGAGATGACACCAGGGGCCTCTAATGTACAGTGGAGCTTTAAGCATGATATGGGGGCAGAAAATGGTCTGGGAACCCCCTTCTCTGAGATCTTAGAAGTTCTGTTCTATTGACTCCAGGCAGGGCTGCAGCCACGGTGCACTTCATGGACTCATAAATATAACATTATTGGACAAAAAAACCCCAATCCTTCTCTGACTGATTAGGCCCAGATTGGTCAGCCCATAAATCAATGCTGAATAAGAACTATAAAGTTGTGAATCAATGTGTCCCAGATCTCCAAACTGGAATGAAAAAACAGGAATAAAATAGCTGGAGCTCTTCCAAGATCCTTCTTTTCATCCCCCTCCTCCCACCGCCCCATATGCTAGTATGCTAATTTTAAAAGGCTTCTCTTTTCCGCTCCTTGGCCTGGCTGTGGACAGCATTTCAGGGCAGGAAATTCGGTCTAGAAGTGTGGCTGAGGAAACAAGAGGCTGTTCTGTTGCATTTCTGTTCAGGACTGATCTGTAGCTCTGTCGTGTATCCTTGGTCATGTATCCTTGGCCAGGGTCTCCACCTGTGGCCGAGAAGTGATGGCATTTGTTGTCTGTGTCACAGATACAGGAAGGGAACAAGAGTGATCAGGTCATGTGTGGTCCATGAATGGTTTTTTAGGTCCAAGCAGTTTAAGGGCTCTGAGTCCCTGCATTGAAATATTAAATATAATAATGGATTCTCACCTGTAATCCTAGCACTTTGGGAGGCTGAGGCGGGTGGATCATGAGGTCAGGTGTTCAAGACCAGCCTGGTCAAGATGGTGAAACCCCATCTCTACTAAAAATACAAAAATTAGCCTGGCATGGTGGCAGACACCTGTAATCCCAGCTACTCGGGAGGTTGAAGCAGGAGAATTGCTTGAACCCAGGCAGCAGAGGTTTCAGTGAGCCGAGATCATGCCACTGCACTCCAGCCTGGGCGATAGAGTGAGACTTCGTCTCAAAAAAAAAAAAAAAAAAAAAAAAAAATGGAGTCTCCTCTTAGAACTGCACATGAGGTTTAGAAATGCCACCTGGTCATCCCTGTTGGACATGGTTACCCTCTTTGGATCTGGGAGCTGAGGGTATCTGCTGTGAATGTTGTCCACGTGTACTTGGAGGGCATTCCCTGTCCTTATTCCTCTGGAGTTCCAAAGCAAAGTTTGTTTTCTGAATCCCCCTTCTCTACCACTCTCCTCTCCAAAACACACCCTCAGGGTACTCTTTCCCCTCCTTTTGACAGCTCATTTCAGGGACACACTGTGTACATGTACCTGCCCCTCATAAGGGCTCGTTGTTAGGGGCCTGCTCTCCTGGGCTGGGAGCTCTCACTATTTCCTGGTCACCCCGACGCTGAGCTTCCCTGCTATCTTCTCCCCTTTGGGGAGGACACACACATGGCCCCACGCAAATATTCTGTGCTGGTGGCCTCCTGGTTTTCCCCAAACACAGACTATAAAGACTGGAAGGAACCGCAGGCTCACCCAGTTCCACCTGCTCATTTGGGGAAACTGAGGGGTGCCAACTTACCTAAGGTAGAACTCACACATCTTTCCACCCATTTCACTTTATCCTGGTATAAACCTGAGCTGACTGCATTCTTGTTCTTTCCCCCTGTAAAGAAATAAAGTCCCATTTAGGTTTTCCCAAAGCACTGTCTCTGTACAGTTGGCTGTTTCCTGTGGACATTTTCATTTTCTCCTGTGTTTTTCTCTCTCTTTGCTGTGACTTACAAGACCATGAACACATAAGCACAGGACCCCAGAGGAAAAGTTCTCTCTTTCAGTGTGTGCCTCCAGGAGGAATGAGACTACCGGCAGTGATGTTTGACTGATGAGCACCATTGTGGTGCTTTACCACTAGCGGTCACAGAAACCTTGCAGAATGTGTCTAGGGAAGTGGATTTTGTAGGGTTGGCTAAATTTGTACCACCCACAGCACAATAGCAGCACTGTACAGAAAAGGTGGCTTTGAAACAGGTTCAGTTTTACATTACTGTGAGGTACAAAATCAGGTGAAGGACCATTTCTATAGCTTAAGAATTTATATTTTTCCTCTTAGACCTGAAACTTTATTCATCCTGGGTCTTCTACCTTTAAAAAATTGAGACATTATTTCTCCCCATTTTCTGGGAAGACAATCCACCCTCAAAATTAGCTGTAAGAAATAATGTGATCATCAACAAAGTAAAAAGGTAACTCTCAGAATGCGAGCAGATATGTATAAATCATGCATCTGATAAGGGATTAATATCCAGCATATATAAAGAACTAAAATTCAAAAACAAAGAGCCTAATTTAAAAATGGGCATTTCTGGGCCAAGTGTGGTGGCTCACACCTGTAATCCCAGCACTTTGGGAGGCTGAGGTGGGCGGATCATGAGGTCAGGAGATTGCAACAATCCTGGCTAATATGGTGAAACCCCGTCTCTATTAAATATACAAAAACAAAATTAGCTGTGCGTGGTGGTGGGCACCTGTAGTCCCAGCTACTCGGGAGGCTGAGGTGGGAGAATGGCATGAACCTGGGAGGTGGAGTTTGTAGTGAGCCGATATCGCACCACTGCACTCCAGCCTGGGTGACAGAGTGAGACTCAGTCTCAAAAAAAAAAAAAAAAAAAGGCATTTCTCCTAAGAAAATATACAAATAACCAATAAACACATGAAAAGAGGCTCAACATCACCAAACATTAGGGAAACGCAAATCAAAACCGTAATGAGGTAACACTCACACCAAATAGGATGGCTACTATCAAAACACCATAGCAAAAAGCAAGTATTAATGAGGATACACAGGATTTGGAACTCTTGTGCCCTGTTGGTGGGAATGTAAAATGGTACAGCTACTGTGGAAAACAGTATGATGATTCTTCAAAAAATTAAGAATAGAATTACCATAGGATTCAGCAATTTTGCATCTATAGGTTGGTGCAAAAGTAATTGCGATTGTTGCCATTAAAAGAAATAGCAAAATCCACGATTACTTTTGCACCAACCTAATAGGTCTATACCAAAAAGAATTGAAAGAAAGATCTCAAAGAGATATTTGTACACTTATGTTCATAGCAGCATTGTTCATGATAGCTAAAATGCAGACACAACCCAAGTGTTCCTCTACAGAAGAATGAATAAACAAAATGGTATGTACATTCAATGGAAAATTATTCAGCCTTAAAAAGGAAGGAAATTCTCACACAGGATACAACATGGATGAACCTTGAGGACATTATGCTAAGTTAAATAAGACAGTCACAAAAAGACAAATACTGTATGATTCCACTTATATGAGGTAATTATTTGAGTATAAAATTACTAGATCTAATCTAAATCTGCCAATTACTATTCAAAATAATAGAGATGGTGGTTGCCAGGGGATGGGGGCAATTGAGAGTTATTGTTTAATGGGTAAATAATTCCAATTTTACAAGATGGAAAAAGTTCTGAAGATGGGTGGTGGTGATATTTATACAACATTATGAATGAAGGTATTAAAACCACTGGAACTATACACCCTGAAAAATCTTTAAGAGGTTAAATTTTAAGTTATGTGTATTTTATCAAAATAAAAAATTGGAAACAATATTGTAAAGTTTTAATAATCTAAAGAAAATTCTTCCTTTAGGGTGTTATTCCCAAAAACGTGGTGTTGGTGTTCTAAATATCTAGGATATTATTTTTATAATTTTAAAACATGCAATCATACTGCTGGGACATGACTCTTTAAACAGCAGATCTTTGAGTGAATGTGAATGTGATAAACTCTGCTTTCTAGAGAATCCTTTTTAACCACTTAATGCCTCTTTTAGCTACTAGGTCTAAGAATCTATAGAGAGGGGATATGGCAGAGTGTAGAAATGACCCTAATTATTCATCCCTCCTGTATCTATGTCCTTCACCATACACATCTGTATTGCTGTCCAATGCTGTTTCTGAGCCTAATCATGGACCTGTTTTGGCCAACAAGGTAAAGTGTAAGTATCAGTTCCACATATAGAACTTCAGAGACTGTGTGTGTTTCCTTTTGCTGTCTTGTGTATCTGCCATTGCCATGACAACACGCTCAAGCTAGCCGGCTGGAGGAAGAGAAACTGAGCAGCAGAGCTGAGCCATCTCTGTTGCTCCAGTCAAAGCCAGTCTAGATCAGCCAACTGCCAGCCGACTCTCACACATATGAGTAAGCCCAGCCAAAATTAGCAGAGCCACTTAGCTGACCTCCAGCTGACCCTAGATGTTTACTGTTGCATGTCCCTGAGGTTTTTTTACTGCGAGGGAGCATTATTGTGGAAGTAGATGACTGATTTAGGGAATTGCCTCATATGCTTTTTTTTTTTTTTTAATCACTCCTTTTCCCCTTGTTTCAATCAACTTGTCACAAATACATCTGAACATTGTTAGGTGTCTACCCAATATCCACTCTCCTGCTTTTTCTTACTGCCAGAACCACATGCCCAGCTAAAAACCTACATTCTCTGGCTTCCTTTGTAGAAAGGAGTTGTCATGTGACATTCCTTTGGCCAATGAGAAGCAAGTGAAATATTGAGTAGTTCCTTGAAGGAGGATGGGGAGTCCTTTTGCCCTTCTCCTTCTTCCTTTCTGGAATAAAAATCTGATGCTGGAAAATATTATGGCCCCAAGGAGCCAGCACAAGCTGAGAATGATTGAGAGGAAAGCAGAAAGAGCTTGGGTCTCTGATGGTATGACTACAGTACCAGCCATGGGCTGCCTCCTTTTTCACTTCTAGCTACATGTGAAAAAAATAAGACTTCTCAACTAATTATGCCACTGTTTTTTTTTTTTTTTTTTTTAATTCTTTTACTTGCAGTTCATTGTAATTCATTTTCTTCTTTTTTTTATTTGTGACAGAGTCTCACTGTGATGCCCAGGCTGGATTGCAATGGTGCGGTCTCAGCTCACTGCAACCTCCGCCTCCTGGGTTCAAGGGATTCTCCTGTCTCAGCCTCCCGGGTAGCTGGGATTACAGGCATTTGCCACCACACCCAGTTAATTTTGTTTTTTTAGTAGAGATTAAGTTTCTCCATGTTGGTGAGGCTGGTCTTGAACTCCCGACCTCAGGTGATCCACCTGCCTTGGCCTCCCAAAGTGCTGGGATTACAGGTGTGAGCCACCATGCCTGGCCCATTGTAATTCTTAATACTACACTCTAGAGCCTATTTTATCCTTATTTGAAGAAACTGCTTAGAACAAATAAAGATATTTCACATAAAATATCATTGTGAATTACTATGCAAGTACATTAATCCATACATAAAAGAACAATGACTTCCATGCATTTATGTCGGTTTATATTTTTGAAAGTTTACAGTATTCCTAATAGATTCCCCTCAATACACATTTGATTAGTACCCCATGTCCATTCTGTATTGGGGGAAACTGAGGCAAGGAAAGGTTTAACTTTGTCCAAAGTAAAACAACCTGTTAGTCAAAGAGATTGGTGGGGGGGACTTGAAAATGGGTTATTCAGGATTCCTGAGGAAGGATTGGATGTGTGTCTCAATTAGACCTAACTATAATGATTGAACTTCTGTACTTTGGACTGTGACCAGCCTTTACTCAGCGAGACCAAAGACACTGAGTCTTTTTGACTCTGAATGGACCAACCAAGACAGAAAGTCACCACAGTCCAGGACAGTCTTGTTTATAGGAAGAGAGAAAAGGAATAAAGGGTAACTTGTTGCCTTTTGTGCCCACAAAATTGTCTGCTCTCTCCTTTCTGCTCTAAAGTGGAGTGAAGTCAATTGGTTATAAGTCTGTCTCCCCAGAGCTTTCTGGTGGCCTCCTCAAGAGCATGACTAGATGTTTTTGTTTATATATCCCTGGCAGACCAGTGGGTACAGTTGTGCAGGTTGGTCACTGCCCAAGGGTACCAGGCTGAGGAGTGAGTGAAATCCACACTTATCAAGCAGTAGGGCCAATGGGATTATTCTACATCAAGAGGAAGGGCTTTTTTTTCTAATTTGCACACAGGTCCTCTATGGTACAGCGGGAACCCTGGTCCTTGATGCCCAGAGCAGAGTACAAGAGGCTTATTTGACGGTGAATAACCTCTCAGATGACTGCTTCTTTTTTGAAGCTCAGTTTAATCAGGTTTTAGTAGCAATAAAGTGTTTCTCAGGTGGGAGCTGGTGAGTGTGACAGACACTTAAATTTTTTCTCGCAAGTTGCCACAGAATATTCACAGAAGTGAATCAGCAGTTTCAAAGTTAAGAGAAGAGAAAAATAATAAACAGCTACCATTTATTAAGCAATTATGTGTCAGATTTATACTTATTATCTCATATAATCCTTACAGCAAAACTGTAAGGTAGGTTCCATAATACCCCCATTTGAAATATAAGGAAATGGGTTCCAAACTGCTCAAAGTCATATAGGTGGCAAGTAACAAAGTTTGGATTTGAGCCCAGGCTTGTTTGATTTTAAGCTCTTTGTTCTTTGTCATGCATTTTCCTAAACTGTAAATTATTTGTCATTAGTGCAGGTGTAGCAAAGACACTGGTATTCACCAGTTGTTCCATTGACTCCCCTACATTTTTCACTCTTGCTTGTAATTATGTTGGGGCTATATGATTGGGTGCTTCCAATAGAATATAGGTGGGAATGATGTCCAACCACTCCCAGGCATGACATTTAATAAAATTCTTGGCAAACCATCACTCCTCTCTTCCTCTGCTACAATGACTCTGGAAACCAGATGTTCAGATGTTGGCATCTCCAGATGGGTGGAGTCTGGATCCCTGAATCACTGCATGGAGGAGAATTGCCCTGAGGAGCCACTCAATTTACACCTGACTTTACATGAATGAAAAATGAGTCTTGTATTTATTGAAGAATAATGTAGCCTAGCCTAACTGATATAGCAGAAGTAGTAAGAATACTTTTATATATTTATGTTATACAATTGTTTATACTGCACAGAATACTTTATTGATTCTCATAAAAATTATGAGAGATAAACAGGGATTATAAGCCCCATTTTATAGGAGAGGAAATCGAGGCTTAGAGAAGTGAAATGATTTTCTCAAGACCACACAGTTGGTAGGTGGTCAAACCAAGGTTAGGATCTTGGTATTTTTCCCACACTCTGCAATTTTATAACTTCCTAGCTTAATGTTATAAAAGCAAGCAGTAACCTCAGAGGGAATGAGGGTCCCACTGTATAGAGTTCTGCAGATTAAATTAAACACCTTGAAGGACTAAAAGGCTAGGTAGCCAGGACAGACAGGTGTAATACATTCCAATGGTTCATATTCTTAAGTCAACAAGATGTTGGCATCCTGTGGCTGCTCAGACTCCTGGGTGGTCCTGCAGGGGAGTCCTAAGCCTAGCTTTCCAGCAGTCCAGTAAGCAGATCTCCAACCTGAGTCATAGGCTTTGAATTAAAGATAAAAATGCACATGCTCTGGGTGAGAGCCCTCAGTCTCTCCAGGAGAATCAGGGGACTGTTTTTCCCTCTTCATACCCACACAACAATAATCATTTTACTTTTTACAGAATTCTTTACAGTGCACAAAATGTATCCCTCTCCATTATCTAATTTAATTCTCCAAAAACCTGATCATGCATTTTTGTGGTGAAACTCAGAAAGGTTGACTTACTGTAAGATAATAACAGTGATGCCTCTGATAATAAAATTTGCCATTTTTTAGACGTCTATTATCTCATTCAGTCCCATAACAGTCCTCCAAGGTTGGTATTACCACACCTTTTGTGCAATGAGGAACCTGAGGAATGAGAAGTTTAAAAACACGTCCAAGGATATTCAGTGAGGAGGGCTCTGAGTGGGCTTCATAAAACCCATGCTGTAATTCTTGACAAAAAACAAAAGGGACAGGCTGGAGTGTGGAAGCCCTCAGTTATCCCACCCCATACTGGGGACGTGCTACAAAAACCCAAGGGTCCACTTTATGCTCTGGAAACTTTGTTAGACACAATCAATTTAAAACTTCTTTAAATCTATCATAGTTTTTGATCTTACCTTTTTTCAGGGAAGGGGATCCACAGTTCTGGAAGATCCCTTTTGCAGGAAGTGGCTTCCATTTCATTGACCTCCAACGACAACTTCCTACTAAGAAGATGGTAGGAATCTCCTTGTTTAAAGGCCTTCGTCATAACTTTGTAAATGTTGACCTTGCCCACCTTCAGTGTCTGTTGCTGACTAAAATCTCCAAATCTTTTCTCTCTCTGGGTCAAGCTCCTATGTTCCTTCTTCCACAGCCTTGAGCTGCCAATGGTCTGAATGCAGCAAGGATCCAAGTCATGACTGTTTGTGTTCGTTGCTATCCTCCATTCCTTGATATGGTTGGGTCCTCTGCTGGCATCCTCCTCTGTAAAGCTCACGTTATTGGGACAGGAGACCATCTTTACATTGAGGGTTTCCCTGCGGGGTCTGCAGCTACCCAAATCCAGGACATCTTTCACTCTGTGCTCTGTGCATGTGCCCCCTTGGAGTAGGTAAGGCAGGACTGTTCTTAGACTAATTCATTCATTCAGAAACGTTTATGAAGCACTGGCCATATCTTAGACACTGTACTGGTCTCTGGGGATGGAGTGGTGAATAAGCCATGTCTGTCCTAATTGATGGGAAGGTGCCATCCACATGTGTGTCACTTGGGAAACTCAAGAGTCACTATCGACTTATTTTTCACCCTTAGTCCCCACATTGGAATCGAACATCAAGTATTACAAATTTTACCTTCTGAACATCCATTATACTCATCTCTACTCTGCATCCCAGCCAACACTCCCCTAGTTTAGTCCTTTAATGCCTCTTCTGTTGATTATTGTACTTCCCCCATAACTAGTGTGTCTGATCTGGTGTCACCCTCAGAAATCCCTCTCCCATACTGTAGCACACAATCTGCCTCACATACACTTCTAACTAAGTTGCTCATTCAGATTTTCAAGTGGCTCCCTTTTGCCCATTTTACATGGAGTACAAAGTTCTTGGTGCCTGGTTCCTACCTGCCTCTCTTGCCTTGCCCCTCAGTAGTTGCTATTCCACCACCAGCCAGATCCTTCAGCCCTTTTGGACTGGCCGGCCTCCCGTTCTCCTGGTGGGTGAGGGATTTGATTCTTCCCTCTGTACATCTCTCCCCTGACCCCACTGCCTCTCTGCCTTTGTTCCCTGATCCACGCAGTCTGGACCCTGCCTCTTTCCTAACTTCTGCATCTAGATAACCCCTTTTTGTTCTTTAGGGTTTGTTTTAGGGCCTAATTCCTCCAGGAGGTTTTTCTTGATTCCCTGTCCATTCCATGAGAGGCATCTTTCCTCAGTGGGCCCATGGCGTCCTCTGCACAGCTCCATCTTTGCTCCTGACCCCTGGCATGGGAGTCATCTCCACTGAGCCTTGGTGCTTCACTGGACTCTGGACTCCACGAGCGGAAGGGCCCAGTACTCAGCACACAGTGGGCCCCCAATAAGCTTGCTGAATGGTTAAGCAAATAATCCCAGTGCAATGGAAAACAGGCAGCTTGAGGGCATGACTGACTCCACCTGGGGAGTTTGGACGTGGTTCTAAAGAAAAGACATGCAACTGCATGTTGAAGGAAGCAGAGAAGTTTATGGGACGGGTGTAGGGATAGGGCAGGCCCCAGCCCCCTGCCATCTTCCTTGTGGTCGCCTGATTTCTGGTGCTGGGCAGGAGCTGAGCTATTTCAAAGAAAATGTAGTCAATAGCCTTCGAGAAAAGCGGATTGAAAACCCACCAGAGCAAGAAGCCATGAAGCAAGATGAGTCAGCCACAGATCCGACTCTCAGTGGTTTCATGGTCTAGCAGGGAAGCAAATGCAGTCTTTTTTTCCTCCCTGTTTTATAGTTCTATTTGTACCAGTACAACGTTCATGCAGGGTTACAGGTTACAGGGAGCGCAAATAGACCTCACACGCACTTGTCTGTGTGGTCTGAGAACCTGTCTTGTCCCTGTGCCCTGCTCATCACCCCCATGACTGCCCACGGTGTGATGGCTCAGGCCACTGCTTCAGGGCCGGCTTCTTTGGGAGCAGAGCAGCACCTAGGAAGTAGGTCCCTTCTGGGATTGGAGAGTTGAGGCACGAGGTACCAGGGCTCCAGTGACACTGCTGCTGCCCTTGCCGGCCCCTCTTCTCTTGGGTCTTTTCTTGGTTCCTGGAGTTTTTCCTTTTTCCTGGTAATGGATGTTGGAACTAGGGAGGGTCAGAGGCTATGCAGTTCTGGGGACAGAATGGTACAATTGGAACAAATGGAATTTCAATCCTAGCTTTTCAGTGGAGGGGGTGGTCAGCTCCAAATGTCCATGCTTTTGTGATAAAGAGCCTCAAGAAGCCCCCACAGTCTGTTTTGTAGTAGGCATCAAAAGTGTTAAAAATGGGTGCACTTTCCTGACTATATAGTGGAGTAAGACTCTGCACTAAAAAGGAATAAATTAGTGATGCAATAATATGAATGAATCTCCAAATAATTATGCTGAAGAAAAGAAACCAGAGGAAAAGAGTATGTATTGGGTAACTCCATTTATAAAAAACCCTGGAAAATTCTACCTAGTCTGTAGTGATAGAAAGCAGAGCAGTCATTGCTATGGGGAAAGGAAGGGGAGAGAGAGAGGGATTAGAAAGGGCCACAAAGAAACATATGCGGGTGACAGATGTGTGCATCACCTTGATTGTGGCAATAGCTTCATGGGTATATACATATGTCAGAAATTACGAAATTTTGCACTTTAAATACATGCAACTTATTGTATGTTAATTATACATTAGTAAGGTTTCTTAAATTTTTTTAAATGTGGGTTCATTTTGACCCAATAATTCCATTTCTAGCAACCCTTCTAATTAAGTAATTGAAGAAGGGCACAGTTTATGTTCAAGATAATCAGCATGTTGCTTAGAATAGAAAAAAGGAAAACAACTTGGAAGTTCAATAATAGGGGATAGTTAAAAAAATTAATGGTTAAATAAATTCCAGATGATGGTGGAATATTCTGTATGCTTTAAAAATCAGAAAATATTATTTATTATGGTGGAGAAAATGCTTATTATGCAGTGTTTGGTGGAAAGTCTGTTTATAGTAGGAACATTATGACATCAATATGTTATAATAAAGACACATGCAGAAGAAAGACAGGAGGACTGGTACAAAATGTCCACAGCAGTCATTTCTAGATGACAAGTAGGTAACAAGTAACTTAAATTTTCTTCTTAGTGCTTCTTTTTTTATTTTAGAGATGGGGTCTCACTCTGTCACTCTGAGTGGCGTGATCACAGCTCACCGCAGCCTTGACCTCCTGAGCTCAAGGGATCCTCCCACCTCATCCCCACCAGTAGCCAGGACTACAGGCATGCCACCACACCTGGCTATTTTTTTTTCTTTTACTTTTAGTAGAGATGAGGTCTTGCTGTGTTGACCAGGTTGGTATTGAACTCTCAGCCTCAAGTAATCCTCTTGTCTTGACCCCAGCAAAGTGCTGGGATTACAGGCATGAGCCACTGTACCCAGTTTCTTAATGCTTCTACGTATTATTTGAATTTTCTACTATTGAAATATATCACTTTTTAAAATAGAAAACAACCCAAAGCAATACAAGATTTCTTTCTTTCTCCTTTCCTTTCTCTTTCCATCTTTCTTTCTTTCCGTCTTTCTTTCCTTTCTTTTCTTTTTTCTTTCTTTCTTTCTTTCTTTCTTTCTTTCTTTCTTTCTTTCTTTTCTTTCTTCTTTCTTTCTTTCTTTCTTTCTTTCTTTCTTTCTTTCTTTCTTTCTTTCTTTCTTTCTTTCTTTCTTTCCTTCCTTCTCCCTTTCTCCTTCCCTCCTTCCTTCCTTCCTTCCTTCCTCTTCTTTTTTTGAAGGCCCCACAGCCTCCTGTGTGCAGAGGCTTCAGGGGAAGGGCCCAACTCTCCCATGCTTTTACTCCTGTGGCCAAGTAGGTGCTGTCCCTTGACCAGGCCAGTGCTCCACAGGGCTTAAGAATGCTCCTGTCCAGGCCTTCACATTCTGTCTGGGGCCCTGGCTCTTCTCAGCTGGCCGCACTGTTAGATTGCACAAGGGGCCACTTGCTCCCTGTGCTGTCAGGGCAATAACTGGGCAAAGGATGCTTGTGGCCAGGCCATGGGGGGCCTGGGCATTGGGGAAAGTGGCAAACCTTGGCATTCCGTGATCCTTTCCAGCTTCATTTTCCCTGGTTAACTGCAGCTGTTAGGAGCACTTAGGAAGCAAAGCATTAGCTAGTGTAGCCTTGCCCAAGTCACATGTCTATTACCTTCCAGTAAAAGCTGCAGCCACAGACTGGGAGCCTGGGTGCAATATGAGCAAGTAGGTTGGCCTGAATTTCCCAGCCTCCTTTATCTTTCTTCCTCCAGCAACAGAAACTGAGGAGGACTGAAAGAAGTGCTGTTAGCTGCAGACTTGTTGAGAACAGAATGGCTTTCTTTGCACTAGGTGTCCTGCTCTCTGGGTTGCTAGTCTGGACCAACCAGCTGAAATCAAGAGGTTTAACTGGTACTTTGAAAATGCCCCTGCCTGGTCTGCTAAGGATGACAGGAGTTGGAAGGACTGAGGTGACTTGTCCCAGCTGGCTGACACTGAGAGATTGTTGCTGAATGAACAGTGGAATCCACCAAGACCAAGAAGGTCTGTGACATGAAAACCAGTTTGCCTGAGTGGACAGAGGCTTGTGGGGGAAGCCACTGGGTGTAGACCATTGGTGGCCCTGAATATATGCAGGGGTTGGCAACATGATGGATGAGCTGCATAACCTCTGTGAGGCTGTTTGCTCATATGTACAATGGGATGTGAACACACACGTAGGATTCATTCATTCAGCCATTTATTCACTAAATATTGACTGAGCATGCACTGTGGGTGTGTAGATACAACAAATTGATTAGGCTTGGTCCTTATCTCATGTTCTCTGTGGTTCTTCACTATCATGTTGCTGAGATGCCTGGGGATTATACATATTTATGACCAAGCTCATGACACATTGTGGATGCTCAAGAAATGCTACTGTCACGGAGGCCAGGACTCTTGCAAGGGAACAATGCCTAGGCCTGGTTACTGGACCTGTGGCTATGAGGCAGAAGCCTGGATACTGGGGCACTGACCATTGAGGGATGTCCTACAAACAGGCATTGACAGTGAGTCACCTGCACTGTTGCACTGGTGTGCCTGAGGGCAGGGTTGGCTAGAGAACTTTTGGGAGCAAGGGAAGGGCTTAGCTATAGGGAAAGAAAGGTATGGGAACCATGCTGTCATTGGAGAAAGGTTTTCATTGGCTGCTGGAAACAAATAAGTATTCTCAATGTGTGTATATACGTGCATATTCAGGTGAAAGAGTGTTCATTTTGTATATTATTCATTTATATAAAAAACATTTATTGAATACCTGTTCAGTGCTATGTACTGTGATTAGAGTTGAAAATAGGCGAACCATGAAACACAGCACTCCCGGATCTTACAATCTGAGGGGAAGAAAAGGAATTGCATATAAACAAGGCAAAGTGGTGGCCTTAAGGGCCAGGATGAATGATTGAGGACATAGTGTGCACTCAGTGTTAGAAGGCCAGTGCATGGAGAGTTCAGAATGGGTGAGATCGGTTTGATTTGGAATGGGCAGGAAGTTGGAAAATATCTTACAACAGATAAATGGATGTGGGGGTTCTTAGCTCAACCTCACACTCTGTGCCCTGGGGAGGTTCATAGGAGAGTCAGCACACAGGCATCAGGAAGTGGAGGTTGCTGTCGAGTGGCATTAATTCATTCACTCAACAAATCTTTACTGAGCACCTACAATTGCCTGGCACTATTCTAAACTCTGGAGACTCAGTGATGACAGGAAACAACTCCTGCCATATTATGGCATGCATTGTAATGGAGGAAGATGAAAAATAGTTACAGCAATAAGTGAGTTATATGCAGCAGCAGTTCTCAAAATTTTGGGTCCCAGAAGCCCTTTATATTCTTAAAAATTATTGAGGACCTCAAAGAACTTTCATTTATAAAAGTTATCGCTATTGATATTTACAATACTAGAAACTAGAATTGAGAAATTAAAAATGCATCTATATGAATACTTAAAAGTAATAATAAGATACCCATTACATTTTAGCACAAATGACATATA
Source organism: Homo sapiens (assembly GCF_000001405.40). Taxonomy (NCBI): domain Eukaryota; kingdom Metazoa; phylum Chordata; class Mammalia; order Primates; family Hominidae; genus Homo; species Homo sapiens. The sequence continues at coordinate 45,692,055 of NC_000006.12, forward strand.
TTTAGTGAAAAATTATAGTTTTTTCCCAAACAACATTTTAGAAAAGAGTGATATTTTAAAAAGTCTTTTTTTGCAGATTTCTTTAATTTACAAGTAGAAGACAGCTGGATTCTCATATCTGCATCTGCATTCAATCTGTGTTGATGTACTGTTTTGGCTGAAGTATATGAAGAAAATCTAGCCTCACGCAGACATATAGTTGCACAAGAGAGGAGTATGTTACGAGCCTTTTCATTTAGTTGTTGAGTCCTTTTCTTTGCTACTACACCAGAACTCAACAAGTAGTTGTTTCTTAAAGGTCATTTGCAACGTTGAATCTGAAACTATAACAACATTTTGTTTTATTGAAATCCATTGGTCTATGTTGCACTTTGAATGAGTGTTTTATCAATGCATTGTGAATGGATCTTTTGAAAAATATAAGTTCACCAAATTACGTAAATCTTTCAAATGTTACTACATTTTATTATCCAATCCCCAAAATCACATTTATTAATATCATCACCAATTTCATTAGAAAAGACTTTAAGTATTGAATAGTGACAGATATAAAATTTACAAAATTTTAAATGTTTGCAAGAAAGCCTATATTTTATCCTTGGCAACAAATGCATTAGTTATTTTTCAGAAAATGTCTGTCAAATACTCAAGTCTGAGTAACCATACCTTGTCTGTCAGTAGTCATTCTTGCAAGTAAAAACGTGATGCATAAGGAAAACAGCTAGTTCAAAGGCATAAGAATGATACAATGGACTTTGGGGACTTGGGAGAAAGAGTGGGAAGGGGGTGAGGGATAAAAGACTACAACTATGGGCCGGGGGCGCAGGTTAATGCCTGTAATCCCAGCACTTTGTGAGGCTGAGGCAGGCAGATCATCAGATCAGGAGATCAAGACCATCCTGGCTAACACGGTGAAACCCCGTCTCTACTAAAAATACAAAAACAAAATTAGCCTGGCGTGGTGGCGTGTGCCTATAATCCCAGCTACTCGGGAGGCTGAGGCAGGAGAATGGCGTGAACCCGGGAGGCGGAGCTTGCAGTGAGCTGAGATCGCCGCCACTGCACTCCAGCCTGGCGACAGAGTGAGACTCCGTCTCAAAAAAAATAAAAGAAAAGACTACAACTATGGTACACTGTATACTGCTCGGGTGATGCGTGCACCAAAATCTCACAAATCACCACTAAAGAACTTACTCATGTAACCAAACGCCACCTGTACTGCAATAACTTATGGAAAAAATAAATTAATTAATTTAAAAAATGTAAGAAACAAGATGAATAATGATGAAAATATAATAAGATGAGAAGGAATAGGCAGACTTAAAAATATAGAACTTATAAAAATAAAAAGTATGGTTAATGCATTAAAAGCATGTCAGTGGATGCACTGAACAGATAATTAGACAAAACTGAAGAAAGAATTAGCAAACTGAAGATAAACCTGAGGGTATTACACAGAATCCAGCAAAAAAAGAGAAAGAGATTAAAATACATGGAGGATAAAATGGAAATATCCAGCAAATATCTAACTGGAATTCCAGAAGGAATAAACCGAGGCTGGTATTAAAAGAGACATTGTCTAGAAAAGAGGCATATAAGGTGCCCAATACGTTTGTTTCTATTTCTTATATTTATGTAACTCTGAAGTTCAAACACCGTTAACCACAAGAGGTCTGTGATCACCATAGACCTTCTACAATGTGGTATAGTCATGGCGTGTTATACATGGAAAGAATTTTATTTATTTATTTATTTACTTTTGAGACAGAGTCTCACTCTGTCACCCAGGCTGGAGTGCAGTGGCACCATCTCTGCTCACTGCAAGCTCCACCTCCCGGGTTCAAGCAATTCTCTGTACCTCAGCCTTTGAGTAGCTGGGGTTACAGGTGCCCATCACCACACCCAGCTAATTTTTTTTTTTTTTTGTATTTTTTAGTAGAGATAGGGTTTCGCCATGTTGGCCAGGCTGGTCCCGAACTTTTTTAAATTTTATTTTATTATTATTATACTTTAACTTTTAGGGTACATGTGCACAATGTGCAGGTTTGTTACATACGTATACATGTGCCATGTTGGTGTGCTGCAACCATTAACTCGTCATTTAGCATTAGGTATATCTCCTAATGCTATCCCTCCCCCCTCCCCCCACCCCACAACAGTCCCCGGAGTGTGATGTTCCCCTTCCTGTGTCCATGTGTTCTCATTGTTCAATCACCTATGAGTGAGAACATGCGGTGTTTGTTTTTTTGTCCTTGCGATAGTTTGTTGAGAATGATGGTTCCCAGTTTCATCCATGTCCCTATAAAGGACGTGAACTCTTCATTTTTTATGGCTGCATAGTATTCCATGGTGTATATGTGCCACATTTTCTTAATCCAGCCTATCGTTGTTGGACATTTGGGTTGGTTCCAAGTCTTTGCTGTTGTGAATAGTGCCGCAATAAACATACGTGTGCATGTGTGTTTATAGCAGCATGATTTATAATCCTTTGGGTATATACCCAGTAATGGGATGGCTGGGTCAAATGGTATTTCCAGTTCTAGATCCCTGAGGAATCGCCACACTGACTTCCACAATGCTTGAACTAGTTCACAGTCCCACCAACAGTGTAAAAGTGTTCCTATTTCTCCACATCCTCTCAAGCATCTGTTGTTTCCTGACTTTTTAATGATCGCCATTCTAACTGGTGTGAGATGGTATCTCATTGTGGTTTTTATTTGCATTTCTCTGCTGGCTAGTGATGATGAGCATTTTTTCATGTGTTTTTTGGCTGCATAAATGTCTTCTTTTGAGAAGTGTCTGTTCATATCCTTCACCCAGTTTTTGATGGGGTTGTTTGTTTTTTCTTTTACATTTGTTTGAGTTCATTGTAGATTCTGGATATTAGCCCTTTGTGAGATGAGTAGGTTGCAAAAATTTTCCCCCATTTTGTAGGTTGCCTGTGTTTATCTCAATAGATGCAGAAAAGGCCTTTGACAAAATTCAACAGCCCTTCATGCTAAAAACTCTCAATAAATTAGGTATTGATGGGACGTATCTCAAAATAGTAAGACCTATCTATGACAAACCCACAGCCAATATCATTCTGAATGGGCAAAAACTGGAAGCATTCCCTTTGAAAACTGGCACAAGACAGGGATGCCCTCTCTCACCACTCCTATTCAACATAGTGTTGGAAGTTCTGGCCAGGGCAATTAGACAGGAGAAGGAAATAAAGGGTATTCAATTAGGAAAAGAGGAAGTCAAATTGTCCCTGTTTGCAGATGACATGATTGTATATCTAGAAAACCCCATTGTCTCAGCCCAAAATCTCCTTAAGCTGAAAAGCAACTTCAGCAAAGTCTCAGGATACAAAATCAATGTACAAAAATCACAAGCATTCTTATACACCAATAACAGACAAACAGAGAGCCAAATCATGAGTGAACTCCATTCACAATTGCTTCAAAGAGAATAAAATACCTAGGAATCCAACTTACAAGGGATGTGAAGGACCTCTTCAAGGAGAACTACAAACCACTGCTCAAGGAAATAAAAGAGGATACAAACAAATGGAAGAACATTCCATGCTCATGGGTAGGAAGAATCAATATTGTGAAAATGGCCATACTGCCCAAGGTAATTTATAGATTCTATGCCATCCCCATCAAACTACCAATGACTTTCTTCACAGAATTGGAAAAAACTACTTTAAAGTTCATATGGCACCAAAAAAGAGCCCGCATCGCCAAGTCAATCCTAAGCCAAAAGAACAAAGCTGGAGGCATCACGCTACCTGACTTCAAACTATACTACAAGGCTACAGTAACCAAAACATCATGGTACTGGTACCAAAACAGAGATACAGATCAATGGAACAGAACAGAGCCCTCAGAAATAATGCCGTATATCTACAACCATCTGATCTTTGACAAACCTGAACAAACAAGTAATGGGAAAGGAGTCCCTATTTAATAAATGGTGCTGGGAAAACTGGCTAGCCATACGTAGAAAGCTGAAACTGGATCCCCTCCTTACACCTTATACAAAAATTAATTCAAGATGGATTAAAGACTTACATGTTAGACCTAAAACCATAAAAACCCTAGAAGAAAACCTAGGCAATAGCATTCAGGACATAGGCACGGGCAAGGACTTCATGTCTAAAACACCAAAAGCAATGGCAACAAAAGCCAAAATTGACAAATGGGATCTAATTAAACTAAAGAGCTTCTGCACAGCAAAAGAAACTACCATCAGAGTGGTCTCGAACTTCTGACCTCAGGTGATCCGCCCACCTCAGCTTCCCAAAGTGTTGGGATTACAGGCGTGAGCCACTACACCCAGCCAGAATTTTAAAGGTAACTTAATGATGTAACTAATGAATAAACCTGCATTTTCATCCTAGCTCTGGTGCTTATTAGGCAAGCATTTTGCTTAAACTCTCTATGCTCTAGTTTCTTCAACCATAAAATGGGAATAAAAACAATTAATCCCTAAAAAGGGTTTCTGTGAAGATCAAAAGAAAAATCCATTAAAAAAAAAAAAAAAAGAAAACAGCCAGTTCAGCTTGCAACTCAAACAATAATACAAGTACTTTTCCTTGAGACAACTGTCATAGTTTGGTAGGTGGCAAAAGACCTTTATGTATATTTTTCAGAGTATTAAAAGACATACTGCAAGTGTAAGAGAGAAAGGACATATACTGCAAGGGAAAAAGGACAAGTAATGGCTTCATGTTATTACGAAAATTCTTTTGATGTGTCTCAGAAACCTTCAGGGCTTGTACAGCATACTCTGAGAACTGCTGATACACACCATTTTGATGGTGATGAGTGTAGTGGAGAGAGATGTGGTGGGGAGAGGTATAGGGAGGGCATGGGGAGAGTTACAATTCAAATTGGGTGGTCAAGGAATGCTTCAGTGAGAAGGTGACATTTGATAGGTGACATTAAAGGAGGTGAGGAAGTGAGCCCTGTCATATTGTGGGGAACAGTGGCCAAAGAAGAAAGAACAGCAGGTGCAACAGCCCTAAGGTAGGAGCATGCTCAGTGTATTCAAGGAACAGCAAGTAGGCCAGGGCAGCTGGAAAAGTGGACATAGGGAGTAGTAGAAAATGGGGTCATGGGGGATATGAGAGCCAGACTGTGTGTAGGGTCCTGCAGGCCATTATAGAGGACTTAAGCTTTAATTTGAGTTAGCTGGAGAATGCTTGAAGAATTCTAAGTAGAAGAGTAACATGATTTGTTTCCATTGAAGAAGAGACTAAAGCTGAGTTGGAAGGTGTGGTCAAATTCTGTATTTGTAAGGTTTGAACATTTATTCTTGAATAATCCCTGACACACAGTAGGTCTTTAAAATAAGTATGTTAGGTGAAAGAATGTCCTTTACTCCTGTACCTGTCAAAACAGGGTTATGTTAGCCAGTTTTTGCTACAATAACAAACAGCCTCAATAACTCAATGGTTTAAAAGAATAAACATTTATCTCTTGCTTATATTGCTTGAAAGCTGTGTTGGCAGCAGCTCTGGTGGAGTGGAGAGAGGAGAATTAATATTTGGGAACAATAATACAATCTAAAAAGGACACTCTGAGGGTGAGATGAAGCCATAGTCAGTTAATTACAGCCCTACCTGAATTAACACACTTGACTAAATCTTTTGCTTATGGAGCCTGGCGGAGGCCGTCTTACAAGAAGCCTGCTGTCAGAATTGAGTCATCAGCTTGCGTGCATGAAGAACAAATGCTTAGTCCTCCTTCTGCAATGCATTCCAAAAGAACGACCACAAAACCATGGCCTTTTCACCCCAGGAGCACAGAGCTTATCTCCGGGTTGCTCAACCCTGACTACATGTGTTCTGTTTGGGGTCCATGAGTGGAGCCAGACATGGGGTTCTGGGAGAGGGTTTTGGTCACGGTAAGTCCTTAAACCACCAATATCAGAATCCCTTGGTAGGGATGGGGTCTTGCTAACCTCACAGATTCCTGGGCTCCACCCTAGGAATCTTTGGAGGTCAGGCCTGGGATTCTCTGGGTCTTTTATATTCTAAAGAGAAGGGACGTCTTAATAATATGAAGTTGGAAAATGAGCTATATCATGATAGCCTGCTCCTGGCTTCTCTTCCCTTGCCTCTGTTATCATCTGGGAGCAATTATGAATTGGATGCTGGAGCTGGTGTACTGTACCAGGACAGCCTGAGGATGATTGGAGAGGTGGGTAGGGCGATTTTAAAACCTGAGTGACTTTCTTAATTTGAAGTTACATCCATGACCTCACCAGGTCACCAGCAGCCCTGGCTATCTTCTCATTTTTATACCAGACTCATCTGGATTTGGCTGACTGTTAGGCCAATATTAAAAGGAAGCTAGGCTGGGTGTGGTGGCTCATGCCTGTAATCCCAGCTCTTTGGGAGGCCGAGGTGGGTGGATCACTTGAGGCCAGGCATTTGAGACCAGCCTGGCCAACATGGTGAAACCCTGTCTTTACTAAAAATACAAAAATTAGCCAGGCTTGGTGGCATGCACCTGTACTCTCAGCTACTCTGGAGACTGAGGCTGGAGAATCACTTGAACCCGGGAAGCAGAGCTTGCAGTGGGCTGAGATGGCGCCACTGCACTCCAGCCTGGGAGACAGTGTGAGACACTGTCAAAAAACAAACAAACAAAAAACAAACACAAAAAAAGGAAACTAGATAGTTAAATGTCATTCTTTCCCAACCTGGACCCTTTAACCTTGAACCTCAGCCTCTGGGTCTCAATGCATCCTGCTTTTGAGGAATGCTTCCTTAAAAATTTCTCAGCTACCAGGACAGCACAGGTGCCAGGTTCATTTTTGTTGGGTGATTTTGTGCCACCAGAGCTATTGCCCTTTAACCACTTCAAGTGATTAAAAATGGATCGTAGTCCTCCCTTGACCTTCGTTGGTGGAAGTTTCTTTTTTTCAGGACTCATCAAGTTCAAGCAGCTCAGGGACACCTCCACTGAGGCCCTCTTTATGGTCCACAGTGATTTATAGTAGCACTAGAACTTCTCACAAAAGACAAATTAGAACTTCTCACAAAGGACACCTTTTCACCGCTTTGTAGTGCTTCCTTTGAGAAAGAGACTTTTGACCCAGGGCTAAGATGTGGGAGGCAAGTTGTTCCCCTTAAGCCTTATTGGGTGGTAGCCTTTAGGATCACACCCATCTTGGCCTCATGTCCTCCTGAATGCTTCAAAATTGGTCTCTGCTTTTGACATGATTTCTCTTTCTTTGTTTCTCAATTTTGGTTTGTGTGAATTCGTTGTTCCCTGATCAAAGGAACACCATGGAAACACAGTGGGTTTCAGGGAGAGGGTGAGTTTTGAGTGTTTTGCCCATCCTGGGTTTAAGTCAGGTTTGCTTTTCTTTTTTAGAGGATCTCATCAACGGTTCCAAATACTTTAGATTTGGTGGCATTGTTATATTACTAAAATTCTAGTGAAGTCTTTGAGATTTATAATTAAAACAGATGAGACTCTCTATCCTCCAATAAAGAGGAAATAAGACCCTAGAGTCTTAGCAGAGGAAATTGTAGACAGTCTTAGTGAGGGAAATACTGAGAAAAAGAGTGAACATCTACATGGGAAATGGCTAACTTCCAAAGGTCATATAAGGCGAAGCATTTTTGATCAGTGGGATGTGAATTTTCATATTTTTATATGTGATGATTAAATGAGTACAATAAGGAACTAAGAAGTATACTGGTTGCTATTATGAGTTTTTTTCCCTGCCATGTGGCAGGGTTAGGATTAGGCCTGTTATCTGCAGTTTTAATCGCAGATAAACAGAAGGGCTTGTAAAGTTGTTCCTCAAAATGTGTTTCTGCCTGGAGGTTCCTTTGTCCAGAAGCAGTGATTATTAAACACTCACCTAGAGACTGTTAGCATTCCATTCATGCTCAACCCAGCATATTCCGAATCAGTAAGTCTGAGGTGGGTCCTGCTAATATAGACAGAAGGCAGGGAAATACTGGGCAGAAGAGGGCAGGTCTCTGGCAAAGGCCCCATGCTGAAGCCTGGAAATCTGCAGCCCTAAATGGGAACAGGCATTCCTGTTTTCATACCCAAATGTGGCCTTTTGGCCTGCCATGCCTGCCTTCCTATCCTGTACCCATATAAACCCCAGACCCCAGACTCCATGAGCAGCAGAGCAGCAGATTGGTGTAGCAGAGAAGGAGAGAAGAGAAGGAGTGTCTGAACATCAAGAGGAGCTTGGCTGGGGATGGTCAGAGAGGAGATTGGCCGCAGGACAGCCAAACCCCATGGGAAGATCATTTTCCCACTCCATCCCACTGAGAGCCACCCCCTTCACTCAATAAAAATCCCCATATTCACCATCCTTCAAGTCCATGTGACCTGATTCTTTCTGGCCACCAAACAAGGACCCAGGTACCAAGAGGGCAGGGTATAAAAGGACGGCACCCTGACTATACACTGAGCTGGTTTACCACTTAGCCATCCGTGGCTGGTAAGTACTGAAAGAGCATTTTTGTAACACCTCCCTAGATGCTACCATGAGGCCGGAGCCCAAAAGCGCTTACCCCGGCTCCTGCACCTGCCCGTCTGCATGCTCTCCCTCCTGTAAAGGGTTTGAGGTGTTGCAGCCAAGCAAATGAGCCACACTCCTGTCAAAAGTCCCAGGAGGGGGTCAGGGAACTCTCCTATTTCATTGGGAATCTGGGTTGTAAATAAATGCCCGGGCACTCCTGTTGCAGCAGGTCTTATGTTTGGGAAATTCTGAGCTAGAATACTGAGGTCAAATGATTATCAGCTTGTGAACTTGGCTTTGCTCGTTTACCCTGAACCTTGACTCTTGGAAATATGTGACTTTAATTTTAATACATGCTCATGACTCTGGACTCAGATATTCTACTTCTACGCTTCTATCTCAAGGAGAATATTCCAAAGCTGGTATGTGTGGAGACAAGCCTTTGAACACAAAATTATTTGCTATCATAATTTATAAAAGGGCAGTGTTAGAAAATAAATGCTTTTCCAAGAGGGGAATGATTAAGTATGTATGTTAACTCCACTTAACAGAATACTTTGCAGGCTTTACAAAAGATATCTGCTAAGTCTGTATGATTACAAGGAAAATGCTCATGATATAACAAAAAGAAAGATGCAGAATATAAAACGCTTGCAACAAGGTTAAGAAGGGAAAATCCCTCATCTATGCATAGAGGACTGGCAGGTAAGAAATACAACAAAGTGTTAACTGAGGTTGTCTTTGGATAAGGGTATTTGAATGCCTTTGTTCATCTTTACATTTTCTTTAATGATCAATTATTGCTTTTATATTACATACACATATGCATCTATATCTATGCATAGATATAGATATATATTTTGAAAACAGAAGAATTGCATGGATTTGATCATGAAACAGGACCTGGTGCTACAGTGTGTGTGGTTAAGACCAAATTTGTTTCTTTTATTAGGAAGTAAGTGGGTGAGATCAGTGGTGTGCGCCTGCAGGTCGCATATAAGCAATGTCCTCTAGACCAGCAAAAAAGATATGTATGTGACAATATTCAGCCACTGAGACTCTTTCCCTGCATAGAGATCGGCAGATGCCATTTCTGCAGACAATAGACATTGAATTCAGTGTGAGTTCCTTGAGGTCTAGATGGCTGAGATTGTTCTAGCTCCAGGGGAACCTAGGACAAAGATGCAAAGGGTGGACTCCCTCCAGTGAGCACAGCTGCCTCCATTCTACTCAGAAAGCCTCCAAATCATCCCTGCAGGACATAGAAGCTCCAGAAATGCTCCTTAGTAGTCAGATAATAGACCTCCTGACTAAGGTAGGGTGATTCTTTCTCTTTAGGATAGAGACAGAAGAGCTTTTAAACCATACTGATTGCTTGAAGCCCTGTGTTAAAAAATATCGTGAGAAAGTCTGGGGATTTAAAATGCACACAAATGGGCCGGTTGAGGTGGCTCACGCCTGTAATCCCTGCACTTTGGGAGGCCGAGGCAGGCAGATCACCTGAGGTCGGGAGTTCAAGACCAGCCTGACCAACACGGAGAAACCCTATCTCTACTAAAAATACAAAATTAGCCAGGCATGGTGGCGCATGCCTGTAATCCCAGCTACTTGGGAGGCTGAGGCAGGAGAATCATTTGAACCTGGGAGGCAGAGGTTGCAGTGAGCTGAGATTGTGCCATTGCATTCCAGCCTGGGCAACAAAAGTGAAACTCCATCTCAAAAAAAAAAATGCACACAAACAAACACAAACACAACTCCACGTAACTGCAGTGCTGTCCGCCTTGAGTGATCAGGGATAGAAGGTGTCAGGTCATGCTGGATGTCTCCCTGAATAGACCAGCTTTTTCCTCTGGCTTCACCTGGCCTCTGAACATCCCTGACAGAGCTTTTTCCACTTGTCACTTTCAGCCCTTCTAAATATTATCACTGAGGCAAAACTGTGCAACTTGAGCCAAATCAACCTGCCCAACTCCACTCCTATGCATCCTGCAGAGCCCTGTGACCTGCTTCATTACTCGTTCATAACAGGGTGGAAGTTAAAAAAAAAAAAAGACTGCACAGTTTTCAAAATCTCCATCCCCTGGCCCTCAGACAAGTCCTTCTTTTATTTAGCACTTAGTTCAAAACCTGTGCTGTCTAGTACAGTACCCAATGGTCACATAAAGTTATTTTATTTAATTTAAATTAATTAAAATTAGATAAAATTTAAAGCTCAGTTTCTTAGCTAAACTAGCTGTACTTCAAATGTTCAAAAGTGGTAAGTACACAGGGTACATAGAACATTTCCATCATGCAGAAAGTTCTAGAAGTTCTACTGAGCTATATTACAATTTCTCTTATCTATGTAATTTATTTTAAGTTTCTCGACCCACAACAGATTAGAAATAGCAAGTTAAGGGCATAGGGAATGATGACAACAAAGAACCTGATATAAAGGGAGGAGATGAAATGATTAGAAAGCAAAACACTCATCCATTTATTCAATCATTAAACAAATGTTTATTGCACAACTACTATGTGCCAGGCAGGTCCAGGTGCTTTAGCTAAAGACAAAATCTCTGCTCTCCTGGAGTGCACTGAACCAGTAATACTTCGAGAATATTTAGTATAAGAAGCCTTGTTTTCTTCATTATCCTCTGAAGGCATCATCCTCTAACAATCTAATTCAACAATTGGTTTTTATCTTGAGTCACTAAGAATAGTTAATATGGTTTAAGAAGTCAACACGTATATACATTTTAGAAAGATTACTCACCCAGTAGCTAAAGGAGCTGGTTTCAATTACTTACACATTGGGGCTGCCTACTCTTTTTTCTTTCTACATTGGATAACTGGCATTTTATATGTAAAGAATCCAAAAAAAGTACCCAATTTCTACAAGCTCCTTTTTGCAGATGAGTTTATGTATTGACTTACTTTCTATTTCTTTTCATGTCAATATAATTTGCTTTCCAGTTCTGTCCACTGATACTGTATGACTCTGGATAAGTCATTTGAACTTTTTTATCCCTCAGTAGGAAAGTGAGAGAGAAACAGAACTAACACAGACATAATCGTGGGTGGCATAAATTTTATCAACAAGATGTCTGAGAGGGTTTTCTGAAACAAGCAAGGACCAGGTAGGATTTGATGAACCCATACAATTTCCCTTTTCCCCCACTCTCTTTCTTGTCCCCCACTCTAAACCCAGAATGAATTGTCTTCTTACCCTTCCCAACTGGTGAAAAAATGGAAGTCAAGCAGTATAAAGCTTAAATATTTGCTTAGAGAAAGAATTCAATTCTGATAGTAAAAGAATTGTGTCAAAACAGGTGAGGAAGAAATTAAAGTCTTTGGGAACACTCCAGGGCTTGGAAGACATAATTTTTCCAGGTGATGGTCGGAGTTCAGTGAAGGAAAGCAGAGACATATATGTCAACTGCTTCTAAAAAGTGTAGGTCAGAATCAGGCCAGAAACCCCTAATTTAAAAATGATGTCAAAGGCAGAGTCTAAGATCACTGATAAATGAGAGGTAGTATGATGTCGTGGGAGAAAACACAGCATTTGAGGCCAGACAAATCTCAGTGAAATTCTAGCTCCAGCACCTACTAGCTGTGACAACCTTTCTTAACTTAACCTTTGTAACTTAACCTCTCTGTGTCTTGGTTTACTTATTTGCAAAATAAAAAGGATAGTGATCATACCTACCATGCAAGACTGTTTCAAGTGTTCTATGAAAGTAATTTGTGTGAATCACCTGCCATACAATAGGTAGTTGTGTTAGTTAAGGTGACACTAGCTTTTCTAACAATTAAATGCCAAATTCCAGTGGCTAACATAATTAAAGTTTTTTTCTTGCCTATGTGATAGACCAAATGGAGAAAGCTGGAGCTTTCCTTCATGTGGTGACTCAGGGATACAGGCTTCCATCTTGCAATTTCCCTTTGTCCATCTAAATACAGAAAGCAGAGGGCTTTTCTCCCTGTGGTCACTCAGGGATTGTGGCTTTCATCTTGTGACTTCTGCATCCCCTGAAACCTCAAAGTCTCTGCTTCCAGGTGGCAAAGAGGAAGGAGAGAGTGTAGAAGCTTTAACTGTTTCTTAAAATTCCTGGCCTAGAGATGAGACTTATCTAGTTTCACTGACATTCCATTGATGAGTACTAGTTTCGTGGCCTCCCCCGAGTGCAAGAAGAGCTGGGAAATGTAGTCTTAGTGTAGCAGCCACCTTTTAGCAATAGCTTACACTCTGAAGGGGTGGCAAATGCATTTGGCCAACAGGTAGCTATTTTGCTATTATGTCCAATAAATGGTACTCATGCTTACACTCTTTGGTATGAAACACATAGTTAAGTGAGCAGTGATTTTGTTATATAACAAAATTAAGTATGCTGTAAAGTGTTCAAGGATAGAGAGAAAGTTCAAAACCCAGCTGATAAAGCTACAGGAGTAGACTAGTTTTTTTTTTTAATTATCGTACTTTAAGTTCCAGGGTACCTGTGCACAACTAGTTTTTAAGGTTCAGTAGTATTTTGGGTCGTGTTTTATTTGGTCATATATGAAACCAAAGAGTGTAATGATTTTATTAATCCACCACAAATATTTATTATACTGATCATATGCAGGACACTGGTCTAGGCATTAGGTGTGGGCTGGGAAGGGTGTACAAAGGGTGTGAGACCTGGCTCTTGCCTTCAAAGAATTTATATTCTGGTAGGGGAGGGAAGATACGCACATCCTCAAAGACTCGTAAAGACAGGCAGTTTGGGCAGTGCCCTGAGAAGTACAAAGTGCTATGGGATTTGAGAAAGGGTGGGATGGTTTCTGTCCAGCGTGATTCAGCTGCAGGAGAATATTCCAAGCACTCAGTGTCTATTTGCCCCTGGACACCACTCTACTTGCTCCATAACACCACCTAACTTTGTTTCTCAAATCTCCTCTCTGCTCCATGTCTGCTCTCCATGGCTGAGAGCCCTCCTTTTCTTTTTCAGTCTGGGTCCTTGGTTTGTCTTTCCTCTCTGGCAGGCCCTAGGTTTACAAACTCCATTTTCTGCAGTGAATCCCTTCTCCTGGCAACTCTCAAGAGCTTTGCTCCAGGGAGCTGCACTTCCTAGGTGTGGCCTTATGTCCCAGATGCCACTCAATCTCCTTGGCTCTTTTCTGTCTTGGGGTTGGAGGGAGGGACCACTTCATGAATAAAACTGCATTTCACTTAGGCCTTGAAGGATGCACAAAATTTTGTTAAGTAGAGATGAAGCTTTCATTTCTGTAATGCTTGACTCAACAAAAAGGCCCTTTGTTACCACGGATTGATTTTAATTGGAATCTCTTCAGTTTCCTCTATGTTTTTGGAAAGGCCACTGTATATCAGGCATCTTGCTGATTGCTGATTGTACATGGGATACAGAACTCCCATGATATAGGTAGGGTAGCTGGTATCACATCCATTTAATGGACGAGGGAGACTGAGGCTTGAAGAAGTCAGGTGACTTTCCTGGTGTTAATCAGCCAGTAAGTAGAATAGGCTGGATTTTTCTCTAGTTCTCTTTCACCCTAGTCCAGTGTTCTTTTCCATGTCACAAAATGCTATGGAAGTTCAAATGGACGAACTGAATTGTATCAAATTAAATTTCATTCAAAAAGACATAAGACCCCTCAAGAATATTTGCAATGTAATACGGCATTCTGAAAGACTATAAAACCTCCAGCAGTCAAAGAAATAAACCTTGCAATCACTATTTGCTGCATGCGTGAAGGACTGCATTAATGAACTAATGAGTGTATGGTGCCCTGATAGTTCCTCTAATCTGAGTGGGTAAGCAAGTCCGTACCCTGTCTATTCAGAAGCAGGTGCTGACCCTGACAGTCTAGTCTATAAGTGCAGAGGACAAGCAGTCCTCATCCCTTGCTTTTGTGATCCCCTCTGGTGAAAGTGTGCCTTGCTCAGGTTAGCTGAAACTGACATTTAATTTCAGTTCTACTATTACTCCTTCCCCTTCAGATTCTCAGGGCAGGGTGTCGAGGTGGAGGGGCCCTCCTTGTGAGGAAGCAGCAGCAGCAGATTTTGCTGATGGTTGAAGAGGGATTTAAAGAGAGGAAGGGACTTGAGAACAGAATGGTTTGATGAAACAAGAAATGGGTTGCCCAGAATACAAGGGACAACTTTGAAAACAACAGAGATGTGAAGCTAGTGGAAGGGATGGAGAGGTAGATGCAGGACAGGAAGTGGGTGCAAGGGTGAAAAGCATGTTTTGGGTGTTTATTGGGCAAAATGCTTAGAAGATTTAATAGCAATGCCGAGCAGTCATGGCTGGGGAAAGAATCCAGAGAAATGGCATCTGAAATGAAAATGATGAAGTTCACCACTATCCCAGGGCTCAGAACCTGTCCTACGTGCAGAAACATAACTCTTGCCTGCTTTGGAAAAATGCTGAATTTTTCTATTTGAGAACAAGCTGCACCTCTTTCGCCCCTGGAGGTAGGGACAGGGAGATGTGAAAGAATCTCTCTCAGTTCTAGCCATGAGCACTATTTTAAAATGCTGCTTTTCTTAAATGCCTCATATTTTGAAAGGTAACAAAATCTATGTTTGAAATTAGAAAAATAAATGAGCAGGAAAATGGTGCAGCAGGAAGAATCTGAAGAGGCCATTGAGAGATGGAGGTAGCTTTTCAGTTCTGAGCTCCCCAAGGGTGGGGCCTACCTCATTCACCTGGGGCCGCCGTCTCTGGCAAATGTCGGGAAAACAACGTACAAATGAATGACTGATGCATAAGGAAACTCACTTCTGGCTAGACTAGAGAAGTGGGAAATTGAAACAGGGCACCTGTTTCAGACAGGCTTTGTAGGGGTGAGGGTGTGAACCCAGAATGTCTCGAGGTCTGAGTTTCCTGGTTGTCTTTTCTGCCACCAGTGAGCAAAGTACAGGAGCAGTAGTAGACTTGGCAGAAAAGGTGGCAAGGAAGGTATTTGGGTGATGTGTGTATCTCTCAGGATTAATGTCAGGACGAAATGAGAACATCTACTCATGGAATGTGCATTTGTTGAGCTCCTTGTATGCACCAGGCAGTTAGGGACACAGCAGTGAACTAAATAGGCAACAATCCTTGCCTTTGTGGCACTGACATTGCAGAGGGGGCAGGCAGACAATGAATGAGCAGACAGGTAATAGCAGTGGTATATTAGATGGTGGTATGTGATGGAGAAAAACGTAGCAAGAAAGGGGCTGAGGGAGTACAGGATGGCTGTCAGAGAAGGCCCGTGGAGAAGATGACATTTAAAGCATATGATAGAGCCAGAACTGCATCGATCTGGGGCAGGAGCATTTCGTGCCCAGGGTACAGAAGGCACACAGGCCCTGTGGGGAAGCTGTCAGGTGTATTCTAGGAGCTTCAGGGAGGCTGCTGGTGTGGCTGGAGCCCGGTGAAATGGGCAGAGTGTGCTGAGGATGAGGTCAGAGAGGAGCAAACCCTTTGAGCCTTACAGGCCATGCCTGGAACTTGGGCTTTTACTGTAAGTGAGATGGAGCCTCTGGAGATGAACAGAGCTTGGACAGGATCTGGCTTAAGTTAAAAAGATCATGCCATGTGGACTTAGGTTGTATGAAAGTCTCTTAAGGTACTGGTGAGAACATAGCACTTAATAAATGTTAGCTGTCGCTATTATTAAGCTTATTAAAACATAGTGGGGAGAGGGGATCCCAGAGTGGTAAGTGGTTTCCTGTAATGCATGTTACACTTCAGCTCCACCAGCTTCTCACACATTGGTTCTGATAAAACTCAGAACCAATCAGATATCAGATGGTAAACATGCTTGGAGATTACAAGATCTTGGGCCTAAAACTAGATTAGCAGCGTCCTGATTTGGTGATGAATTGCCTCATGGATGGAATAAGCATCTATTGAGCATCTCCTACATGTCCGGTGCTGAAGCAGACACTGGTAATAAACATAGACATAAGTGGGATGGACAGAGTTCCTGCCCTCACAGGTATTATTTAATTCATACCTCCTCCTCTGGGCAATGTGTGAAACAGACATGAAACAAACAATTATGTAAACCATTATCCTGATCTAACAGTGATGAGTGAAATGAAAGATGGGTGCTGGGTGCTCTGGAATGCACTGCAGAAGGTCATCATGAAGGGCCTCTCTGAGGAAGGGACATTTAAGCTAAGACAAGAGAAAGGCGGAAGGTGTTGTGGTGGGAAAGAACCCTCTGGGAGATGGAACAACATATGCAAAGGCCCTGTGACAGGAAGGAGAAAGTGATTCCCATGTCTGGGGAGCAGAGGGCTTGGGCAGAAGCAGGGGAGCCCAAAGGGGTGGACAGGGCTGGTCAGGTAGGAGCTTTTGGCATGTGGGGATTTGGGCCTTTATTCTGAATGTAATGGGCAGTCTTAAAGGGTTTTCAACAAGGGAGTGACCTGACCAGACTTGCAATCACTCTGGCTGAAGGTGGGGGGCAGCCTGGGTGGGAATAAGCATGGACTTGGGACCTGTTGGGAGGCCCTTGCAGCACTGAAGGGGTCAAATTTCTACATGATGAAAACTGAGGTTCAATGAGCCTTCACGGTACTGACATTGCAGAAGGGGCAGGCAGACACCCCCATCTTCACTAAGGCTGTTAGCCCTTGATATAAAGACCACGGGCATTGGGCTTAACCTGGCCTAGGATCTCAATTCTGTCCCTTCCTGTTTTGTGGCTTGGATGTCTCTCAATTCTTCATCTCCTAAAATGAACAAAATTACACTTGCCACACTGGGTGGTTTGGGAGATATGGGAAAATATCACAGTTACCTTGGGGCTTAACAGCCCACTAGTGCTCTGAGAATCAAAAATTGGACCATTTCAAGGGATCTGAGTAAAAGGTGCTCAACGAATGTGAGATATAACCATTGCAAGATAAGTTTCTGCTGTCTATATAAACCTTGTTTCCAAGATTAATCAACGCTTATTTAAAAAGGAACAAATGGGCGGGCGCAGTGGCCCATGCCTATAATGCCAGCACTTTGGGAGGCCGAGGCGGATGGATCACCTGAGGTCAGGAGTTTCAGACTAGCCTGGCCAACATGGTGAAACCCATCTCTACTAGTAATACAAAAAAATTAGCTGGGCATGGTGGCGCAAGCCTGTAATCTCAGCTACTCAGGAGGCTGAGACAGGAGAATCGCTTGAACCCGGGAGGCGGAGGTTGCAGTGAGCCGAGATCGTGCCATTGCACTCCAGCCTGGGCGACAAGAGCGAAACTCCGTTTCAAAAAAAAAAAAAGGAACAAATATTATTAGCATGTTGAATAGGGAAATGATTCCTAAGAATAAGACTGGGCCCTGTATTTCAGCTGGTGTGGACTGTATGCTTATGTATTTGCGTCTATGTACTTATCATTCATTTGACAAATAATAATTCATTATCTCATGCTGCTGACGTGGTACTAGGTGTTATCTACGGGTGACACAGAGTTGGCCCTCATGTCTATTTCTTCCACAGAAGACTACAGAACTTCTGACTCAATTCCTTAGTTAGAAACCGGAGGGCGAAACTCTGGTTTTTCAGTTTCAATGGGTGTTTTAATTGTTCCTTTAAAGTGTCACATTTCATCACGTGTATCATCATCTCTTAAATTACATTATCTTGAAAGTTGCTACTCAAACTTATGCTATTCAAATTTCAAAAAAAATTTTTAAATGATGAACCTCAAGTAATTTATCCCGTGAAGTTCCAGAGGATGAAAATGTGGCTCAGAGATGATTAAAAATCAGACAGTAAAATATACACATGGATACCTCAGAATTTGTGATGTACTCCCAGGTCCACTGAGACCTGTGCACAGCATGAATCACTGGCTTCTGGTATTGAACCTAAGACATGAAGTGGGGGCAATGTGTGTCCCACTGTCCCCCATTATAACATGCCCCTCGGGCCAAATGTTCTATCCTGATGTCCCCTCACCCCTGGAAAACATGCAGTTGTCAGAAACATGATCACATAGTGAATTTGCCAGGCAAATTGTGAAATATGAGTCATGGTTCTATTTGTTCTGCAATTGTGAAAATTGCAAACTTTTTATCAAGATAAAAACTGAAACTTTGAGTGTCACCTCATGGGGGGAGCCCTGACACTCTCACGTCAGACTGTTCTCCTCACCCACCCCCACGGCTCTGGTCACGCTATGCCTCTGCCAGGGACCAACCTGCTGTTTAGTGTTCAGCACCCAGAGAGTGGCTTGCCCGGAGGCCCTTTCAAATACTGGTCACAAGCACTGCTGTTAGCCTGACCTCCAGCTTGCCTGTCAAGTAGAGGCTTGGTTGTCCTGGAGGCACTGCCTCTCTCAGCCCCCTCCCCTCCTACTGTCCAGACTCGAGTCCAGCACTCCCTCTACCCGTGTGCTCTCCATATCCCTGCCCTGTAGCCAGGGACTCCCAGTCACCACTTACCTAAGTTTCATTCTCTAAAGACCCTGGTAATTGGAAATAGATTCCTACTAATGCACTAATTTGTTACTCCTCAAGAAGTAAATGTGATCTTAAAGTGATCTTAGGTAGATAAAGTCTTAATCCACTGGTTTCCTGAAGTCCTCATCTTCCTTGGATGTACCTGAGGGTCACTATAGAAAGCTTGGAACCCTCCGCCCTCTATCAGAGCTCCAGCCAGAGCTGTTCTGATTTTATACGCCTCCTTAAAAACACTCTATACTGGGGTCACACAGTGTGATCTATGAAAGGGTGGGCTCTGGAGCCAGACCAGGCAGGATGGAAACCCAGCTCTAGCACCTACAGCTGTGTGATGTTGGGCATATCATTTAACTTCTCTGTGCCTTAATTTTGCCATCTGTAAAGTATGAACAGTAACAGCACACTGTATCTACCTTGTAGAATTGTTGGACTAAATGAGTTAAAACATCTGGCATACAGTAAATACTACTTAAGAATGCGCTAGTATCGTCTACATAGGGGCCCTCAGAGATTTTGTTTGAAAGAGGGTTTCCACTGCTTTACAAAAAGGTAAAACAAACAAAGCTCCAAACTCCCACTCCCTTCACTCAAAATATGAATAACTTACTGGAATGCCACCACCAAGGGTAAGTTTCTTGGCGCCCCTCGGATCTTACCTAAATGTGGGGCTGAGCCGGCTTCAGGTCTGCCCATGAACTGGATCAATCAACTCAAACCAGCATTGTTGTAGCTGCTGACTTAGGGAACGGAGTTAAGTGCAATATCTGAGGCACTTTATTCATTTTATTGTTCTCTAGGTTTTTAAAAGTTGTTATTATTAAGCTAATAATGTTAGGCTCTATACCTCATGAGTGCCCAGCAAGAGGCCATTGGCTCACGGTGTCAGAGGAACCATGTGAAGAAATATTTCCCAATTTTTGAAGTGAGAGGTCAGATATTAGTATCAAAGATCAGATGTTAGTATCAAATAACACTGTGGCATCTGCTTGATTAGAAATGAATGAATAAACTAGCCCACTTTTCAATTATTGGTGACAACTTTTTTATTTTTATTTTTATTTTTAGAGACAGAGTCTCATTGTGTCACCTAGGCTGGAGTGCAGTGGTGCGATCTCGGCTCACTGCAACCTCTGCCTACCGGGTTCTAGCAGTTTTCCTGCCTCGGCTTCCTAAGTAGCTGGGACTACGGGCACATGCTGCCACACCCGGCTAATTTTTTGTATTTTGATAGAGACGGGGTTTTGCCGTGTTGCCCAGGCTGGTCTCAACTCCTGAGCTCAGACAATCCACCCACCTCAGCCTCACGAAATCCCAGGATTACAGGCGTGAGCCACTGCACCCAGCCTGGTGACAACTTATTATTGGACAACATCTTGACCACTTGGGGCAGGTGTCATAGTTAATTTCTAACCAATCTTGAGGTCCTCAAACGTGGAAATGATGCTCTTCCTTTCTTTTTAAGACTTTTTTTTTATTTTCATGGACTCAAGGAAGGTACTTATTACATGACAATGTAATTCTCATTAGCAGGGGCAGCAGCGACGCTGAGTTGCGCAGCAAACACCGACTTGAGCGTGGCTGAGGATCAAGGAGGAGAACTGAAGCATGCACCAGTTGCCACCACCAGGGCAGTGTCCCACCGAACACAGGGCTATCAGCACCATGCCCCACTTGTACCCCAAGCTCCACTATGATGCTGTAAATATTCCATTGCTTGAAATGAAGGGTCATCATGGTGAGGATGAAGACAGACGCAGTCTCTTTGTGTCTGAATTTGAGTAATGGGTAGGGGGTGGGTGCTTCCACAGGGTTTTATTGCCCTTGGATCTCAGAAATATTTATTTTCAGTTGATTAATACTCTGCCATTTATACTGACCACATGGCTTCAGTTTTAGAACTCCAAAAACACAAGGGCTGTTGGGTAGAACAGGAAACAAATTTTAGGAAGTATGTATCACAGTCCCCCATGACATTTTCTTGTGGGTTAGTCTTAAGTCATACAGGCATCAGAATTATAATCCTGAGGAAATTTCTTGTAGAAAGAGAGGATTTTCTTGTATGTCTGTACCTCTACACTCAGAAGAATGTTGTGGTATTATTTTATTAGCAATGTAATGATAGCAGTTAACATCTGGCGAGTGCTGACTATATGCCAGGCATGGTGCTGAGTGCTTGCTTTTTTTTCTGAGATGGAGTCTCGTTCTGTCACCCAGGCTGGAGTGCAGTGGCGCGATCTCGGCTCACTGCAACCTCCGCCTCCCAGGTTCAAGTGATTCTTCCACCTCAGCCTCCCGAGTAGCTGGGATCACAGGCACCCGCCATCATGCCCGGCTAATTTTTGTATTTTTAGTAAAGACGGGGTTTCATAATGTTAGCCAGGCTGGTCTTGAACTCCTGACCTCAGGTAATCTGCCCACCTTGGCCACCCAAAGTGCTGGGATTATAGGGGTGAGCCACCTCACCTGGTCCCTGAGTGCTTTTACATAGATTATCTTATTTATTCCTTGCAATAAGTCTGTAAAAGTAGGTGCCATTACATTTTAGAGATGAGAAAACGGAGGTTCAGTGGTTCTAGGTGACTTGTCTGAGGTTATCTGAGTAGAAGGTGACAGGGTTGGGATTTGAACCAATGTCTGGCCCCAAAGCCTGGATGCGTCCCTTTATACACACAGGCTCTTCTAATGAAAATGGGGCATTTATTTCTGTATATACTGTGGCTACGTTCTCCAAACAGTTCGGAGCTTTAGAAAATATTTTGAGAATTCTCACTCAGATAGACTTTCCGGCAAATACAACTTATTTTGCTTGAGAATTTCCCTGTTTCTTGCACCTTTGTCTATTCAGCTTGGAGAACCAACCTTGGGGAACAAAATCTCCCTCCACCTATCACAGACATTTTCTTTGAGACAGCAGCTGAGCCACCATCCACAGCTTCACCTATCAAGACAGGTGTCTCTGTTTTCCATGAAAGGTGTGACTGCCGGAGATCTCTGTCTTCAGCATTCTCCACCCTTCCCTCCCAGTGCTGCAGAAAGCCTGGCATAGGGTCAGGCTGGTGAGGCTGGATCCAGGCCTACCTTCTTGAACTTTAAGCCGTAAGTGGGACATTTACAAGGGAAAGATCCCTTCTGTGGAATCTCACTGTGAAGTTTCAAGGGCTGCTGCCCCACGCCCACTATGGGCGCTCATAGCCAGGGCTTCTCTGCGTGTCTTACTCTCATCTCTACATCTTTCACTCTCACCGTTATCTCTGAAGAACCAAAGGGAGAAATCACAGGAGTTGGAAATTCCGATGAACCTTTTGCTCTTAGTTGTTGTGCTGAGGCTGGGTGAGTCTCATTTTTAGAAGAAGATGGTGAGAGATTAGTGACCGTGGCTGCTAATCAGCCTTCATCTGAGGAGGAGGACTGCAGAGCCCCATTTTGTCAAAATGAGAGGGAAAATAAGGCAATGAGGCATGTGAAAGGGAAATGTGTTTTTATTTCCTTAAAACCATGCTTTACTGAAAGAGGCACACTGCTTGGGTCTCAGGCGCCCGAGGTGGACTCTGAAAGCTGGCTCTGAGAAGGGAGCGGGAGGGCAGAGAAGGGGAAAACCCATCTGGGACTTTAGCGAATTTTGAGCTATTCAAAAGTTGTTGATCTTGCCAGATTCCAACTTCTGACAGCTGCTAAATATGGCACCTGAGAAAATAGCTTTGATTTTGTAATTTGGAAATGGGAAGGGAAAATTCATTAGGGTTAAATGCACAGAAAGAACACCAGCGGCTTTCCTGTGTCCATCCAGAGGCTTTTAGAGACTTATTGAGTCCTGGTACACAGAGAGTAGATGTGAGGTCCCGCAAGGACGAAAAAGACATTTCCTCCCCTCTGAGCTTGGGCACTAACAATGACAAGCTGAAGGCAAAGGCTGTTAGGAATTCGCCTCTATGCAACATCCCCCTCTACTGGATTCTTGCATGGAAAACAGCACCCTTACAGCCTCTGCTGCCCTAGAAGGTTTTCAGAGCTCTTTCTCTATGTTAACACACACTTTGGAGTCGCCAAGGCAATTTCCCCTCCCTTCTCTATTATTTCCTTGATTAAGATGAAACATTCTGTAAATGCACACACATCCAAGAAAGATAAGACACCAGAGAGAGAGGAATGAAATGATGATGGGGTCAGTGTGGAATTTTAGGACTCCAGAAGATTGGGTTGTTTACCTAGTGTGGGATTGAGGGCCAGAGAGGGGGGCCTTGCTGGAGGCACACAGCTGGTAAAAGGCAACACTTATGCTGGAACCCCACCTCTCCCGACTCCCCTTTAGTGCTCTTTCTCATGTGACAGAGTGACATGTATATTCAGAGTGATTGAACCTTGAACGTGGTTTCTGGTCATGGAAACCACAGGGCTTGTCTAAGGAGAAGGTGATCCTTCTGATTGTTTCTCTTGCAAGATCTCCTTCTCTGACCTGGGTGGACTTACTGCAGTTGCAACTGACCCCAGGGAATGGGGTCAGAAATGGTCTGGCCCCAGGTCATTGGTGATCCATAGACCATAAGTCCAGGCAGGGAGCCTGATACCATGAGAAGCACCTTCATGTCTTCCCCAGTCACAGGGCTGGGGCCTTCCCTATTAGAGTCAAGTGCATCTACAGCAGTCTGCCCAGTAGAAATTTCCACAATGGTGGAAATGAGCCATGTCTGCACTGTCTAATATGTAGCCACCAGCCACATGTGACTTCTGAGTCCTTGAAATGTGGCTAGGGTGACTGAGGAACTGAATTTTGAATTGTATTTAATTGTAATTAATTTAAATTTAAATAGTTACATGTGTCTAGTGGCTACTTGATGGACAGGACAGTTCTAGGAAAGACTTGTTGACATATATACATCACTTGGCCAATGAGACAGTAGTTTTCTTATTAGGTGCTGCTTGATAATTGGCAGGGCTGCGAGCAGAGGACAGAACCTGGGATGTGGCAGAACAGCTTGTACAAGCAGTGCTGGAGCAGGAGGAAAAACACCAAGGCTAAACTCTTGCTTCTGCCCCAGAGTAGCCGCATGAATTTGGGAAACACTTGGGACTCCATGTCTTCATCTGTAAAATGGGGAGGTGATTTGGTTCTCCACCTCTTTGCCTCAAAGGAGCCCTTTTATTATTTTTCCTCTATTGATTCTTTTTTAGACAAAAAAGCCTGTCTATGACACAAGCAACATTTACTGAAAGAGGAATTGTTGACATTTAAAATGACAAACTTGTAATCAGAATCTTTAACACCAGCTAACTAGAATGAACACAGTGAGTGGATATAATTCCATCCAAAAGCAAAGCACCTGAGGCATAATTAGCCTGTCTGGTCTCATGTGTAGCACACTCATATGCTTATGAATGGCTTTAAAAATACGAAGAATACCTCTAGGACTCCCGTTATGGCCTGCTAGGACATTTAGGGGGCTCAGGGACCCAGGTTAGGATCCAGATGAGATGATCTCTACCTTCCTTCTGGGTCTTAGAGTTATGAGTCCAAGGAGGATTTGATGGGAGGATGTGGTCAGGAGTGAACAAGTTAGTACAGCACTTTTGGGGGAATCTGGGCCTTGTTGAGGGGAGGACACTGAAATGTAGATGGGAAAACCATGCAGGAGAATCTCACCTGATTCACGCTTTTGCTTAGGGCACTGCTTGGGGGCTACTGGAAAATGTTAGAGCCATCTGGGCCAGAGATGGCATCCGGATCAGGCAGCCACCAGCTGCCAGCCACCATACCAGGCTGTTCTTCTTTCCCTCTGGGCACCACCTCCAACAGTGGGGGACAGGGCATGAGGCAAAGGGCCATTTGCCTCCCAGCATGCGACCCTCCGAGGCTGTGGAGGTGCCACAGAGAGGGTGGTGGGAGGAAACCCAGAGCAATGAAGCAGAACCTGAGAAAACTTCACACAGGAAGCTGCAAGGAAGCTCCTTCTCCCGCTCAGAGGGTCTGTGAGAGTGGAATGTTCTCTTTGAAGGATGTGCTTTCAGGCCGAGCTGACATCTGTGCAGCACTTCTGCATGCTCTGGCCTCAGTTACCTCATTGGATTCATACAGTAGTTTTCTAGGAGGGAGAAGATATTAGTCCACCTTACAGGCAAGTAAGCAAAGGACCTGGGAGGCCAAAGACCAGCATGAGATTATTTAGCTTGCAGATGGCAGCTCTGGTATTCACACCCAGGACGGTGGAGGCTCTGACCCTAGGCAGTATGCCCTGACCCTGTGATACGCTGCCTCTGATGACAGGACATGACCTGTGATGACCTCATCGCTGTTGCTCCTATTACCTGGTACCGTCTTGGGAAAGGACACCTCCTTTAACTCAAAACCAAGAATGATCTCTCCTTGGTTTTCACATCTTCTGTCCTTTACTTATTGTGGCTGGTTTATGTGTATAGGTTTTGATTTTTCAAAGATCTTTTTCACACAATCTAATTTTATTTTCTCAAGAACCCTTGTACGTAGGTGGAGCCAACCTCCTTGTTCCTACTTTACAGATGTATAAACTGAGGCCCAGAGAGATACATGACTTTGTCATTGACTACAGGGTTCGATTGACTAAGTAAAAGAAATTTTCTGGCTGGTACATTTTTGCCCTTTTGACCTCTACATCTGAAGTATCCACCTTATAATGTCAGTACCCTTCTGACACTTTTTGTTGTTGGTGGTGGTAAAAAAGAGGTCTTTATTCACTCCAGTTTTGATCATGAATCAGTGTGCTCCTAATCTCAGCAATGTTTGTAGTAAGGATAGAGGTCTTAAAGTCTTTAGATGGTTCAAAAATCTTGTGAGAACAGGATTTTCTCAGTGTTTGTGGGTGTCTGTATTATTCCATTCTTTGAGGGACCTCCGAGAGGTACATCCCTTCGAGGCCAGGTGCAAGCTTCGATATGCTGCATTAGTCATAGCAACTAATGAGCATGAAGGCGCTTTTGAACAGCAGAGCATGCTCTCAGTGTGGGGACTCTGGTTTCAATAACTTACTTTGTTTGGTCAGGCTGGGGCTTGGTCGAACATGGTGCACAGCGTTGCTTTGTACCTATGCACTTACTTATTTTTAAATAAACATTAATTGAGCATCTACTATTTGCCAAATGTTGTTTTCTGCACTTGTGTTGTCATTTTCCCTTTGAATAAGGCTCATGTTTAATTTGGGTTTTGTTTGGGGAGAGTACCTGGGCATCTGGAATAGGATTAAAATAATCATAGCCCTCTCTTTTCCCTTCTTAACTCTTCAGAATTTATTTCCCAGGGGACGGTGTTCAGTTGTTTGATTTTACAATTTATGATGATGGAGGATTTTTTTTTCTTGCATTAAATGCTTGCCAAGGAAGTGTGTTCTACAGAGGGTAGACATCAGGCTGGAATGAGAGTCTGTGGTGAGGACAGCTTGACAGGGGAGGGGCCTGCGACATTAATAAACGGAGATCATAGAGGAACAGGGGTGGGGAGCACAGGGCTTTTGTTGGAAAGATATTAATAGGGATAATGCTTACATTCTTAGTTGAAGAAAGTATTTGATCTCCTGAGCATAGCTCTGATGTCCCTTATGATATGTATTAAATGTAAAACCTCCCTCCACTCAGAAAGTCATTTGTCAAATCAAGCGGTTGGAAGTTTCTACAAAGTCCGGAGCCTCAGGAAGAAAGACAGGCATGGCTGGTCCATCAGCAGCTGTACTGAGATGGAATAGACGGGCTGGGAAGGCTCCGTAGGATGGGGAGCTTCATTACTGGAGTGTTGGCATATGGTCTGTTGGGGTCTGAACTGTATAGTTTTGGTGGACAAATGTGGGAGATGGGAAACACAATTAAACTGACATTCATAAAGTACCCATGATGTGCCAGGCATAGAGTGAGGTGAGGCACTTTTAAATCTATTTTGTTATCTAATTTGGGCGATGATCTGATCACCTGGGGTATATGATTCCTCTTTAAGGGTGGAGTGGGGTTGGGGAGAGTGGGGAAGAAAGGGAAAGAAGGGGTGGAGAAGAGCCTCAAGCTGCCCCGGGGCCCACTCTAACCTATTCAACCAGAGAAAATGAGTGACTGTAATTCAGTGGGTGGGAGAGTGCTTCTAAAGGGCCTTCTGGTCAAAACTATCTCCTCCATTGGACTAAAATTCCAAACAATTGAGCCACTGGTGAATCAGATTTTAAGCATGAGCTATAGACTCGAGGAGCCCTCTGTTTTTGTTCCTAAAATTCTCTGTGGGAGAAGAAAAGTCCCTTGGCATTAGCATGTGTTTCTTTTTCAGGTTGATAGAAAACTTGGGGGTTGGTTTCCATAGAAAGGGATGGACATTCAAAATTTTACATGGATAGACCCTGCCTCTCCTCCTTAGTACCCACATAGCAGCAAAGACCATGTCCCACCTTGAGCCTATAAATTTCCTGTGTCGTTCTATGCAGGTGAAGTCCAGCTGTCTGTCAGTCATGAAGGAAGCAGAGGAGGCTGGTTTGGCCAGGACTGTTGCCTGCCTCTGGTATGGTCCTGGGAGGTAGAGGAGAGATGGGAATGGAGGAAAAGAAGACCTTGCTCACCCACCCAACTGGGCAGTCAAGTTACTCAAAGGGAACTTTAGGAAAACCGGGCAAGAATGAGAAGAAAGCAACAAAATCAGTTGGAGCTAAAAAGTAGGTTCTTCTAAGGAAAAACAAAAGGTGGGCTGTGGATCTAGTAACTGTGATCACACATGAGGATGCAGAATAACAATCATGTCCAGGATACCTCAAGAGTTTCTTGGGTATTATGTTAAGTGCTTTCTGTGACATATGTGACTTCCTCTTCAAAACTACCATATGAAGAAGATACTGTTGTCACCCACATTTTACAATGGAGCAATCTCAGTCTGGAGGATTTTCTAGCCTCTAGAATCAAGCAAGAAATACAATTAGTTACATATTTACTGGGACGATAACATCAGAACAAATTAGTAGCTTAAGAGAACATAAATATACCTGGTATTGAGATTAGCTCAAATGTCTCTTTAAAGATATGTGGATGATCCACCATTGCAGAATAACACAATTTAAAAACCATATTATGCCAGAATCTACATCCAAATGAGTGCTGGGCTGTTAAGAAGATCTGCGCCCCCTTCACCTCCTGCCCAATGTTAACAGCATAAAAACTGGAGCTCCAGGAGGACGGTAGTTCTCACTTCCAGTGAAGGGGTGCTGGTGTGTGGATGGAAATTTGTCCTGCCTGGAAATTGTAGCTGACTTCTAATGACACCAGCACAGCTGGACATGTGAATATCCTCTGTGGTAGCAGATGGTCATCCTGGGGGAAATGGCTTCAATTTTTGGAAGTTGAGGTCCAGTGAATAAAGTCAATGCTTTTATAAACTTACCTTTGGAGGGAGAAATGACAAGGCCGATTTTCTTTTATGGTCTATAAATCAACTAGATTCCTAGAAAGAGATTCCAAAAATCTTTTGGCGGCAGCCTTGGAATAAGTGTGTATGGATTCCCAAGATGAGAGCTTTGGAGATAGTGTTCATTTGTAGGAATAAGTCCTGATGTTTCAGTAAATAATCAATTCTGTTATCTTGTATGTCTTTTTTCCCTGATTAAAATATAAGATCCTGAAGGCTGGGAGGCCAGAGTGGATGCATAGCTGAACTTTGGATAGTGGAATCATTATATGAGGTCATGTGTTCCCACCTCTGTGGGGAGCCTTCCCCATGAACAGTAATTCCATTCTCCCATGCGCTGAACAAAATCCATGGAATTAGCCTAACTCTTCTCCTCCTGCCACCCTCCATGTCCAATCTGTCAGGAAATCCTAATGATTTTCCCTTTAAAATATACCCATCATAAGACTGCTCCTCACAGTCCCACTGCTCTTATCCACGCCACCCTCCCCTCTCATCTGAGTAACTGCTGTAGCCGCTTCACTGTTGTCTCTGCCTCCACCTTTGCCTCCTGTGGCCCATTCCCAGCCCTGCAGCTGTTTGGAAAGCAGGTCATGTCACATCACTCCTCTGTCTACCCAGAACCCTGCAGTGTAGATGGTGGTCAGCAGATTAAAGGCTCGCAAAGATGTCCACAGCCTCATGCCCAGAGCCTGTGAATGTGTTATCTCACATGGCAAAAGGGACTTTTGCAGATGTGATGAACGGTATAGATCTTGAGATGGAAAAAGTATCTTGGGTGGGTCCAACACAACCTAGGGTGACATGTCTTGGGGACATGAGTCCCTGGGAGCAGAGACCCTTTCCAGGCTGAGGTCAGAGAAGTTGGGTTGTGGGGGTGGAAGAATAATTAAAGAGTTGTGAAGTGAGGTGGTCTTGACCCTTCATTGCTGGCCTTGAAAATGGAGAAAGGGAACCAAGGTCCAAAGGATGCAGTCAGCCTCTGGGAGCTGGAAAAGGCAGGGAAAGGGTTTCTCGAGAGGCTCCAGCAAGGGACACAACCCTGCCGACACCCTGATTTTAACACAGTAAGACCCGTGTTAGACGTTTCCCCTCCAGAACTGTAAGATATTAAATTTGTGTTGTTTTCAGCCACTAAGCATGTGTGTTTATAGCTTTGTTACAGCAGCATTAGGAAACTGATAGAATTTCTCATCCCACTTAAGTTAGTTCCAAAGGTTTGATCACAGCCTCCAAGGCCCTATGTGATCCAGCCCCCATTACCTCTCTGACTTCGCCTCTTTCTAGGCCCCCTCTTGTTTACCCTGCTTGGGGCAAACGATCTCCATGCTCTTTCCCTGCACACACCAAGAGGGCTCTCGTTTCAGGCCTCTATTCTTGCAGTTTCCTCAACCTGGGGTGCGTTTCCCATGTGGCATCCTTCCTCTCCCTCTGTTCAAAGCTCTAATAGGGCAGTCCAGGGGCCTTCCGCAGTGCCCTTAGCTATGACAGCACCCTCTGCTGGCTGGCATTTCCACCCTCTCTTACCCTACTTCTTCCTCTTCATAGTGCTTCCTGGCACCTGACACACAAACAGACACGCACACACATATTTCTATGTTTGTTGGCTTGTTTATTGTCTGTCATCACCCATTAGAAAGTAAGCTCTAGAGGCCGGGTGTGGCAGCTCATGCCTATAATCCCAGCACTTTGGGAGGCTGAAGCAAGTGGATCACTTTGAGGTCAGGAGATCGAGACCAGCCTGGCCAACATGGTGAAACTTTCTCTCCACTAAAAATACAAAAATTAGCTGGGTGTGGTGGCGCACGCCTGTAGTCCCAGTTACTCCGGAAGCTGAGGCACGAGAGTCCTTTAAACCAGGGAGGTGGAGGTTGCAGTGAGCTGAGATCGCGCCACTGCACTCCAGCCTGGGTGACAGAGTAAGAACTTGTCAAAAAAAAAAAAATAATAATAATCAAGAAAGTAAGTTTTAGAAAGACAGGAATTTTCACCTGATTTTTATCTCTGATATGTTATCGATGCTTAGAATATGGCACGTAGCAGCTGCTCAATAAACACTTACTGTATGCATGAAGGAAAAGTGGTTAACAAGACATTAATTGTCACTTGCTATAAACAAACCCTTTGTGATAAAATATTGATCATTCCTTAATTTGGCTGAGCCTAAAATTAGCCCTCAATAATAAATTCCCTGAACAGGCAAATCTTTTTTTTTAACAATTTTAGACTATGTTGTACACTAGCTGTTTGCATGCAAAGCCCAGAAATAGCATAATTTTATTACCTCTGTTCCTGCAAGCTGCCTGGGTGGCAACTTCTGCTTAGCAACACAGAGCTAGGGTTCCAGGACAGCTTCACCTCACTGGCCTGGTGACGCTGGGCAAAGCACTTTCCTCTGGGCCTTTGTTTCCTCCTGGGATGGGGGCTGGACTAGATAATGATTCCTGGACTTCCTCCACCTCTATAAGTCTCAGCGCCCACTGATTTAATAAATGCCTGGCTCATTCCTGGTGGCTAACTATAAGAAGGTTTAGACACCATTTCTTTTGGTGTCTTTGAGAGACAAATGCTACTTTATGCTCTGCCCTGGAAGCACTCCACATTCCTGAGGGTGTGGCTTCTCTCCAGAAGGGAGCACAGGTGGAGTGTGGGTGTGTTTTAGCCAGTGTTATTGCTGGGGAGACAGGAGAAGAGACATTCAAGGTGAGGGAAGAGAAAACCAGTTAGAGAGGGAGCAGGGGAGAGAAACAGGTCATGACACATGAAAAATTCCTAAGCTCTTAGGGAGAAAAAATGTCGAATCTGGCTCAAGGATGCTCCTGGCAGGCATACTGAAGGAGGTGAGTGGCTGAGTTAGGAAGAAGTAGGTCTTGAGCGTGGCTTTTGAATTGACTTCTTTAGATAACAGTTTGGCAATATCTAGTAAAGCCGAAGAGATGTATGCACAATGACCCAGCAGCTCCACTTTGCTGTGGGCTGAATGGTGTCTCCCACAATATTCATATGTTGAAGCCCCTCGTCATCTCTCCACCATTGATGGTATTTGGACATGGGACCTTTGGGAGATAATTAGGTTTAGATTAGGTCATAAGGGTGGGGCCTTCATTATGGGATTAGTGCCCTTATAAAAGAGACACCAAAGGCCAGGCATGGTGGCTGATGCCTGTAATCCCAGCACTTTGGGAAGCTGAGGTGGGCAGATCATGGGGTCAGGAAATCAAGACCATCCTGGCCAACATGGTAAAACCCCGTCTCTACTAAAAATACAAAAAATTAGCTGGGTGTGGTGGCACATGCCTGTAATCCCAGCTACTCAGGAGGCTGAGGCACGAGAATCACTTGAACCCAAGTGGCAGAGGTTGCAGTGAGTCTAGATCGTGCCACTGCACTGCAGCCTGGGCGACAGAGCAAGACTCCATCTCAATAAAAAAAAAAAAAAAAAAAGAGAGACACCAGGGAGCTTGCTGTTTCTCTTTCCATCATATGAGGATAGGTAGACAAGGAGGCTGCCTATCAGCCAGGACGAGGGCCCTCACCAGGAAGCAGCTATGCCCACACCTTGATTTTAGACTTCTAGCCCCCAGGACTGTTAGAAAATAAATTTGTGTTGTTTAAGCCACCCAGTCTGTATTCAGTTATGGCAGCCCAAGCTGACTAAGGGACACTCTTGGTATTTATACCCTTGAGCAACTCTTGCATGTGTGCACCAAGGGATCAGAATGCTTATAGCACCATCATTGTAGCAAAAAGTGGGAACAAACTAAATGTCCATCAATGGTAAAAAAAAAAAAAAAAAAAAAAAAAAAAACACTGAATAAATAGTGGTACATTCATATAGTAGAATACTATACAGCAGTAAAAAGGAATGAATTCCAGCCCATCAACACAGATGAAACTCCCAAGTTGCAGAAGAGTATATGTAATGTGAACTCATTTCTATGAGATTCAGAATCATATAAAACTTAAAAATATATTATCACACATATGTGTATATGTGTATATGTACATAGATAGTAAGATTATTGAGAAAAAAGCAAGGTGATAAAAATCCCATAAAATTCAGGAAAGTGTTTACTCTGGAGAAGAGGTGAAGGGAATGAGAACTGGGAGGGCACACAGGATTTAAAAGCAATTATAGTGGCTATGTGTTAGGCTTTGTGGTGGGGGCATGGGTTTTGTTTTGTTATTCTTTATACCTTCTATATAGTGTTATGTATATTATTACATATGTATATGAAATATTTCCTTATTAGAAAAACAACTTAAGCAATGAAAAAAACATCATAAAAGCATAGCTTTTGGAGGCAGGCCAACCTGGGCTCTGCTCCAGGTTTTGCAGTTCTATTAATGAGGAATCTGAGCAAGGCTCTTCCCTCTGTGACTAATGGCATCTCCAAAGAAAACCGGGAATCAAGTGAGAAGAGCCTGTGTATATAGTATGTGTTCCATGATGGGGAGTGATGATAATGAAGGTGAGAGAGGAAGACCTACAGAGCTATTGAAAAGGCTTTTATTCTTCTCAAGATGATAATAGGTGCCGCAAAAAGTTTCACCAGTGATACCCTGCACATGAAGCTTTGTGGTTTGCGAACCCTCTCCTCCTTGGAGCTGACACCTCTTTGAGGCAAGTGAGAACAGATAAGTTTGCAAAGGTGGAATGAACTAAAAGGAGTGACCGTGAATCCCACCATCAATGTGGGAAATGTTGAACACATCTATTTTAGATCCATCAGACCACAAGTTAGTACAGCTGAAGAGCCTTTGAACAACTCAATGAACAAGATCCATTTGGTGAACCTATAGGGAGTCCTGCTCCCTACACTTGGGGCTTGCATATTCTCCCCAGTGTAAATGTTTATAAAAACTGGCCACATTTTAGGCAATAAAGAAATCAGGAACACATAGACAATGTTTTCTGACTACAATGCAATTAAGTTAGCAACTAACGACAAAAGGATAACACACACATTTGGAAATGTGAACATACTACTAAGTAACTTGGGAATCAAAGAAGTAATGTAAAATTTAGCAGAGAGGTTTTAAAAAGCTATGAGTAGGCTGGGCACGGTGGCTCATGCCTGTAATCCCAGCACTTTGGGAGGCCAAGGCGGGCGAATCACGAGGTCAAGAGTTTGAGACCAGCCTGCCCAACATGGTGAAAACCCATCGTTACTAAAAATACAAAAATTATCTGGGTGTGGTGGCGGGTGCCTGTAATCCCAGCTACTCGGGAGGCTGAGGCAGGAGAATCGTTTGAACCTGGGAGGCAGAGGTTGCAGTGAGCTGAGATCACACCACTGTACTCCAGCTTGGGCAATAGGGCAAGACTCCGTCTCAAAAAAAAAAAAAAAAAAGAAGAAAAAAAAGCTCTAAGTAGCTACTACCACTGTTTGTTAAGCTTTGGTTGGCCCTGGAGAACATGACTAGGTTGGTGATATTTGTTCTGGGTCCTGGCCTTTTAGGATTCCTCTCCTTCATCCAGGCTTCACGTAGCTGCCTGGGTCTTTAGGCCAATGTATAATGTACTGACTGCTTTTATCCTACTCCACTCCTTGCCCTCACCCCACATTGCTCCCTTTTCTCATATAAAAATCTCCCAGCTGACGGTCGGAGTGGAAGAAAACACATGTTTGTGGAAGGCTGGCTATGTAGCAGGTGCTGGGACAATGAATAAGATGTAGTTCTTGCCCAGGAAGAGCTCCCAGTTGAAAAGGGGAAAGAAATATTATTATATCCATTTTATGCACTCACAGACACACATAAAGGAGTATAATACCCATTATATTCCTATAACATGGGACCATGTCACAAATGCGGTCTCCAGAACTTTGGGATGAAGAGACTGGCAGGACAGAGTGCCCAGAGTGAGGTGGGCTGTGGAAACGCAGCACAATCCAGAAAAAATATCAGGCTCTTGAAGGGTGGGGTGGAGTTCTTCAGGAGGAGAAGTGGAGGAAGGCCAATGGAAGTGCATGGGAGAAGACAGGAGTGAAAGGGCCTGGATATTGAGAAGAATGCTGGGGAGCCCGGTGTGCAGCATAAGGCGCTATGGGTGGGGTGTGCCAACTGAAGGGCCATGAGCTCCCTGCAGGGGCCAAACCACAAGAGGCCCTCAATTCTAAGGACCCTAAGGAGTTGGAGTTGTATTTGTAAATGAAGGGGAGTTAGCAAAGCATTTTAGAAAGGGAAGCGACAGGGACTGATATGGGCTGTTTTAAAAAGCAATTGCTGTCAGAAGAGGACAAGATGAATGGGAAGGAGGGGAGAGCAGTGCCAGACAGCCAGCGATGATCGGGGTGAGGGTGATGAAAGTGTGATAAATGAATTCTTGGATGCTGGAGACTGATACTCAATGTGCTATCCCTCCCAGAAATTTTAATATTTTGACAGAGGACACTATCTTAACCCAAAGGAATGAAACTCCAAAGATGGTAATTCCTTGGATTGTGACAAGTCTTCAGGAGAGAGTTTTTTAAGGGGCCATTAGAGTCCTTTAAGTAGGCACCATGGAGGTGGGGGTCACCACACTGCCTTCTGCGCTGTTCCTGGTTATAGTCAACATGGATCTTAGTCCTGTTGCATTGTAAGTATTAGGAAAAGAGTTGTAGGCCAGGCGTGGTGGCTCACGCTGTAATCCCAGCACTTTGGGAGGCGGAGGCAGGCAGATTGCCTGAGGTCAGGAGTTGGAGACCAGTCTGGCCAACATGGTGAAACCCCGTCTCTACTAAAAATACAAAAAAATTAGCCAGGCATGGCAGCATGCGCCTGTAATCCCAGTTATTCAGGAGGCTGAGGCAGAAGAATTGCTTGAACCCGGGAGATGGAGGTTGCAGTGAGCCCAGATCACACCACTGCACTCCAGCCAGGGTGACAGAGTGAGAATCTGTCTCAAAAAAAAAAAGGAGTTGTAGCTGAAACTGTATAAAACCATAATTCAACCGGATTTGAAAAAGAAAGCTCTTTCTTCATCTAGACCATGCAAGACTCAGAACCTTAGCCAACCAATCCTAAGAGCATTCACTTTCCCCCAGCCAGTCAATGTGATGATGTAACAGTTATTAATATAAGTCTGGGCCTGGGCCAGTCCAGAGGCAGGGGCTTTTCTGCCAAATCAGTCTTGGCATAGAAGCTGCTGCAGGGCTGCCATCTTGGGTGCCACAGGGCCAAAGTGGGAGGCTGGAGCAGGAGCTCTGGGAGGAGAGGCTTGTACTCAGGGAAATCCCTGTGTTGTCTTCGGGTCTGGGATCAGTGCTCTTGCTGAAACAGTTTATCTGCCCTCAGGAATCATTTACTATCTTAGCTACTCCTTGAGTGGACAGAGAAGGTATCTGAAATCCATCACAATGAAGTTAATGAGAGGAGATGACGTCCGTTTCTACCTCTTCAAAGCTGGGTTAGATTCTTTCTGTAGTTTCGGGGACAAGTTTCCCTGAACTGTCCATATTCTTACTTAGCCTCCTTGCTGTCTACACACAGGCATTATTAAGACGGCTGGCGCAGGTTAGGGATGGGAGGAGGGCGTGTCCATGGCTCAAGGCTATGACCTACCTGGGCCACCCAATATTCCCACCCTTGGCCTTGTGAGCATGGTGTCTTGTATGCACCTGGCACAGTTTCCTGGGCACCTCCCCAGACTGGCCTGAGGCACCTCTTCCCTGATCCTACATGCTTCTTTGAAGGCACAGATGTGAATAGGACAGGTGCACACAGAGTCAACACAGCCCAAGAAGCAGGGAGCTCAGATTTCACTGGGGCTTAATTCCATCAGAGGCCGGGTTGCCAGCTGAGCTCCAGTGCCTGCATCTCAGATGCCCGACCAGGGTCCAGGCATCAGCAGGACCGAAGTGCACTGGCAGCCCAGGTGGTGATCCCCAAGCCATACAGCTTCTTCCTGCAGCTGTCTTGGCTCTGACCTTAGCCTGCCCTTGCAGAAAGGGGCTTGTGGTCAATCAGGTGGGCAGATGTGACAGGAGATGTATGTTCTGGGCAGAGGAAAGGAGGCCAAGGCCTGGCTGCTTCTCAATCACTGTAGTTTTCATCATATCCCAACCAAGAGCAGGGTGCCCCTGGAAGTCCAGCCAGTGGAAGCAGTGGTGGCAGGTGCTTGGTTCTTGAGAAGGCTAGAACTTGGTGTGAGGGAAGAGGAAGCTGCCAGAATCCCGTGAGCACTTGGCTCCAGTGGGAGGGGAGATAGAGGGCAAGGTGGAAGACAGGTCCTGAAATGTGTGGCAGATATTCTGAAAGCAAAAGATGGCAACAGTTTTTTTCCCATTAAATATTTGTTGGCATGTTTCAGCTTGGCTAGTGGCTTGAGAACTCCTGGGAAGATTCTGGAATGTTCTAGAATATGGATGGTCATTTGAATTCCAGCATTTTCTTAGCCCCTTTTATGACAAGGCTGACAGAAGCAATTCAGCCTCTAAAACCTGTTACCCCTTTTAAATGGCTCTTCCTGTTGCAGTGTGGCCTGGGACCAGAGCCAGACTTACGCAAAATGTGTGTGGAAGACAAATCCTTATGACAATACTCATTCTTCAATCCCTTTCAGGCTCAGAGGCATATGATTCTGTCTTCCACTCCTCTTGGCCTTGCTCCAGTGAGACTTTGAATCTTGCAGTCAGAGGGACCCTGAGGCAACTCCTGAGTCCAGGGTTTTCCTTTATACACTCTTATCCTCTACTGAGGAGCACGACAATTTTATGCCGGCCAAATTCTGACCCCTGCTATGAACAGGACTGTAAATTTTTATGTATATTTCTACCAGCAAGATTTTGTTGAGCTTTATATCTTATAGTGTGTATTCTGAAAATCATTTTAAAAAATAAATTTCTGAGTATAAAATTAAATTACTCTAATGGTGTTTGTGTAAAGGTTTACAGTCACAGGGTAAGGGGTTTGCACCTGATCCCAAAGGCAGTGGAGAATCATTTGTGCACTCAGAATATAGGCCAGAGTCAGGACTTAGGGATTTATGCACATTTTGCCATTTAATCTCCTTATCAATCCTGTTGGGATAATGAGAGTCCCATTTTAGAGATAAGGAAACCGAGGCTTGGGAGGTTAAGTGACCTGCTCTAGGTGCTGTAGCTTAAAAGAGCAGAGGGAGGAGTAAAACCCATGCCTATTTGGCTTTGAAACCCATGTTTTTTAAGATTCCAGGTGTCTTAGGGAACTGTCACTCTCCATTACGGTGCATCTGGGTCTCTGTCTCACCATCAGGCTAGTCCCATGTACCCCAGTCCTTTTTCAGATGTAATGATTGGTTCAGGTTTTCCCAGAGGGGCATCTCCTTCTATACCCAGTTGGACCTGTCAAAATCCTCCTGGCTATTGACTGAGCTCATGTGGCCCCTTCACCATGAAACCTCCAATCTCTTCTGTTTTTCCTGTGAACTCTAACTCTGTCCTGTTTGTGCCCTGAGTCCTCACTGCCTTCTACTGTTGTCTACTGTGGCTGTGCCTAAGGGCCCCGGTAACTGTGTGACCTTGGCTTGGGTCTTGCAACGTCCACCTTAGAGGTCCATCCTTCAGGACTCCCTCACCTCAGGAAGGGTGGGCCTTGGAGGGTGAGATGAGTAAAAGGGAGGCATGTGAGGAGGGGAGAGCAATGCCCCAGAGTGGAGCAAGATTAGGCCAAGAAGTGGCATCAGTCAGGAGCCACCAGAGTCTTAATCCCTGAGATTTAAGGTAGAAGGAGGAATTCCAGGTTTAAGGAAGTGTCACCATAGGGGAGTTATTGGATGGTAGTTGAGATGGTAGTAAAAAGTGAGATGGAGGTAGAAGCCTGGAGGTGTGCATTAGGCATCATTCCTGCTGGTGGGTCGGGGAGGAGGCCGTTTGCATGAGAGGAATGCTTTTTGGACAACTGCATGGTGGTGACACTTTCTTCCTAGTGTGGAGGCAGGTGAGGCTGAAGCTCAGAGCTCCACGGAAGAGGCTGTGGGATTTCATATCCTTGGTAGGCCATAGGGACACAGGAGTAGCCTGGTGAGTAGGGTTTTTAATAACTTTGATAGCTCTCTGTTGCCATGCCCACTTGTTGGCATCACCTCCTACTCACTGTTCCTCTGGGAGGGACATGCTGCCTGGTGAAGCAGGCAAAGCAACAACAAACATACCCAGCAACAGCCACCTTCCAGGGAAGGGGTGGAGATACAGTGGTGAATAAGATCCATGTAGCTCCCTTCTTCAAGAAACTCACTAGCTATTTGTGTGATGTCAGTATCAGTATTTCTGAGTGATTACTTGTTTATCCACCTGTAAAATTAGTCAATTTGTATCCCTCCCAAGACATTTAGAAGGTGTCCATCTGTTTGTGGGTGATTGAAGCAAGGATACATTACCATGTCCTTTCATAGGGTCAATGTTCAAGGTATGTTGAACACTTCCTATTTCTCCTGAGCCCCCTTTCTTCTTCCTCTTCACTCTACTTGATAAGAATTAGTTATTTTCAAGATACCAATTTTTAATTCCTTGGTGTCCTAAATTCTTTATATACATTATTTGACTGAATCTTTAAAACTACCCCAAATATGATTACTCCCCTTTAGTAATAAGGAAACCAAGGTACAGACAAGTCAAGCAACTTTCCCAAGGTCACACAGCTAGCAAGTGAAGAGGTGAGAATTGAATTCAGCACTCTAAGGTGCGTACACTTAAAGACATCCTCAGCCAGCATATCTGGTGGTGTCAGGGTTCTTCTCTTAGAATTCTCTGCCCTGATCTGCACAAAGGGGTGGTGGGGCCACTCAGTGGTGGGTGTGTGGGTTGTTGGCTACTGCACTCTAGGGAGATCCAGGGAGTCGATGCTTCACATGACCTGGGTGGCCAGGTTTGGCCTGATTAAATGAAATACTGATGTGAAACATATTTGATGGCTAAAAGTATTAGGTAAAAGCAAGGCATTGTTATGGAGACATTAGGTATTATCTTTATTGAAGAGGAATAATGTGAAGATCAGAGGGGAAAATTCTTGCTTGAGGTCACAGATAAGAAAAGAAGAGCCAAGACTTGAACCTGGGCCTCCCTATTCTTGTCTCTCCCAGCAGGGTCTGGATTCTGCTATTTTGAATTCAAGACTGGGCCAAAACCATGAACGCTTTAAAATGTACGGTTTTCCCCATAAAGAATGCAGCTTTGGTGAAATAGAGATGATATAATTATTTCTCTTGTATGTATTGGGATTTGCATGTATCATGCTCTAGAATGAAGGCCTGTGAGAATGGAGCCATTGTCCCTGCATGTGGGACTCTGCCTGGCACATGCCAGCAGCTCAATTTCTACAGGCTGCTGAAATGGATCCTATGCCATTGTCACTTCCAATCAATACATTGTCCAAGTAACCCAGGATTTCCAAGCTGGTATTGAAGTAGCCTGGAACCTCAGAACACACTCTGGAATTTCACAAGACACTTTGCAAATGAGGGATATACTCAACAGGAAGCCTGGGAATATAAGCTGGTAGGTGGCATAAAAGTAAAGATAAATGTGAAACAAAAATGCAGAGATGAAGGATAAATGGTCCAGAAGTAAACTTTTAAAAGGAAGTATTCAGGTGACTCCAATGACCGGAAGGTGACATGGAGATGTGCACAGTGTGACATGAAGAAAAGGCATGGATTGAAGATGGACAGATCCAAATCCTCTGCCTTTGACTAGTGCTGTGACCCCAGGCTAGTTCATTAACCTTTCTGAACCTCAGTTTTTCCAACTATAAGATAGGAGTTGTAAAGATTAGATACAATGTTATAAAGCGCCCATCAGGTGGCTTCCTGGCCTTAAGTGACTGGAGTCTGTTATTGTTATTTTACCAAAAAGGAGGAGAGCGAAGTGTCCTCACCATCCTCGCCATCCTCACATCACCATTGTCACTATTGCTATCATCATCGTTAACTTCATCACTGTGATTTTCATTAATGTTTATTACATTTTCAATTGGGTCAGGTGACTGTCATGGGTCAGGTACTGTCCTAAGTTCTTTACACACATTAATTCATTTAATCCTCACAAGCCCTTACATAGGAATATGAGGGAGGTTGAGTCACCCATCAAAGATTACATGCTGGGGACATGGTAGCTGTTTTATAAAGGCGTGGCTCCTGTCATTGTCAGGCTGTGCACCCTATCCGAGCATAGGGTCACCCTACACACACCCCAGGATGTAAAGAGACAAGACCAGCAGACTTCCTGCTGCCTAGTGACTGGCAGAGTGTGTATGAAGGAATTCTAATCTGCAAAGCAGTATTCAAACAGGAAGCATTACAATGATGGCTTGCATAAAATACACCATCTGCAAGCACCCTGACTTCGGAAGAATTTCCAACATCCTGCCCCCCACTGAACAATGAGGAATAGATGAACCCCACTGACTTCCAATTTACTCGTGTCTCCCATCTTTCAGTGTCCTCAGGCGGGCCCCTAATCTTACCCCAACAACCACAGATGAGATGCAGCAAACTGACCACCCTTTGGCACTCACACTATTGGAAATAAACACACAGAGGAAATCTCTGGTTAAAATGCATGAAATGTTTCTTTAAAATACACAAGCGCTTTCTAAGACAGCCATTTCACTTGGCAGCCCAGTGCTCATGGCTCCAAATAAAACAAGAGTGTTAGTGAATTGAGCCAATTCATCCGCTTCGCTCTAATGTAAATGTATACACCAGTGTGGCCATGGGTGTCTGCGTACAGCCAGGGAGTGTTTTCATGGTAAGAGTCGAGCTTGGACAGTGAGGGGTTGGTCTCTCTTTCCTACTTTGCTTCTGGTGCTCAGTGGAGTCTACTCTTTCTTGTTCAGAGGTGGAAATTCCCCTCAGAGGGTGAGCTCACAGCCAGCGGTTCTGGCTTCCCAGCTGAGGAAGCAATGTGCTTCTTGTAATGTCCTTTTCCCTCCTGAGGTTTTGGACCATGGCTAAAGGTGTGTCCACCAGACATCCATGAACCGAAGGAAGGATAAGCAAAAAGGGACAACGAACTTCAAAGCTCCTCTGAACCTGGCACAGGACGGTCCTTTAGAAAAGGTGTCATTTGTAATGGAGAGATTTGAAAATAAAACTTCCAATACATGAGCAAAAGATTGCAGAGACTCACTTAACCTTCATTGCCCTGTGATCTTATCACATCCCCATTTTACAGATGAGGAAGCTAAGGCACAGAGAGGGTAAATCACTTTCCTAGAGTCCTAGGGGTTGCAGTGGTGGATCTGGGATTCACAGTCAGGGAGTCTGGCTCTAGGACCCAGGTTCTTTTTTTAAAATTTATTTTATTTATTTTTAAACTTTTATTTTAGGTTCAAGAGTACATGTGAGGGTTTGTTATATAGGTAAACTCATGTTACAGGGGTTTGTTGTACAGATTATTTCATCACCCAGGTATTAAGCCTAGTATCCAATAGTTATCTTTTCTGCTCCTCTCTCTCCTCCCACCCTCCACCCACAAGTAGACCTCAGTGTCTGTTGTTTCCTTCTTTGTGTTCATAAGTTCTCATCATTTAGCTCCCATTTATAAGTGACAACATGTGGTATTTGGTTTTCTGTCTCTGGGTTAGTTTCCTAAGAATAATAGCCTCCAGCTCCATCCATGTTCCTGCAAAAGACATGATGTTATTCTTTCTTATGGCTGCATAGTGTTCCATAGTGTATATGCACCACATTTTCTTTATCCAATCTGTCATTGATGGGCTTTTAGGTTGATTCCATGTCTTTACTATTGCGAATAGTGCAGAGACCATGTTCTTAATCACCAGGTTCCCTCTCTGTTGCTTCACTCTGTGGAGATGGCACAGCCAGGATTTCAGCTTTGGCATCTTCTCTAAAAGCTGACTCTGCTATGTAACAGGTGTGAACTTGGCCAAGGTTCTTCATGTTTCTGCATCTTGGTTTCTTTCTGAGGCAACTGTCATATAGGGATAATATTATCCCTGTTACATATCCCACAGCATTGTAATGAGGGATTAATAACAGAGAAAGTGTATGAGAAGGTGGTGCATAGATTAGGAAGAGCAGTGAAGAATTACGTGTTTATAACACTTTTTGATTTACAATGTGTTTTACTCTTGCTACTTAATCTTTCTTCTAACTTTTTGAGCTAAGTCTTATCAATCCCAACTCAAATATGAAGAAACATACTCAAAGAGAAAAAATGACTTTCCTAAGGTCCAGGCAAACCAAGGTCTTCTGAATTCAAGCCTAAGACTCTTCTATAGGACCCTTTTAGCAGTTCATAGGCTTTTGCGGGGCATGGAGAATGTCATGTCTTTATCTTGTTTTGTTTTATCTTTAAATATCCCTGACCATGTAGCACAGTGACTTGAATATGAAAGAATTTAGTTGCTCTTGACTGAATGAATCCTGAGTGGATGGAGAAAAGACTTGATTAACCAGAAACTTGGAGAAATGAAAGTTCTGACTGAGTTTTATGATGACTCTAGAATCCTCTTGGAACAAAAGCATTGACATAGTATATCTAAATTGAAAATATATCTAAAACAGTTCACTCTTTTCCCCCTGGAAGAGACGTGTAGGGCATATAAGTGAATGTTTATTGGTTACCTAAGGATCTTACAATGTTGCCCTTTCATGGAATTACGGAATTTTGAAAACTAGAATGCATCTCAAAAGTAATCTGATCCAATTTTCTGCTCAGTGGATAGATTCCTTTGTCCCTATGAACCTCACTGGGTGGGTGAAAACCCAGGTCAACCCTCCCTCTCTATTATTTTTCACAATTAAAATCAGATAAACTGGATTCAGATACCAAATCATTTACAAGAAGCTTTTACAAGTAACCTCGAGGAAGTTCTTTAAGCACTCTATGCCTCGGTTTTCTGATTTGTAAAAAATAC
Source organism: Homo sapiens (assembly GCF_000001405.40). NCBI lineage: Eukaryota > Metazoa > Chordata > Mammalia > Primates > Hominidae > Homo > Homo sapiens. Next base: position 45,735,210 of record NC_000006.12, read on the forward strand.
ATTTTGATACTTTGGTTTTTTTTCTTAACTCTATACCTGGGATAATTTTCTATATCAATATATATAGAACTGCATAATTCTTTTAATACACACATGCACACACAATTAATTATTCCCCTACCAATATAGGTTTCTTATATTTTGCTATTGCATACATTTTATAAAATATTTTATAAAATATAAAAAATATTTTATAAAAATAAATATTGTCAGACAGAAAAAAGTACCTACTTCATATGTTGTTGTGACAAATTAATTCATATAAAGCACTTAGACCAGTGGCTTGGCCACAAGAAGCACTCTATAAATGCTAGCTAGTATTTTAATTTGTGTTAACTGAATAATTGAAATTGTTGGAAGAGGAAATAAAGGGAGAAAATACGTAACCTATTGAGCGAATTTATCAATTACAATTAGGCTTAGCTGTGAGTAGCAGCTTAAACCAGATAGAAGTTTATTTACACCTTATGTTCAAGAAGTTTGGAGGTGGTCAGTCCAGGGCTCCAATGGCTCTTCATGGTGTCAGAGGTAGAGGCATCTTTAATCTTAGCCGTCCATTATGTGTGACTTCTCTAGGTTATCTCATGGTCCCAGATGGCTGCTGGAGTGCTAACCATTATATCTATATTCCAGCCAATGGGCAGGAAAAAGGCAGGAGGAAAGGGCACAACCTGGCTTTTTAAACCAGTTCCAGCAAGTTATACACACCACTTCAATCACAAAGGCAAGGGCTAAGTTACATGGTCACACTTAAATGCAAACAAGGTTGAGAAATATGGTCTTTAATCTGGCATCCAGGCACCGCACAAAAAATCATGGATCTTAGTAGTGTGGAAGAGAGAGGGCATAGCTAGCTATTGGGGGATAATTAGTAATTACTGATGCAGGGGATTTACGGAATTTGGAGAAAGGCAGTCCTGCAACCTTTGCTTTGATAACAGGGAGTCTTTTGATCCAGGCGAAAAAGCGTTTTGGATTTGTGCCTCAGGGTGTTTTATTAGAACTACCTCCTTCTCCCAAAACCCTTGTTTCCTGCAGCCGTGGTCTAGCAGGCCCTGGTAGCAGGGTAGAGTCTTCCTACCTGCACAGTGGGGATGTGCGCCTCAGCTGCTCAGCCACTGGGCTGTCTGCAGTCATCTGAGATATGAGAGCTGCCTACCATGTGTGGCTTGTGGAATCAGCTTTTGTGACCTATGTCATCAAAGGTCAGCTTGATTCAATACTGAGTTCAGGTCAGACTTTGAGAGTTTTAGCTGCTTTTCTTCTAGAGAAAAAGCAAACAAAAAACCCCCGAAAACCATCCTGATAGGATTCACTAAGTCTCTTCTAACTATGTAATATGGACATGCTGGTTACTTAAAACATCTGGTAAACCACAGTCTTACTGATTGGGGCCCATCCGTATTCATTAGAGGTCCTCTTCTTATTCTGGATTCTATCTGCTCTCTCTTTTTCCATCCAATAAGTGATCACTACCTAAAGTAGTTCCACCTGCAGCAGGAATTTTCTCAGGGCATATGCAAATTAATTTTTGGAAATGGAAACAACCTTAGAAGCAGTTATTCTCCCTATGTGGAAGATTATATATTTCTCCCTCTCCTTCTTTCCCTTGATCCTTCTATTTGGAAATGCCAGGTAACATGGAGTAGGGTTGTTGGTCCCTCTGTGACCCATTTCCTCAGGCCAAGACCTCAGAGTGGACAGATGTGATCTGGGCTGAATGATGGCCTCAGTCAGACAAGGGTAGGACTGGGAGGGATTGCTGCAGTCCTTGCGGCTGGTGAGGGGACTTTTGTTTTTCAGGGGAGCTTTGTACATTTGTAGGAGGGTGTCTTCTGTCTGTGGTCAGATTGTGGATCCTCACCCTCTTCAAGGTCCTAGCAGCATCCCATTCTTCTAAACATTTCTTAATGTTAGAAATTAACTCCTCCAAAACCCCTTAGCACTTTTCTGGGGACTGGGCTACTAACAGATGAATGAGTCTCTACTAAATATGTCGACTTCACCACAAAGGGGGAAAATGTGATTTTTCGTATTATAATAAGACAAATTTTAGAACTTAAAAAAATCATTAAGGTTTGTGTCAACAACCTGGTGATTAACCCACATAAGACCCCACAGATAGTATGTTGCGGGAATGGGATTCAACTTCAGATTCTTTGCTGATCAGTGTCCCTGGCCCCATGGGGGATTTTAGAAAGGTAAACAGGGGCAATAGGGACAATTGGGGGCATACGGATCTTTCAGGGTAGGCCCTGTCCCTCCTCAGACTGGCTCTGCTCTTCTGGAGCTCAGGGAGTGGGCCACCAGGATAAGCTAAATATGTAAGGGTTTGGGTTCACAATTCAACTTGAATCTAGCTGGGAGGAAAGTCGACCAGGAAACAGAGAACCCTGGAGGTAAACCAGGTGCGAGTTTTTGTAGGAGAAATTGGAATAAGGCTGGGGCAACCTTTCCACTTCTTTCTTCTCCTCGACTCAACCTGAAAGTACGTCAAATAATGTGGTTTTGGCTCCGTTTAGCTTCTTTCAACCCGAAAGTCAAATCTTCTCTCCAAAGGAGGGAAGCCTGCATGAGCTGAAACTGAAAGAAGTTAACTCAAACCCCTGTGAACTGAAACTGTCAAATTTCACACAGCTCCAGTTCATTTTTCTCTTCTCCCTTCCACCCCCACATCCCAAGTCATATTCATTCAGGGAACAAGTCAGATTTTGATGTTTTTCCAATGGCCAGGCTCACAAAATAATCCAGACACCAAACTTGTAAGCTGGCTAAAAGCGGCAAGGAATGATTCTTGGCTTATCTCCCACTGGATTTTACTTACTGGGCTATTCAAGTGGATTATTTCATTCAAGGTAGAAAGCCCTCCACACGGAGGGCTGGACAAATTCCCAGCACACCCAAGCTATTAGAAGGCCTTTCAGGGATGACAAGAATATGTTAGCTTCATTTCTTCTCTCTCACAAGAGACTCTTCCCTCCCACGAAAAGACTGAAACAATAGATTTACCCAAAGATGGCCGCTCTGAGGGCCTGCCCTTGATGAGGTTAAAGGAAGTGGCTGAGACAAGTAGGATTCATCTAACACTGGAAAAGCCAGTGGGTGACTACAGAATGGGATTTGGAGGTTTCCATGGAAGGCTTGCCTCCAAAATGTCCCTCCCATAGCCTAAAATGTCTGCCTGCGAGGCATCAAAGGGAATCACCAACTCTGGGAAGTGAATTGAATGTAGAGAGCCTGCCGATTGCATGGACAATTCTGTTTCTCTTGGGTCACATGGGTAGAATCTAACAATAATTCTACTGGACAGAAAAGGGTGCAAGGTAGAAATTTCCTTTTGTCATTTGGATGGGTTTCTTTGGTTAAGAAACTCATACTTGGCTGGTCCCGGTGGCTCACGCCTGTAATCCCAGCACTTTGGGAGGCCGAGGTGGGTGGATCACAAGGTCAGGAGATCGAGACCTTCCTGGTTAACATGGTGAAACCCTGTCTCTACTAAAAAATACAAAAAATTAGCCAGGCGTGGTGGTGGGCACCTGTAGTCCCAGCTACTCAGGAGGCTGAGTCAGGAGAATGGCGTGAACCCAGAAGGTGGAGCTTGCAGTGAGCTGAGATCGCGGCACTGCACCCAGCCTGGGCAACAGAGTGAGACTACATCTCAATAAAAAAAAAAAAAAAAAGAAAGAAACTCATACTTTACTTGAATGCTCTGTTAATTCAGAGGGTAAGAGGAGGGGGTCTGAGGAGAGAAAGGGAATCAAATGGAATTAAAAAGAATATGTAATTGCATCTATTTTGCAAAAGTGCTTCCACATCTCAATTCATTTTCCCAATAAATGCCTACCAATGGCTGTTCTGAAACTCAGAGACAAGCCCAAGGTCGCCTGCTTAGGAAGTGACTGAGTTGGGAATAGAACTCTTATCTCTCTGACTCCAAAATCCACACTCCTTCTACAACCTCAATTCTCTCTTTCTAAAAGAAGGGTTTTTAAGGTCACCTTGGACAATCTGCCCATTTTATGGATGAGCAAGCTGAGGCCAGAAAGGTAAACATAGACGCATACAGCTATTGGCGTCAGAGCAGAAGACTATGTTTCTTGATTACTAGACTATGATTCTTTCAACTACTTTACCTTCTTGCAGTAAGGTGAATCAAAAGGCCCTCTGCAAAGGCCAATAAAAAATATCAGAGCATGCCAAATATGGTGGCTCATGCCTATAACCCCAGCATTTTGGGAGGCTGAGGTGGGAGGATGAGTTGAGGCCAGGAGTAAGAGACCAGCTTGGCCAACATAGTGAGACTCTATCTCCACAAAAAGTAGAAAAATTAACTGGGTGTGGTGGTGTGCCTGTAGTTCCCAGCTACTTGGGAGGCTGAAACTCGGGCCTAGAAGTTTGAGGCTGCAGTGAGCCATGATTGCAGCACCACTGCACACCAGCCTAGACCCCAACTCAAAAAAAAAAAAAATCACAGTATGGGTATGGAGTGTAGAGGAGAGTGATTTCATTTTAGACATTACTGAGGGGAAATTATATTAATTATACTTGAGGCTTCTTGCCACAAATTTTCATTATTATAAGCAGAATATTTTACTGCTGCAAAAATTAACCTAGCGTAATGCATGCTGGATTACTTTGTGAATAAGACTCTCTATAGGTATGAATTAAAAATACCGCAGTTCAGGTGATTCTAGTGTGTAGCCAGAGATATGAACCACTGCTAAAACTCTGTAAGTCTTTTATTAACTTCTTTGCCTTTAAACTCACCTTAAACTAAATGAAAGTATTTGAAATTAATTTAATTGTCATAATACAGGCTGTGAATTAAAATCCTGGCTTTGTCAGGTGCCATCTGCAGACTTTCAGTAGACTGGCTGGACTGCAGCTGGGTAGATATTTCTCCTTGGCTGTAACCCATGTTACACTTAATGCAGGCATAATTCACAGTGCATTATAGTAAGAGAGGAAATTCTACTATAAGCACCCTTCTGACCCTGAGATTATATGATTTAACATGTGTATATGTGCATTGTATCACATACCCAGATGTATTTAAACATAAAATATAGATACCTGCATACAACTTAACTGAAATGATTACAGGTTTTTTCTTTATTTCTTTTGCAGAGTCAATGATTTCCAAGAAATGTGGCATTATTTCTGGGGGAGATTTCTTGCCTCTTCCTCAGCCCTGGTGAAGATCTTGCTAGAAACAATACATCTTCTATGAAACACTCTCCACAGAACGTTTTGGAAATAAATCTTCCCTTTCACCACTGGAGCTGAAGTCAAACCGAGCAGTGCACAGAGGATTTGGAAGGATTGACACTCGAAGGAAGAAGGAAAAGTGTCCTGAAAGTAGAGTGTGTCGTGGAAGGGCCCGGGATAGAATTCTCTTCCGGTGTCCGTTCTGTGGCACTGCAAGGATGGGAGTTAAGGCGAAGAAGAATACAAGGCTTCCCCTTAATACATTGTTGGCTCACACCTTTCGTGCCCCTTTAGAGGAGAATCAGAATAGCATGAAAGGGGACATGGAGCTCTCCTTGCCTTACCCTCTCTGCTTTAAGGGTGAGCCGGCCAGAGCCAGTTGCACAATGTGTGTTCAAGAGAGACCACTTATTCCAACTCGTGACCAGTCAGAGGTGCAGTTCTAGGCCTGGTGAGCCTCCGAGGTGGGCTGGGCAGAAAGGGGAGCAGGATCTTCAATGGGGGAGGCCTCTGAGGCTCCCCAGCACTATCCGGCTGTGCACATCTGTTCTAATGAAGCCACTTGTTAGGGCTAGACATAGGGTGAAAGAGCCCCCTGGGGTGAAAGACGTCCTTTGTGAATTAAGACAAGATTATTATAAATGACGTTTGCTTTGTTTAATTAATTCAAAAGCCACCTTCCTTATCACTTTATTACATGGCGCCTGCTCTCCGGATGCCGCGGTCTCCAGAGCAGGCTTTTTCTCCCCTTTTTGCCTTGGCTCATGTTGCCTTTGTAGGTATGAATTTGTTTTCTTGTTTATTATATTGTTTTTCCCCCTGTTCTTATGTAAGTAAGATCCTTGTGGTCAGGATCTTTGTCTGTTTTGTTCAGAGAGGTAGCCCAGGCCTCTAGAACAGGGGTGCATAGTAGGTGCTCTGTCAATATTTGTGGATTCAAGAATGAATGAAAGCACTCACTGAGGCAGGGAAGATGCTAAGTGCTTTCCTCTACTCCTAAAAACATCCCCTCCAGGCAGGTTCTATTACTGTCCCCACTTTATACACAAAGAAACCTCGTGACGAATGTGATTGATTGACAGAAGCCATCTGAGCAGCTTTATGAGCTGGTCCCTCAGAGGTCATTGGCAAAGGTGCAAAGTCAGGCAGGCAGGCGGTTGCCCTCTCCCTCCTGTTTCTGCCCACTCTGTGGTGAAGGCCTGGGCTTCCAGAAATTTCTTTGAAGGAGAAGCTCTACACTCTGTGGTTCTTGAGGCACTTTCTGGCCTTGCTGTGGGTTCCTGAAACCTGACGTTCCAAACAGAGGCATTTGCTAATTTCCTGAAGAAAGCTCCAGGAAGTCTTGTCCTTGGGTAAAAGCTGTTCACAGTAGGTGAGAAAAAGGGAAGTTTTCAGACCACCACACACTTGGAGGTTTCATTTTCAGTGTTGTGTGGAGCTGACAAATAAACCTATCTGACTTGGCTCTCCTTCCTTCTCCACCCCAGCCCCGCCCCGCGCCTCTCCTCTTTTCCAGATTCATGTGAATGTTTTGGTTAACTTTATCCCCTCCTGTGTTATTGTTGTTGTACCACATATTAATGTGGGGCTTCTGTAGCTGAGAGGAGTACGGTTGAGTTACAGTAACAAGCTACAAGCTGAAGGAAAGTGCTGCGGTTTTTGGCTGGTCCAGTCCCAGATATACACCCTCACATCTGGACAAGAGATCATGTGACAGCTTGAAAAGCCAGAAACATATCCTGGATACCATAAAAAATGGGTTCTGTTAAATTAAAAAGGCTTTAAATACTGGCTCAGCTGGTTTGAGGTCTCATTCTCTCTCACACACTCGATTGTTCTGGAATGTGTTATAAGATTTGTGATTGCTGAATACTTAATTTAATATCGTGAACCCACTGTATGGTAAATTTGTTTGCATGTCTTTCTGAAGTCCAGCCAGCCCTTCTCCGTTTTCCTAACTTGGGGCATGGCTTGTTGATTTGGGGATCAGAACTTGGTGTCCTGGTGATAAACACTCTTCCTCTATTCCACCCCCACCCACTTGCCAACCTTCAGGTACCCCCCCAGAGAAAACCTCCAAAACTTCTGGCCAAAGCAGCTTCCTTTCCTAACCTTTAAGAAAGAGCCTATAGGATAATAAGCTTTAAAATATTATTAATGGAGAGAGATGTCATAGTTCTCTTTGAATAGAATCAAGAACAGATTGGAAATAAAAAAGTTTTTTGAGATGAACGGATGTTAAACACCAAAATATGGTCAAAACTCTATTCCTGCAACTCAGAAAAAAAAATCTATTTTCTTTTTCTTACGCAAATAAAACATTCTTGTGTTGCCCACTGGACATATCTTTCTCCCTGATTTACCAAGATTGCAGAAACCAGGATTAAACAAGGCGCCCGTTCCAAAACCAAAAATTTGTTTTCTCAAACTATCAAAGAGAGAATGACTTTGGAAGCAAGCATGTGATCAAAAGACAAGATAGGAAAATAGTGCCTGGTTTCCTTTTTAAGAATAAACAGTCAGTTAGGCCAAGTGCTGTCTCCTGGCATCTGCATTATCTGTTGGTGATGGTTAATTTTTTAATTTAGGAAAATGTAATAGAAATAATATTGTTATGTACCACTAGCTTTGTGTTTTCTAAAATATCTTGAAATCATCTTATTTTAACATATTAATTAGTTCAACATTTCTCCTCCCCCATTAGACTCTAAGCTTCCTATGAATAAGGACCTTGTTTGTTTTGTTCACTGTTGAGCCCTCACTGTCTAGGACAAGGTATTGCTCAATGCTACTGCCCAGCTTTGTGTTGATCTACTTTGTCCTTCCAGGTCCACTCGCTACACTTCCTCCCTGCGTTGGGCCAGGAAGCTGACTTTTATGAACTATATCAGTGGGCTCCCTCGCCCCCGGCTTCCCTTTCGTGCAGCCCATGGAGGAACCAGGAGTAAACCTGCATACAGGTTGGTTGAGTCCCTCTACTGAAACAGCAGCTCCTCTTGGGCTCAGGGAGGGTGATGGCTCCCTCCGTTTCTAGCCTCAGGGTACTGTGCTATCCTTGGTAGTAGTCTCTTCATTAAACTCATAAAATGACTCCATCTGAGGTTATCTGTTTCCTCCATTATCCACATCCTGCTGGGAGCCTGACTGATGAAATGAAGATTTATCGAATAAACAAATGAATGAGGCTCCACTGTAGTAACTCTTGTTTCTGGACAATCGCAGCAAGTGGGTTCCAGAGCCATTTTCTCCTGTATTCGGGTGTTTAGAGATGTAGTTGTCACCATGACTTCGAGGCTTCAAGCATGAGCTGGAATTGTTCGTCTCCAGTAAATACCCAACCCTGCTCCAACTCCACCTTACTTGGTTTCTCTTGTGATCGATGGTATGAACAAACAAAACAGTTTGCTGCATTTAGAGAGGTCTACAGTTGAATCACCTACTTGTTCATCCATTCATTAATCCATTTATCTATTCATCACCATTCAATAAAAATTTAATAAGTAGATGCTTATTAGATACCATGTACCACGGATCTGGGAATGATAATTTTATTTCATCTTGAATGCTACATAATAGATTCATACAGCATGACACTCCGGAGACTTCTGAAGCAGTCTGGATCAGTGAGAAAATGTGCCAAGAACGGTTAGTAATGTCTACTCTGGGTAGAGAAGTGGAAGTACATATAACAAGTATTTACATGGATAGTATTTGCCATCCCTATGTTAGACGCCACTGGGTGAGCAAAAGCAAAACAAAACAAAAACAACTAGTAGCAAGAATTATTTTTGTCTCTAGTTTGGCTGTTTCATGTTAAAATTGCATGCTTACTCAAGAACTCCTGATATAACTTCTTACATACAATAACCACCTCCACCTCAGACACACCTAAATGATAATTTGATTGTACAAAGGTATCATTGACCTGTCTATGCTTATTTTCATTATTTATATTCTGGATTGTATTTTCAGGGTTACAAAACACAAATTAAATAGAACGTTTTAAATCTAGTTTCCTGGTATGTAAATCATGACCTGCAATGACTGGACAGTTCCCAAATTTATAGATGAACATTTGCTAACTGGTTTTTATCACTCTAGGGTAACTTGCCACAGCCATCCTTTCTGAAAACTTTTCTCTCCAGGCCTCTCTTCCTGGATTTTCTTATCAAGGAAATACATCTTAGGAAAGTTTCTGTCCATAGCCTTTTTATTCTTGATTACAATAAAATTTGCTTCTCTATCCAGTTCAATTCACAAGACACTGGATTTGACATGCAGATTTCCTTGAATTGAACTTCCTGTGTCCTTTGCACACACTATGCTTGGATTAGGTCTTCTGATAGACCAGGCTTGGCACCTAATCCTCTTTCTTAAGCCCTGTTTCTTTTCTACTACCTAGCTTAGCATTCCTGGGCAAATCACTTACCTAACCTGGTCCTACATCTGACGGCATGGGATTAGATAATAAGAACTAATGCTTATTGAGCACTTACTTTGTTCCAGGCTACATGCTAATGTATTTTACTAAATGTGTATTAATTGGGTTAGAGTAAGGGTCACAGACTTTTCTGGAAAGGGTCAGATAGTAAATATGTTCAGTTTGGCAGGCCATGAGCTGTCTGTTGCAGCTACTCAACTCTGCCACTGATGTAAAAATAGCCATAGATAAATATGCAAACAAATGGGCGCGGCTGTGTTCCAATAAAACTTTATTTATGAAAAGCAAGGAGTGGACTCAATTTGATCTGCAGGCTGTGCAGATGGATCCCCGTTTTACAATGGTTCAACTTATGATTTCTTTTCTACTTTGTAATGGTGCAAAAGCAATACACACTTACTAGAAACCAGACTTTGAATTTTTAATTTTGCTCTTTCTGGCCTAGCAATATGCCATATGAGGTTCTTTTGTGATGCCTGGCAGCAGCAGTAAGTTGCAGCTTGCAGTCAGCCACACGACCATGAGGGTAAACAGCCAATACTGTACTCTGTGGTATAGTCTTACCTGAGTTATTCAACTCCTAAATATAAAACAGGCTTACATTAACTGATTTTACCCAACTGTAAGCTAATGTAAATGTGCTGAGCATGTTTAAGGTAGGGTTGGCTTAGCTGTGACATTTGGTAGGTTAGGTGTATTAGATGCATTTTCAACTTACAATGCTTACAATGGGTTTATTGGGAGGTAACTCCATTGTTAGTCAAGGAGCATCTGTAGCGTTCCATCTCTGCTTTATTTGAATTACTCTGTTTAATGTTTGTAATAACCCCACGAGGTAGGTACTAGTTAACTAGATTTAGTCACTTTTCTGAGGTTGCCCAGAAAGAAAGCCCTAAAGTCAGGATTAAATCCAGTCTAGTGGCCCCATTTTTTTTAAATTTTATTTATTTATTTATTTTTTTATTTTTTTGAGACGGAGTCTCGCTCTGTCGCCCAGGCTGGAGTGCAGTGGCATGATCTCAGCTCACTGCAAGCTCTGCCTCCTCGGTTCACGCCATTCTTCTGCCTCAGCCTCCTGGGTAGCTGGGACTACAGGTGCCTGTAGTGGCCCCATTTTTAAACCACTTTTCTTCTGAGTTTCTAAAAGCACCAAACATTGACCCACTTCTCCCTGCACCAGGACCTCTTTGGCAGTCCCTGCATCTCAGGCTGAGTTCTACCAACTGTCTCCTTTCCCCTGTTCTCTCTCTCAAAAAGGCCGCCCCTCTCAGCCATTCATTTCCTCTTAACTCACTGCCTGTCCTCACACCGAATTTGGCATCAACCCTAGAACGTTCTAAATCCTCTTACATTCTAATTAATACGTCCTCTGTCAGACTGGGGTTTCTCTCAGTCTACATACAATTGGAATGAAGTCACCAGATGTAACCCAAGAGCTCACAGTTGAACAAAGCATATTCAATAAATATGTTGACTCTCCTGTGGTTTTTAGCTTGAACCTTAGTTCCACTGTTAATTTGCCATGTGACCCTACGCATGTCAAAATCTCCTGGTGTCTTATCTATCAATGGTGATTTTAAAAAACCAAATACATAAGTTTGTTGTGACATCTTGCCAATAAAAGCATTATGCAGTTATAGTATGCAAAGATGCAAGCCAGACCTTATTCTTTTTTTACACTGCTTTTCTGAGAGTAATAAGAAATGGAATTGTTAGAAGTGGGTATGATTTAGTTGTCCTGTGACTTTCCTCACCTCGTGTTGAGGGATGACTGTAAAAGCATTCTATGCACTGTCAGTTCATGGTGTGTCCTTGTGTCTAGTGGCCCCTCTGTCCCCGGCAGGTGAGTAGAAAGCTGCTGTGACATGGCTTCATCTCGTGTTCTGGGTACAAAGCCCAGCACAAAGTGAGTGGTAGAAGCATCAGTTTCAAGCTTCAATTCTTGTCACCTATACTGGGTTAAACTCCAGCAGAGAGTGGACCCATAGATCCATACACTCACTGGGGCAATATTTATTGAGTGCCAGCTCTGTGACAGGCACTATGCTGGCTCTGGGGAATGTGATGGTGAGCAACACAGCCTAGGTCTCGTATGTCCTAATGAGATCCACAGATACTCAACAACTCATCCCCGGGGTTGTATTTACAAGTATAGTACGGGCCATGAAGCAGTCAGGTGTCATGAGAGCATATGACAAAGAAGGACTCCAAACTGGGGTGCAGAGAGTTTGGGGAAGTCCTGCCGGGAATGTGCCTTCACCTTACTCTGTCAACCCCTCCTGGCTTGTGTGAAGGACCCAAGGGCAGGAGGACAGGAGAATTTGGGTGTTCTGAGAAAATGAGCCCAGAGTATTAGGGGTCTTGGGGATATGTGTTGAGTCAAGAGAGATATGCTGCATCAGGTGATGCTTGTAGGTGTTGGGAAGAAGTATTGATTTAATACCAAAGATAATAGGAAGCTATCAAAAGATGGTAAATAAGGAGTGATGTAATCATGGATGGGCTAAGAACATAAGAGCTTGACAGGACATTGATCTTAAGGATTTTGAGGTAAAAAATTGGCCCCAACCAATTTTCCCATCCATCTTTTTACTATTTATTTATATTCTCCCACCCTTCTCTTTAACCGATAGGTCTTCTTTATGTTTCCTGGACCCCTACTCCATTGCCACACCTCTGGCACTCTGCTTCTCCCCACAGGAAAGTTCTCTGCTCCTCAGTACTTATCTAACTGTTGCCCTCCTTCAGAACCTGCTCACATCTGACTTTTCCATGAAAACTTCTTGGGTGGCCATTCACCCATTCATCAAAGTACTAAGTGTAGTCAGCATATTAGGCATACAAGAATGATAAAGGTCAAAGTTCTACCAATCTTACTTTAATCATTTCCTTCAGAGTTCTTTCCAAGGTTCCCAGCTGAGCTCTTTAGCACAGCCCCTTCCCACGGCTCTAGATGTCTTTTAGTTTTCTATTGCTGTGTAAGAAATTACCATGAAGTAATGACTTAAAACAACTCACATTTATTATCTCACAGTTTCTATGGGTCAGGAGCCTGGGGAAAAACTAAGCTTGGTTGTAAACTTCAGGGGCTCACCAAGCTGCAATCAAGCTATTGGCCAGGGCTGTGGTCTCATCAGAAGCTCATCTGGGGAGGAACTCATCTCTACATTTATTTAGATTTTTGGCAGAGCTTATTTCCTTGTGTGGCAGGACTGAGGCCATCCTTGGCTACCAGAGGCCTCCTGCAGTTTCTTGCACTATGAGCTTCCACTTACTTTATGGCAGCTTTCTTTCTCACAGCCAGCAAGGGAAAGAGATTCCAGGCTAGTCTTCTAGGAGTCTTATGTAATTGAATCATGGGAGGAACATATCATCACTTTTGCCATATTGTATTGATTAGAAGTAAGTGATAGATCCATCCCACTCCCAAAGGGAGAGGGATATACTAGGTCATGAACACCAGGAGGCAGGGATCTAGGATCTGTCTGCTACAGCCTATATCTCCCACCACTGCTTTTGAAAAGTGGATGCCAGCAATATCAGATGTTTCTAGTTCTGTAACATACCATGTCTCTTTAAATCTTTAGGAATTTATATATGCACTTGTGTGTAACTGAAATGTCCTTCCCTACTACATCTCCTCCAGTAATTCTTCCTCAGTGTTTTCTACCTTATATAAATGTGATCATTCCCTTCTCTGTTCTCTGGATCCATATCCATGGTCATCCTCACCAGGCAGTGAGGTATGTTGCTTGTATGTCTCTACTGTATCAGACTGTAATTTCCTTGAGACTGAGGAGTATGTGTTCTTCTGTATCTCTAGGGCTCACATCTAATATTTGATTAATAAGCCTGGAGAATGGATAAAAGGTGGCTTATATAATGGGAATTGATCATTGATCTAAAATGTTAGGCTGTAATATATTTGCCCTCATACTCTTTAAATAAAACTTAAAAAGGTATTTAGCCTCTCAGATATATTAGTCAGTTTTAATTAGGTAATGTTTTTGTATAACAGCATATAATATAAAAATTAAGCATATAATATATAAAATTAAGCATATAATATATAAAATTAAGCATATAATATATAAAATATAATCTAGATTTATAACAACAAAGTCTTATTTCTTGCTTACTTGATACTTTGGCTGTGATTCTGCTCCACATGGATTCTTTTTTCCAGGATCCACATGGAAGAAGCACCTGCTGTTTGGGACACGCATTTTTTTTTGTTTGTTTATATTTTTATTGGGTACAGAGTAGGTATATATATTTATGGAGTATATGAGATGTTTTGACACAGGCATGCAGTATGAAATAAGCACTTCATGGAAAATTGTTTATAATTTTTTAAAGAGATAATATAGCTCTGCCAGAACCATGTGATCATTCTTAAAACTTCCATGCAGCTATGGCTCACATTCAACGGGCAGAAGAAGATCATATGAGCAAACCTGACCCAAGTATAGTTTTAGTATGAGGATGGCAGCAAATAGAAACAAAAATACAATCTATCACAACATCTAAAAGTTTTTCATTACAAGTTTACTAGTTGCAAATTTTGTAATTTATGACATATTGTGTATGTGCTTTAAATATTTTTGTCATAACCTTAGAACTCATTCAGTTTTTGAAAATGTCCAGTCATATAAAATCACTTTGGCAAAGGCAGTTCACACAGTCTTATTTGTTTTTTTTTTTTCCAGAAAAAAAATCTGACTTAAATTTTCAACTCAAATTGGTGCAAACCTATGGCAACCATCCATTCCTAACTCACAGACAGGTAGATAGATACGCAGTTAAAGGCACAGAGCTATGCCATTAATTGCTTTTTTTTTGTGGAAGAAATAAGGTTCTGGCCCTTCAATAATTCTTACTAAAGACCTCGTTGTTTCATTGTCAAGGGGTCCCTTTCAGGAGCCATGCATTATTGAATTGTCCCCTTGTTTGGTATCCTAGAGATTTATACTCACCAAAGTAATGTTCCAAAGCAAGATCTGAGTGGGCAAGAAATATGCCATGTTTTGTCAAGTAGGGAAAATGTTGTCTGTGAAAGGGAAGTGCAGAGGCAGAATGGCAGGCTGGTCGGGGAACAAGTTCAAGAGCATTTCTGGAGTCAAGGATCTGGAAAATGATTCCCAATTTATTCACATTTGTGTATCCCTCTGGAAAGTCTTTGGTTCCCCATAGAGGTATACACAGCCAATCTGAAGATTATTTCTGTAGTACTGGAATGCTCTAGGTGCAGGTAAAGGTGCACCTAGAAAAATGAGTAAAAAGACCACAGCAGGAAAAGGAACCAGAAGGAAGAAAGTGGAATAACAAATGTGATATTGTGAAATATGTATTTGGTCTTCCTCCTGTTTCCTGGGATATAACTCCTAAAATCCAGGGACTCTCCCAAGTGATGTGTCCTTCTGTATGCTAATGAGATAACTGGTGGCTGGGGGTCCTTAGGTAGCTTCAGGATGGGAACTAGTCACAGGAAAGACCAAGGCAGGATTAGAGAGTTGGGACTTTCAGCCCCACCCACCAGCCTCTGGGAAGGAGAAAAGGGATGAAAGTTGAATTGATCATCAATGGCCTATGTTATAATCAATCATGCCTTTGTAATGAAGCTTCCATAGAAACCCAAAAGGACTGAGTTCCAGGTGCTTCTGGATAACTGAACACATGGGGGTTCCTGGAGGGCAGTGCACCCAGGGTGGGTATGGAAGCTCCATGTCCCTTCCCCCACACCTTGCCCTATGCACCTCTTCATTGTATTCTTTGTAATATCCTTTATGATACACTGGTAAATGTAACCAACTGTTTCTCTGAGTTCTGTGAGCTGCTCTAGCAAATTAATCAAATCCCAAAAGGGGGTCATGGGGTCCCCAATTTATAACTGATCAGATAGAAGTATAGGTGACAACTTATTAATTGAGATTGGTGTCTGAAGTTGGGGGAGGCAGTCTTGTGGGGCTGAACCCTCAACTTGCGGGATCTGATGCTACTTCCAGGTAGATGGTGTCAGGATTGAATTGAATTCGAGGACACCCAGCTGGTGTCTGCTGCAGAATTGATTGTTTGCTTAATTTGTGGGGAAAAACTTGGACACATTTGGTCACAGAAGCCTTCTGTGTTGATGGTGTAGTGTGAAAGCAGAGGAAAAACAGTGTTTTTTTGCTTCATAGAGAACACTTACAGAAAAAGTGTGAAAGCTGAGACGTGAAAGTTTTCCCTGGCTGAAGCTAGCTAAGGGGATGACATGAAACTTGCTCCTCCAGGAGAGCAGGAGAAACCAGTCATGGGGTTGGATAAGAAAAGAGAATTTGGGGGTGCATCCCAGAGTGAGGAGTGATCATAATAGGAAACTGTCCTGGAAACCTTAATAAATCCACTGCACGAAGGATGAATATGAGCGGCAGTTTGAGGAAACATCATATATGTGGTTTCTCCAGTAGATTTCAGAGGAAGTTGGGGGAATCATTGATTTCATCTGCTCATCGCCAGTATGATTAATACACACTTCAGAATACACACACACACACAAACTTTCTTATTAATGAAGCCTACGTGCCTTATACAAGAAGCAAATCACAAAGCTTGGGAAACACTTTTCTAGGACATCTCCTGTCCCTGCTCCTACCCCTCTATCACCCACCACCACCACTTCTATCTTCTTTTCTTTACCTTATCTTTCTTTCTTCTCCTTTTCTTGTTTTCTGCCCCCTTCTTGCTCCTCCCTTTTATTCTCATCCTCATCCCCAAAGGCTTTACCTTCCCTCAGTTTTCCAATCAACAACGAACACTGATTTAGAAAAAAATCAACATACTTCATCCTTTACCTCAGAAAATCTTAGGAAGTGCTTTAGCCTGGGAAGAGCATCTCTGTTGGGAAAATGAATCATGGACGGTAGTGTCTCTAGCCAGGAAAGTCTCTCTAGCCAGGTACAATGTGGCCCATCACCAAAGGGCTTGCTTAGGGTCCTTACTCAAATCTATATGTTTGCATAGAATTGTAGGATGCCAGAAGCGAAAAGAAACTTAGTGATCACCTAATTTAAAATGTTCTTTTTACAAAAGAGGAAACTAAGGTCAAAGATGGAAAAAGATGTGTCCAAAGTTACATAGGACTGGTAGTTTTAGCAAATGTAGTACAGATAGTGTGCATATGCTGCTCTTTATTTCCTTTCTGTTGGGTTTTTGATTGACGACAGCCAGCTCCTATTTACCAAAGAGTAGGATACTTATGGTAATTCAGTAACTCATTAGCCCATTTGTAACCATGCAGCAGTTTTAGGTCACGCTGGAAGGGAATGAGGGCCGCACAGACAGTGACATATACCTGAGCAGACTTTTGTCAGTTCTGAGGCACATACCTCTGATGGAAGTCTTAAGCAAAATATACCCGAGGTTAAGACTGTTTAAAATGATCTATTCTCCTAGGAAGTGCTTGGCTGGTCGTGAGAAGATCTGGATTCCAATCTAGCTCTGCCACTGGGTTTTCTCTGAATGGCCTTGGGTAGTCCTTTCCCCTCTTGAGGCTTCTGTTGCAGCATTTTAAAATGTGAATCATACCCCATGGAGTTGTGAGAAGCAAATGCATTGACGGGTGTAAAAGCATGTGATCGATGTTCCCTGCTGCAATAATAAAGGGAGTTTAATTTGTATGACTGCCTTCCGCTGCCAAGGAGAATTGAGGGTTGTGTTTTCCTAGGTGAACGATACCCTCATGCCATGCTCTCACATTGCACTGCAACCCCCCGCCAGGGTCTCCCCTTCAGAGAGGCTTTTCTGACCAGCCCCTTAACATCTGAAGTGCTACCCACTGGGTCCTTCTCTATCTTCTTCACTGGTTCTATTTTTATCTTTTGCACTCATCAGCCTCTATTATGCAGCATTTGTTTATTATCTTTCTCCCCCATCAGAATGTAAGATTCAGGAGGGCAGGGTCTTTGCCAGTTTTACTCACTGGCCTGATCCCAAGGCCTAGGACAAACAGCGCCTTGCTTTTTTTTTTTTTTTTTTTTTTTTTTTTTGGTGACAGTTTTGCTCTTGTTGCCCAGGCAGGAGTTCGGCTCACTGCAACCTCCACCTCCCAGGTTCAAGCAATTCTGCCTCAGCTTCCCGAGTAGCTGTGATTACAGGCACTCATCACCATGCCTGGCTAATTTTTGTGTTTTTAGTAGAGATGGGGTTTCACCATTTTGGCCAGGTTGGTCTTGAACTCCTGACCTCAATTGATCTGCCAGCTTCTGCCTCCCAAAGTGCTGGGATTACAGATGTGAGCCACCACGGCTGGCCCAGCGCCTGGCTCTTCGTGCCTGTTCAACAAACATTTGCAAATGAATGAATAAACGGGAGATCTCTTGAAGAAATTTGACGCAGGCACATGTAGCATTGAGCCCATCAGGAGTTGTAGTCGCAATAGGAGATGGAGGTGACTTAGGTGTGATGGTGATGGCTTGGGTGATCCACAAATTCAGATTTTGTGGCCTGAATGGATGATTTGAATGCCCAGAGATATTTGAGCACTTTTGGCAGAATTTTACTTCTTTATTGTACAAGGAGAGTTAGGGATCAACATCTAGACATGGGTGGAGGTGAGACTGTGGGAGAACAGCTCATTCTTATTTTATTTTATTATTTTACTTTAAGTATACATGTGTCATGGTGGTTTGCTGCACCTATCAACCCGTCATCTTGGTTTTAAGCCCCGCATGCATTAGGTATTGGTCCTAATGCTCTTCCTCCCCTTGCCCCCTACCCCCGACAGGTCCCAGTGTGTGATGTTCCCCTCCCTGTGTCCATGTGTTCTCATTGAGAACAGCTCATTCTTATAACATTAGCAGCAGGAGAAGATGAGGAGGCAAATAGGGGGTTAAAAAGGGAGGCAGAAGGGCCTGTGGCACTTAGAGGAGACTCTTCTGCCATCTGCAAGTGTGAGCCCGCTTTTGCTGAACAGAAGACGTGATCTGGGATGAACTGTTTACCCAAGCTGGGGAGCCTATTGATGATTGGCTGTACATGTAACCTGGAAGCTTCTGTTTTTGTGAAGTGAGAAAAAAAAAATCTACCCACAAAGAACATTTGGAGCACTGATGGGAAGTACAACTGGTATTTCCTCAGAGAATGATGGTAGGGGCACAGATCTCAGAGCAACCTTGCTCTGAACTGACTTCCAGCAAACTGGGGTTGGTAAAACGGACTGTTGTCCACAAGTTGGTTGAGATCGAGGGTCTTGATCTCAATGGTGGTATATAAGGATATTATATTGTATGATATTATCTCTTACTATGTTATACTGTGTTGTGTTGTAAGATTTTATATATTATATATCTACATTTGCATCTATACACACAGATATGCATACGAGCATACACACCTGTGTTATGAGAAAAAAGCAAGGAAAGAGGGAGTTGGGAACGTGTTGTGTGTCCCTTGAGCAGTGTTGACCAGCTGCAAGAGTCTCAGGGAACTCCTCTTGTGATTCAGCTGTTTCAGCACACGGAGTGCCTCTGCAGTGCTCTGCAATCCTTCAGGAGCCCCTGGTTGAAATGAGCCAAGCAGCACTTAAAAGAAATGAAAGAAAACAGTTAAATGCAACTAATCCCCACTGCTGTCCCAGTTGGTAGCTGTGGAGCAGAATGCCAGCTGTCCAGAACCTCGCTCTGGGTCGCTGATGCTGGTCTGCCTGTCAGCAATCCCGGGTCGTTGTTTCTGTCCCGAGGCACACCTTGCGGCTGGGTGGTTAGGGGTCTGCCCTGGGCTAGGCAGGCTCCAGGATGGGAAAGCTGCAGGGTCAGCAGGGCTTTGCCTGGGTCTGTCTCTCCGAGAGAACAGCTCGCACTTCCCAGGTGTGTCTGAGTGTGGTAGATGGGGGAGTGGTGAGGTGGGGACCCTGGTCCTGTTGCCCTCGAGTGTGTGGAAGAGACATGCTCCACCTTGTGCTCTCCCTTCCTATCTCTTCTTTCTCAGGGTCTGAAGAGGCTTTCTTGGTGTGGCTGGGGGATCCCTTCCCTCCACACAGTCCTCCTGCCTTTGAGCAGTGGGGCTCATTTAGGGCTCCTGTAAGTTTCCTGTGACATCCCGGGCAAGCTGCTTTTCTCCTCAGGATGCTTTGTCCAGCCAGCCAAGTCATGTTCCATTGAGGTCATGGGAAATGGAGTCTTTTACACAGATACTTGCAAATGAGGGCTCAAACTTGAATCCACAAGTTGGTGGCAGAAACTTGCATATGTCTATCCCCATCCTCTGGCACCCTCCACCCCAGCATCTGTTTCACACCTTTCCAGCTTGCAGAAACTCTCTGGTCTCCTTTGAGTTTCAGTCTTCCCTGGGGTTCAGTGGGAGCCATGATGTGTGTGGACCCTGGAGCTAGGTGTGGCTGGGAGCCTCAGGTCATCCTGGATGTTGAGTAAAGGCTAAGGGTTCAATTGGACTGGCAGGAACCTGTGAAACCAAAAGTTACCCATCAATTGCCAGAGTGTGTGAGGAGGACCACACACCATTGTTTTCTTTTGTGATACACTCCCTCCTTGTCCCCCACCACCTCATGTTAGACTCAGTGTTATGTTATATCCAGGGGAGTTTTTCTTGGCACAGTTATGGATTGGTCTCTATTTTTGATGTAGGCCACAGAACAATTGTTCTCAAAGACGGCAAAAAAGAAAATGGAGTAATTGTGACCCAATCCTCCTCTCAACTACCTGCTCCTTCATTTCCTGCC
Organism: Homo sapiens; assembly: GCF_000001405.40. Classification (NCBI taxonomy): domain Eukaryota; kingdom Metazoa; phylum Chordata; class Mammalia; order Primates; family Hominidae; genus Homo; species Homo sapiens. Next base: position 45,755,576 of record NC_000006.12, read on the forward strand.
TCTCTGAAGAGTTTTAGATAGTACCATGGTTCCTTCTGCCCTCCTCGAAGCCCCACAGCCTGCCACTTCTCCCCTAAGCCCCCTTAGAAATTGTGCCATTAGATAAGGAGAATTTTAGAACAGCCCACAGTAATAAAGGTTAGTCAACTATGATATGTTTTACTCTAAAGGTTTTTTTTTGTTTCTTTGGTTTTTTTTTTTTTTGCCTCCAGTCAGCTCAGAAGCTGTTAATTTGGATTATGATTCCTCAGACTCCAAAGGTATTCAGACTGTGAATGCCAAAAGCCAGGGCTTTAAAGCACCACAGTTTCTCTCCTTTCCCACCCCCAAATTGGTGGTGAGTTATTTTTGACTTGCTCATTTCCAAAACTCTTCCAAGTTGAGTGCATGGTCCCCAACATCCTATATAAAAATCAAATCTTGACATCTTACTCAAAAACCTTCAGTGCCTCATGGCTACCTGCAGGATGAATTCCAAAGAGTTAGCCAAACTGCTAAGTACAATTGTTTAGGTTGTACACTGCAAAATGCTAAGGTGCACCATTCTATGCACAACCATACTGAGGTCCTGTAATAAGCAAAGCATTCAAAGCACTTCATAGTATATTTCCAAGAAACTCTTCTACTCTTATGTTCCCTAAGCCTATAGATGTACTGTTACCTTTAGCCAGTCTGGTCTCACTGCTTTTAAATGCACATTGAAATTTCCACATCTGGACCTTTGCACAGACTTTTCCCTTAGCATGAGGAACACTGCTTTCTCATCTTTACATGGTTGAGTCTTCCCAGTCCTTCAAGATCCACCTGAAGTTTCACCCTCTCTATGACATCTTCCTTGCCCACACCACCTGGAAGCCATCTCTATTTCTTCTGAACTTCTCTAGCACTTGTCAATAGATCCCATGAGACACATTACACATAGCTGGAATTTTAGTTCTCTTTCCATTCACCCTGTATCTGTAACTAGAGTGTGCACATTTGAAGAGCCTGTGTTTAACATTTCCTGAATTTCCTAAAGCATCTGACAGTGCCTGATACACAATGTGTGTTCAACAAATTATTGACCTGCTAGCTGGTTGGTTCAAGTTGCATTGTGAAGAACCCATTGGCTCTCTCCCCCATTCCCTTGCTATTTTATTCCAGTTCCTGGAATTTCATAATAACAGAGATTGTTCCAGAAAGCTGACACAGAGATGGTTCCAGAAAGCTGACACAGGCCATTTCCTCTAAACAAACCCATGTTTTCACAGGACGTGCTGTGGAGCTTTCTATAAAACACACACACACACGCACATGCACACACACAGACACACACACACACCCGTGTTTGGGTTCTATCAAACACATTCCAAATAATAATAATAATAATAGTAATAATAATGATAACAAAACAATAACTATTTATTTGGTGCTTACCAACTGTAGGCACATGGACTAAGTACTTTCCATACATTCTCTTGTTTAATCCTCAGTAAACCAACAAGGTAGATATTTATATTTTCCCAGTTTTACAGATGAATAAATGAAGGCTCAAATAAGTAAAGCAATTTGTCTCAAATCACAGAGGTAGTTAGTGGAGGCCCCAGGGATTGAACCTTGTGCTGCTGAATCTCTAGGGTCTTAACCACTGTGTTGGTATACAAGGTTTTCCATGTCTAGTCAATAAAGCATCTCAAGCTCATCCTGGTGGTAAGGCAATCTGTGGGCTCAGGGAGGATCCTGATATAGCCAGAGGCCTTAGCCCTAACGATGTTTCTGCCAGAAACTAGTTAATATGCCTTATCTTTCAAATTAAGTGATTGGACGAGATTCCTTCCTATTCTAAGAATTTATGTAACTACAAAAAAGGAAAGACATGGGCCTTGCTCTCAGGAATTTACAATCTTGTTGGGGAGGGAAGATATAAACCTTAGTAGAGAGAAAAAGCTAGCTAAGGTAGGTATGTACCAGCTGGGAGAGTCGTCAAGATCAGCAGCTCAAGCATGGCAAGAGGAGCTGAGAAGCTGGCGCTGTCTCCCTGCAAGCAGGGTGAGCTTGGACCTACCATCAGAAGGATGCCTTTTCTTGCAAGACGATGAGCTTGACCTTCACAATAGGGCTCAGGGAGGCCCACTGGAGGAATGGTGCAAGTCACAACCCCAGGATGTTTATCAGCCAGGCCTTTTTGACCCTTCAACAAGATGTTTCTTGAGCAAATTTTTTGGAATTTTGGTGGGCTCTGACCTGCAGTTTTCACTTCCAAAATAACTTGACTTTTCTAAAGTGGTAATTTCATTTTCATGATAATACTAAACTGAAGCCACATGATCTCTAATTGGAAGCAGGTCTTGGGCCTCAGAGTTGCCAAGAAACAGTAAGAAACATGCTTATTCTACTACTTTGCTTCAGGCACTCAGCATTTTTGAGTGCCTGGGCAGAAATATAGTTTTTTAAATAAAGCCAATCCCTGAGAGAGGAGAGGGTAAGGGGAGGGGAAAGGAAGACATGGGTGGGGGGTGGTTAGAAATAGGAGAAGGGATTTTTTTTTAATCCAAAGAGAGGAAAATAATACTCTATATTTTTGTATTTAAATTTTCCTGCCTGTCTCTGCCATCTTTTAGTATTAGTGAAACCGGGGTGTGTCCCGTCTGTCTTGGGGTTGAGGTGGGACTGCAGCTGATGTTCCTTTAACTTTCCAGTTAGTATTCTGATTTGCTTCCTCCCAGCAAACACTGGGACCAACTTCATGAGGAAAATGAGGAATTATTTCTTTTTCTATTTTCCTTCCCACATCATTTCCCATATCCTATTAATTGTATCCTAATGAGTCAAGTCCCTCTCCAGTGGCAGTAGAAAGACTGTTTTAATAAGTCTGTCTTTGCCCTTTCTTTTCCTTCTTTCCCTCCTCTCATCCCTCCCTTCCTCCCTTCCTTCCTTCTTTTCTCTCTATTCTTTTCTTTTCTTTTCGTTTCATTTCTTTCTCTCTCTTTATTTTATTTTATTTTCTTTCCTTTTTTTACAAAACAGCATAAATTGTCCCAGGGAAGGCCCAGAAAATACTGACACAAAGGAAATCTTTTAATGACATTTTAAAAAAGAAACAAAACAAACCCCTTTCTGAAAACAAAAATTATATAACAGATTAAATGCATAGCAGAACTTTCTGCCGGAAGCCAAAGCTGTTTTTTAAATACAGTTGGGAGCTTAGTAATCACATGGTGTTTTTTGAGATTTTTTTTCTTTTCTGTTGCCCTCAGTTTCCTGCAAGCGCCATTTTAGACAAATTGGCTGGAGGAGACTCCGGGTTCTGTGGTTCCGTCCCACCCTGTCAATTAACATCCTCCTAAGTGCTGCTCTGAGCCCCGTTGGTCGCCAGCCCCTCGGGTGTCCTCGGGGTGGGGCAGCATCCTGCAATGTCTCTGTTCCTTGTGCCTGGATCTCTGTACCGCGTGCCTGCTGTTCCTTCCTGCTTGGCCGGCCATTGCCAGCACTGAGCCTTTTCTGCCAGGAGTGCCCATTTCTCTGCTGTACCAGAAGAATCCTTGGCATGATTGTTATGCTCCCTTTCTTACTTTGCACATGGTAGGAAAGGAAAGCCATAAAATGAGGTATGAAGAAAGGAGCAATGACGAGGAAAAATGATGGGGAAAGAGAAGGCTCTACATTTCAGCTTCAACGGCTGCCTAGAAAAAAATCCACAGCACCCTGGGTTGGAAAAGGGCAGGCCAGAGCTTGGGCTGAAAGAGAAAGTCTTGAGGGGCAAAAAAATCTTTAAAAGTGCAACCACAACGTCTCAAGATCAGTGTGACTCAGTGACTTCCCAAAACGTGTATTTCAGATAGATATCACATTATGTCCTTCTTGTACTTTTCACTTGGTTTTTCTAAGGTGGTTGTTGACGTTTTTAATTTAAACCCTGCTCACACCCGTTGCAGTTTCCAGGGAAGGCATACAGGAGGTGAAGGTCCAGTGGGGACATTTGCTTTCTCCTGATGTCCCCAAGGACTGCTAGGCCTTGAAGCCCTAAGAATCCAGAACATCTGGTGCATTTCAGCAGTTTATTCACAAGTTCAGCCAGTCATCTGGATGTTTTGTCTATGCAGTGCCAAACATCTGGATTGACATTTTTTTTTTAACCAGACTTACTAGATGTTTTGGCATTGTGTAGACAGGAATTCAATTTTTTAATAGTTCTTTCTCTACTCATCTGAGATTCTTAGTAACCGACCCTACAGTACAAAGCAGGAGAGAGACAGAAGTTCTTTTTTTTTTTTTAAATCATTGTTGATGGACTTTCTCAATAAGCCTGTGTTTGTACAATCATGAAAAGTGGGCAATTTTGGTGATGACTTTTTTGGCAGCATCTACACAACCTTATATAATCGGTTTGCTTTACTTTTTTGGCGGCACCCGCACAATTCTAAATCAGTGGTTTGACTACTTTGCTTTTTTGCTGGTGGACTAAATTGACCAAAATAATATGGTGTGTTGATCTTAGATGCTCCAAATACATTTGAAAAGAATTAGAATTTTAATGCTTTTAACAAGAGCTTAAAAAGTTAAAGAATTAAGTGATTCTTGAAAATAACTTATGAGAATTAGTTTATCTCTAGTTTTTACACTTATCATTTCAAGTAAAATTGTAAGATCCTGGAGAGCAGGTATGATTTTTAAAAAGCGTTAGTGTTTAATTGAATGGTGGTGGTGACAATGGTGGAGATAGGGGTGGATAGAATGTGAGCTTACTTTTTTTGTTGTCGTTGTTTACTTAGAGTTGTATTATGCTGTTTATCTTTCTTTTGTAGGTTCTACACTGTAAGTAAATATAAGTGTAGTGATTTGCACCTTGAAAACTCCTGGTATTTCAAAATATTACTGAACTAGAGAGATCTTTCCTTCTCCTACAAATAGTAGGAAAGTTGTTAACTTGCAGAATTTTTTTTTTTTTTTTTTTTTGCTAAGTTGTTTCAGTCTTGAGGAAGGGAAGAACTTAATATTTGCAGAATGATTTGCCCTGATTCTGGGTGCAGTTTTACCATCAACTTTCTCTTTCTAAGTCTTTAGCAAGTCTCTTCTCAGTGAATAAGCCGTGGTGGAAGGAGGGGGTTACACTCAGTGAGTGATATTGGTCTGGCTGGGAAATCCAAGACACCAGACTCTGTTTTCTCCTAAATCAAGCACAGTAATTAATCAAAGACATTGTGTGAAGAGTTTGAGTACAGAGCCAGGGAAGCAGCAGTAGGTCAAGAAGCATCAGCAGGTCAAAAGCGATCAAGCACGGGTCCTAGGCAAAGATCTGGAATTGGAACAGTTGAGGCTGGACCAGCTGAGTCTATGCAAACCGGTTCTTATGTGCCTGATATGTTGTCTTGTAGGAGTCCAGGTATATTTAAAGGGCCAGAAATGGGACAATGCTTCAGGTCTTGGGATTCTCCTTTGTTAACTCAGACGTGAATCTCTTCCTACTCTGACACTATGTAATTCCCTTGAAGAAATGCTCAGGAAGCTCATGATGCTTTCCTATTGCAAAGACATCAGATATTCAGTTGCTCTGAATCTCATTTTATCCTTGCCCTACTGTCTGTATGACTTTTCAGGAATCAAACTGTGCCCTTCCTGAAGCAGACAATAAATAATGCTAACCAAATGACCAACAGTGTAAACAGAATTTACCTTTTAGGCAAATAAAATCTCAAAGAGTGAAATGAAAGGTTTTAAGAGACAAGATTTAGGATTCTAGGCTACCTGTTTTTTGTCCCACTTTTGAACACGATATCCACTTCTTAGCTTCTCTCAATGGATATATTTCAAGGTCAAAGAGTAGCTGGCAGTGCATGCGGTAGCTCTGAGGATTTATGGAAGATCAATGCCTTTCTCATCCCATTATGCATCCAGCTTCTCTTAAGAGCTAATCATTGCCAATAATATGAAATGGGGGAAGGACTGCCTTTGGGACCCTTTTGTACAATTGTGGCCTTCTGTTCCCACTAGGTCTTAAATTTCTCTATGAAGGAAATGTGTGCCCTTGTTGCTCCCCCATGATTACTCTATAGGACACTGGCAGGCATTCAGCAGATGTCTGATTGATTGAATTTCCATGTTTTTCTCAGAGGTCCTGAAGCCTCAAGATACTTCTTGGCTATCCCAGGCATGCCAGTGTGGTAACCACACAGACTTCTCTTCCATACATTTTCTCTTGCCACTTCTAAGTTGTTCTCTTTCCTCTTCCTCTGAATTGTTCCTGAATAGATAAACTGGGATCAGTTTAATCAATTACTCAACAGGGGTGATATTCAAAAGATTCAGTGACTAGTATGGCACACACACCAACCAAACAAAAAGATACTGGTCATAGAATTGGAGCAGGTTTCTGAAGGATCCTATGTCTACTGAACTAGGCATTAACCCTTTAGTTGCTGGATAACTGGATGGTCTTGGAGAACCATGGGAATGGCTGGGATAGTTGTAGATGTCTTGGAACACTTGGGCATCTTCAGGTAGTGGCTATTTACCAACCTGCATAGAAAACACTGTCAATATTTTAACAAGTTGTGTACATGTTCTAATGCATCTTGGCTTGAGAATCCACCCTCACGGTATGTAACTATTACTTTTGTTTTGCCTGGAGAAAAATAGCAAAGAGCAGTTGTCCTGAGATTCTTGTATTTCTCAGATTAGTAAAATTTAGCCCAAACTATGTAGGGTAGAGGGGATGCGGAAGGACTTATATCAGGTTATTAATTGCTTTCCTCATCCCCAGGTTTTTTAATCTATAAAATGACCCCATGGTAATCAAGGAACGCAAATAGGAATAAAATTATATATTCTTCATCTATTATATTGGCAAAAATTATTGATGTCGATGAATTTTTTCAGAATAACTTTCCTGTGTTGTTGATGGAATGAACATCAGTACCATATTTCATCAAATCTAAGTGCCACCAATTAAAAAATCTACTAATATTTTATGTAAAAGTTAGCAAGAAAAATTAAATTATGACATGCCATTAATTATTGGATGAATCTTGATTTCATAAAACTTAAAATGGAAAAGTTAGTTTCTTAGAATCAATGAAATATGGTATATTCTTTCTAAAGGATTTTGTGCAACAAAAGCCTTTAAACAATGTAGTAGCCACACTGTCCACTATGCAATTAAAAAAACTGATAAATATGGAGAAATATGGGAAAATGTGATTTATAACCAGGAGAAAAATTAATCAATATAAATAAACCTAGATGACAGAGGTGTTGAAATTGGCAGACAAGGATTAAAAAGTCCTATTTTAAATATAGTCAAAGATTTCTAAAAATATATGAAATATATATAAAAAAAGGAAATCCCAATGGAGAAATGGAAATTATACATAAAAGAAGAATCAAATGGAAATTCTAGAATTAAAAAATACAATGTCAGGTTATGAAAAAATTCAATATACAGGCTTAACAATAGAGTGGGCACTGCAGAACAGAAGATCAATAAGCCTGACAACAGGGAGACAAATTATCAAAAATGAAGTATACAGAAAGAAGAAACAAGAAAAAAAAAAGCAGAGCATCAGTGATCTGTGGGACAATATTAAGTTATCTAATGTGTGTAATTGGAATCCCAGAAAGAAAAGATAGAAAGAATGGGACAAAAACTTAATGAATCCTAAGCAGAATGAAGACAAACCTAGCCATATAATAATCAAAATGCTTAAAACTAAAGATAAAGAGAAATTCATAAAAGAAAAAAGACATTCTACAAACAGGAGAACAGTCATAAAATTGACTGCTAAATTCTCATTAGAAACAACACAACCCAGAAGACAAAAGAAAGCATTTTTAAAACACTGAAAGAAAAAAAAAATCAAGGAAGAATTCTGTATCCCACAAAAATGCACAAATAGCTTTCAAAGATTAAGGTACAATAAAAGACATTTTTACATAAACAAAAGCTCAGAGAATTTGTCACCACCCAAACCAGCACTAGGAAAAAAAGTTAAAGACCTTCAGTCAGAAGGAAAATGATTCTAGGTAGAATCTCAGAGCTAGAAGTAATAAAGAGATCTGGAAATGCCAAATATATTGTAAATGTAAAAGACCTTTTTTTTCTTTTTTCCTAGTTTTCCCTAAAGACTAATAGACTGCTTAAAGCAAAAATAGCAACAATATGTTTTGTGGTTTATAACAAATGGAGAATTAAAATGTATTCAAAGTACAAAAGATGGGTAAAGCTCCTACATTATACATGAAACAATGAAATCTTGCTTTTTGGCAGAATGTGATATGTTAAAGTCACATATTGTAAATCTTAAATATAAACAAACAAACAAACAAAAAACCGCACAAGATGGAATAGATGAAAAGCCAACTGATGAGGCAAAATGAACTGAAATCCAAAAAAGACAGGAAAATAGCAGATAGGACAAATAAATGAATAGAAATGATGCTAGACTTAAATCTAACCACACCAATGATTATACTAAATGTAAATGGACTAACCACTTCATTTAAAAGATAGGATTCTTAAGACTGAATTAAGAAGAAAGATCCAAAACTGTGCTGCTGTCTGTAAGTAACCCACCTTCAATGTAAATACATATAGGTTAGAAGTAAAAACATGTAAAAAGATATACAAGGCAAATGGTAATTATAAAATAGTTGGCATGGCTATTAGTATCTGACAAGATAGACTTCAGAATAATGAGTATTTCCAGAGAAAAAGAGAGACATTTCAAAATTATAGCAGGGTCAATTCATAATAAATACATGATAATTCTAAATATATATGCACCTGATAACCAGACCACAAAATACATAAAGCAAGTAACTTACAGAACTAAGGAAGTAAAAGACAGATTTACAATAATAATCGGAGATTTTTGACACTCTCTTCCAGTAATTGATAGAACAAGTAGAAAATCAGTTAAGACATTGAATACTCCTTAAAACTATCAATAATTGGTAGTTTTGATATCAATTAGATTAATTTATCTAATTAATATTTATGGATTACATTTACCAAATAACTGCAGAGCATAAATTCTTCTCAAGATCTGAAACTTTAATTAAGCTAGATCCTATTCTGGGCTGCAAAACAGGTTTCAGTAAATATTAAAAGACTGAAATCATATAGAGTATGTATTCTTACTACTGTGGAATCGAATTAGAAATAAATTTAAAAAGAGGACTGGAAAATTCCAAAATATTTGAAAATTAATCAACACAAGTAATACATGGATGAAAGAAGAAATTACAGGGGAAGTGAGAAAACACAATAGCAGATTTTGTGAGATGCAGCTACAGTGGTGCTTAGAGGGAATTTATAGCTTTAAATGCATATCTAAGAAAAAAGAAAGGTGTAAAATCAATAATTTAACCTTTCAACCTTAAGAAGTTAGAAAAAGAACATATTAAATAAGTGAAATAAAAGAAATAGTAAAATTAAGAGCAGAAATTAATGAAATAATGAACAGCTAAGTAGAATATCAACAAAACTCCATACTAGTTGCTTGAAAAGATCACCAAAGTTGTTTAACACTTAGATTTAAACTGATCAGTGTAAAGGGAGAAAAATTTTTAAAAAATCAGATAATAAGGAATGAAAGATAATTTATCAGGACATACTGTAAGACATTACAAAATAATCAAGAAATATTGTGAACAACTCTATACCAACAAACTTGATAGCTAAGATTAAATGAACACATGAAATATACAAATTACCCAAAGGACACAGGAAGGACTAGAAAATCTGAAGAGCTCCGTGTCTTTCATATTTATAAACTTCGCAGAGGACTTCTGCTACTGGCCAAGATTGAGTAGGCCTACTAGAGCACATCTTTCCCATTGAAGACAACTAAAAACTCTGGACAGAATACAAAAAGCCCCTTCCCCTTCCCCTTCCCCTTCCCCTTCCTCTTCCCCTTCCCTCCTTCCCTTCTTCCCTCCTCTCCCCTTTCTCTTTCTTTTTTTGTTTTTCTTTCTCTTTCTTTCTTTCTCTTTCTTTCTTTCTTTCTTTCTTTCTTTCTTTCTTTCTTTCTTTCTCTTTCTTTCTTTCCTTCCTCCCTTTCTTTCTTTCTCTCTTTCTTTCTTTCTTTCTTTCTTTCTTTCTTTCTTTCTTTCTTTCTTTCTTCTTTTCTTTCTTCCTTTCTTTTCTTTTCCTTTCCTTTCCTTTTCTCTCTCTCTCTCTTTCTTTCTTTCTCTCTCTCTTTTTTCTCTTCTCTGAGGCAAAACTGCATGACAGCATAGGAGGCTAAAGCTCTGAGAAGAACACATATTTCTGGCTATAAAAACTGTCTAAAGGAGTCTTTAGAAGATGAAGGTTTGGAGGAAATGAATAAGAGAAGAATGCTAGAAGATAAGGTCTCCAAATGTCATGGATAATCTAACGTAAGTGTCAGGCTTGCCCCTGAACTATGCATGTGTGGGTAAGAACCTATGAAGTATAGTAAGGTATTTGAGAACTGAGCTAAGATACAAACTGCCCAAGCACCTACCAGACTAACCCCTGAGTGGTGCAAACACAAACAGCCGTGCAAAGGCCATGGAAATGAACTGCCATTAAAACCAACATTCACAAAAAGCAAGGTAAGACTGCAGACTGAACCTACGGTGGTTGATTGTGTAATAAAACAAATAAGAGATGAAAAATTTTCAAAGATTTTAACAGAACCTAGAGGATCACAACATACTATTCAAATTTCCAAGATGCAATCCAATATTACGTGGCATACAAATAAAAAAAAAAGAAACATTAAAATGGGACCACTTCCCAAAGGAAAAGACAATCTACTGTTGCCAAACCCAGGGTGATTTAGATGTTGGAATTATCAGACAAAGAACTTTAGAGCAACTTGTAGAGTCATGCTCCTTAGAATAAAAGCAAACACTTTTGAAGTGAATGGAAGAGAGAAATTCTCAACTGAATAATACAAACTAAAAAAATTAAATGGAGTTTAATTTTTAGAAGTATAATATATAATATCTGAAATGAAAATTTCATTGGATGGGCTCCGTAGCAGAATGAAGATAACAGAGAAGTTTGTGAACTTGAATATAGATTAACAGAAATTATCCAACCTGAAGAATACAGAAAAGAGAAAAAAATCTATGGGGAATAGATTGTCAGGGACCTATGGGACAATATCAAAACAACATTTATATCAATGGAGTCTCAGAAGGATAAGATAAATAGATTGGTATGAAAAATTTGAAGAAATAATGTCTGAACACTTCCAAAATATAGTACAAATACAAATATATGGATTCAAGAATCTCTGAGAACCCCAACAATAGAAACCCATGGGAAACAAAGCCCAAATATATCAAAATCAAACTTCTGAAAACCAAAGATAAAGAAAAAAATTTCAGGCATCCAGAGAAAAACACCACATATAGGCCAACACAAATTTGAATGAGAGTGAATTTCTCATCAGAAACCAAAGAGGCCAAAAGATGGTGGAACAGTATCCTCAAAGTGTTGAAAGAACAGAACTGTCAAACTGTATTTTTTAAAAGCCCCTCAAGAATAAAGATGAAATAAAGAGTAAGGTAATTTTGCCAGCAGACTTGTGTTAAAAGATATGCTAAAGGAAGTTTTTTAGGAAGAGAGTATCAGGGAAAAACTTTATACTTTGGGGATGAAGGAAGAGCAAGATAAATGTTATATATCTGGCTGTAATATAAGATTATTTTTCTCTTATGTTTCCTAAAATATGTATGGCTATTGAAAGCAAAAATTATGTTGGTGGAAAATGTATGCAAAAGTAATACATATGTCAATTATAATAAAAAGGGGATATTTAAAGAGATATATATAGTGCTAAGGCAACTACATTTTACCTAAAGTCTTCTACATCTTACTCAAAGTAAAATGTTAACTATAATTAGTCTGTGAAAGGTTAGGTGTGTAGTTTGTAGAATAGCAAGTAAGAAAGTACAATGAGATATAACCAAAAAATGAAAAGATAAATAGGCAAATAATCCAAAACAAGGCAGAAAAGTGAGGAGAATAAAAAAGGACAAACAGAAAATAATAAAATAGTAGACCTAAATCCAACCATATTAATAATTACATCAAATATAAATGGCCTATACATACCAATTAAAATACAGAGATAGTCAGATTAAACAAATGACACCTCAATGACAATCCATACTTAGTGACTATTCAGAAGTTTTTTGGGTGACAGTTGCTGGGGGAGTGTGTTACAAATAAGGAAAAAGAGGGGAACAAATTTGTTTAGAAATATTGAGTTTAATTTTGTGATACAGTCTTCATTGCAGGAGCTCGTTTTTCCTGTGTTAAAAATTATGATTTATAGTTATAAAGCTTTCACTTAGTTCAATGATTTTGTCAAACGACCACCTATGACCACTGCCTGGGTTGGATGATTGCACTACCCTCTTACCTCTCCCTCCAGGCACAAGTACTCTGAGACTTGCAAAGTTGCATCTTGGTGGCGGAAGGAAGCCCAGATCCCTAACCATATAAGGATACAAGTCACCCTCAAGTAGCTCAGGTTTATGCCAAGATAGAGAGCCTCTTTCTACAGTTACTTATGACACTTGGGAGTTTCATGTTTTCCTGGAGAAATCTTATTTTCGCTTTTGGTGCCTTTGCCATTGCCCTGGCAACTAACATCAGAAGAACTGGCTTTTGCCCAGCATCATGATAGGATCTTAGTTATCACAAGCCTACACTATCAGAGCAAATCTGGTGCTCAAGGTTCCTGAAGAAATATATATCTCGATGGATAATGTACCCTCAGATTTTATTTTAGGATTATGTTGAAGACAATTTTTGTGTTTTCTCTGCAACTCAAACTGAAGACATAATTGCATTTTGGGGCTTTATATATAGGGCTCTGTGTAATATTCCAAGCACATTTTAGCACCAGGGAAATAATTTATTTCATTAGAAGGCATCATGATCTCCTTTTGGCCTAGGCTGCTAGGAATCTTCAAGCCAAACTTAAAGGGTTTCAGTTTTACATCCTAGGCATTTAACAAAACAGCATCCCCTCTCATTAAATTGTTTACAGTTTCTCATATTAATTTTCTAAAACTGCTTTTATTTCATTACAATGTTGCAAACTCAGTGCTTCGAAATCCGAAGTATACAAGACATAAATAAAGAATATCTACCACTAAGAAGAGTACTTAAAGTCCTCCAAAGAAGATATTATCCATACCCTCTATGCTAAATTTATTAAAATGTGTATAAGTAATATAAATTAAACACTGCGTAATGAAATGCTAAAAAATCCTACTAGTTAAACAAAATAAAGATTATAAGATATTCCTGTATAAGATACATTATAATGGGCAGTGTTTCCGGGTTAGATTCGCTTGCTTTTGTTTTTTTCACAAAAATGTCAATGGAGGTTATTAAACTCCACATAGATGCTATACTCTTCACAAACTGGATTGTGGCAGGAGACAGTGGGAATTGACTTCTACCTTGGTGACAAGTAATTATACCCTAGGGCCACAGGACAAATGGAGACTTAAGAAACAGAGTAGATTCCCCCAAGATGACAACCTTGCAAGTTGAATTCCATGGTTTGAGTGCTGATGTCATTGCTTTCAATATCTTTCTTCACAACTCTAAAGACATAGACATAGTATTGAATTTGAGGTTTTGTTCCTCCCCCCATGTTTATTTATTACAAATCCTCAGCAAGTGTCTTGTGAAAGTTAAAGACTGGGACCAATCTTACTATGGGACATCAGCTTTAAATTAGACCTCCCTGCCTCCTTCCCAAGCTCCTACTCAACACTTTGTTATAAGCGTGAAATCAGCATTGTTATAAGTACGGATTCATGTTAAAATAAATCAAGAAAGGAAAACTGTAAACTTAACCCTATGCTGCCACATCATGCCCTCTTCAATGTCACGCCAGTTTGTCTTTCCAGGCCCCAAATTTCAACCAATATCTGGAGGGAGAGTCCACTAATCCACTGTGCCCTGGTCTCTGGGATTTGTCTTCTAATAAGCTTCCCTTCCATAGAATGTGAACATGACTGCTTCAGTGAGAAACTAACTTCAGTAGAATGTGAACATGACTGTGTCAGTCAAAAATTGGGGAGAAGAAACTTCAAAGATGGGGAAGACCTTGGTTATTTTTTCCCCCATTTTTTTGCTGGCTGTAAAGGACAGATACTACCACTAAGAGAGGAAAAGGATCTAATTAGAAAGGTGAACAGAGGGTTCCCTGAGGAAGTGAGCTACAGGCTCAGTAAGCAAGAGAAGCCATCATTGTCTGAATAAGGAAGAGAAACCATCATTTTCCAGGCACAAGGAATAGTGTACCAAAGTTCTGATGGCAGGAGAAATCAGGAGAGAACAAAGGATGGAAGAAGTCTAGTGTGCATGGAGTGGAGAGCCATGTAGGGCCTTATCTGAAACCATCAGAAGAGTTCTGTTTTAGCTTCATAAAAATAGGAAGTCATTTAAAGATTTTAGATGGTAAAAGGGATCAGATGTTTTTGTGGAAAATGGTTTGTAAAGAGGCCAGTGAGGATGCAGGGGGACCCCTGGGCTAGTAGCACACAAAAAATAGTGCTGAACATCACTAGTTATCAGGGAAATGCAGATGAAAATCACAATTATATGTACTATTCACCCACTAGAATGGCTAAAAATAAAAATGCTGTCAACACTAAGTCTTGGCAAGGATGTGGAACACCCAGAAGTCACATACATGGCTGTTAGGAGGTATAAAAATGGCACTACCATGTATTAGTCTGGCATAACAAGGTACCATAGACTAGGTGGCTTAAACAATAGAAATGTACTTTCTCACAATCCTAGAGGCTGGAAGTCCGAGATCAAGGTGTCAGCAGGGCTGGTTCTTCTGAGGCTTCTCTCCTTAGCTGGTAGCTGGCTGTCTTCTCCTTGTGTCTTCACATGGCCTCCCCTCCATGTGTATCTCTGTCCTGATCTCCTCTTTGCAAAAGGACACATTCATAATGGATTGGGCCCATTCTAACCACCTCATTTTAACTTAATTATTCTTTTAAAGACCTTATCTCCGAATACAGTCATATTCTGAGATATTAGGGGTTAGGACTTTAACATATAAATTTTAGAGGGATACAATGTAACCTGTAACTTATTACTTTGAAAAATAGTAGTTTGGCAGCTTGTAATAAGGTTAAACATATTCCTACCCTATGACTCAGTAATTCTATTTTTAAGTACCCTAGAGAAATCACATATTCCCCGCCAAATGTCTTGTACAAGAATGTTTATAGTAGCTGTGTTTATAATAGCCCCAAAATAAAAACAACCCAAATATCCATAAGCAGGTGAATGGATAAATTTGGGATGTTCATATAATGAAATACTACTAAGCAATAAAAAGGAATGATTTACTAATACTGGCAACATGGACAACCTTACAAACATTATGTTAAGTAAAGAGTCCAGATTGCAAAAGAGTAAATACAGTATGATTCCATTTACATAAAGTCTTAGTATTAATCTATCGATAGTACTAGTCAGATTTCTTTCCCAGTAGATTAGCTTTAGATTAATAGATTAGCTTTAGTACTAGTATTAAACTAAACTAGTACTAGTACTAAAGCTAATAGATTATCTTTAGTACTACTAGTCTAGTAATAAAGCTAATCTATTGGGAAAGAAATGAGAGCAGTGGTAGCTTCTGGTAGTGTTGGGGAGGGGTGTTGACTGGGAGGGAAATTTCTGGGGTAATGAAAGCATGCTATATCTTGATAAGGGTGTGTGTTACATGGACATGTGCATTTGTCACAGTCAATCACAGTTACATGTAAGATTCAGGATATGTAATTTTTACATCTACAAAAAGCTTAAATACATAAAATCTAAACAGTACGTGAAAATGGTCATAGAGTGGACCCTGTATAATTGCTGTCAGTGTGTTATGGCTGGTCTGCTCATCGCCAGGGCAGCCTCCAGGCCCAGGGTAACTCCAGCTCCCACAGACCTCCTGCTTCAGCTTCTCCGGTTCCTGGACCAGGTGTGAGTGCAGATCCACCCACACGCCCCTTGCATTACCGTATCAGAGGTGGTGAGAGGTGCACAGTGCTCCTGTTTGTCTTTGGCCTCCCCTACTTCCCCGCCTTCCCCTTCTGCCTGCCCACCCTGATAGCGAGCAGATGACTGACATAATCCATGTAGCTTACTTCCATGACTGCAGAAGGCCCAATCCCAGAACACATGCCATCCAGAGGTTATGCTTCTGTGAGTGAACCCTGATGATAAGAATTTGCTGGATTGGGACAGGTACTGTGCTTGGTGAAATAAGCTAGGAAAAGACTCACAAACCGTGGAAACTATTTCCAGGAAAAGAGTGCAGTGTTGTGAGAACACCTGATTTGGTGACAGATGAGTAGTGTTTGTGTTCTGGCTTCCCTATTTCCTTGCTGTGTGACTTTGGCCACATCACCTAATCCAGCCTAGGTCTCCTGGCCTGCAAAATGTGGGTCATAACACCTCATCTCACTCCCTTGCTGAACTCCCAAGAGTTCTACAAAACATCAATTGTGACTGTGATTTCCTTCCTGCCCTCTGGGAATGTGGTCTTACACAACCCAGGGCCAGGGAGTGGGTGGTTAGGGTTTTCCTAGTCTGAATTTGGATCCTCTTAAGACCTTTAAGTAAGACGGAAGAAAATTTAAATAAGGGCCAAATGGAAAAATGAAGCTCTCAAGGAAACAGGAAACTGGATGTGCTGTGGGATTTTATTTCTCATATGCAAAGCACATTTTCTTCAGCCTATCATTTCTGAAATAAATGATCCACGATCATTTAATGTGAATGCATCCCAGACCTGGGTTGGGCCCACGTAATTTGGAATAACAAGTGACTGACGGGTTGACAGAAAAGTTCTGCCAATAAATTACATACATCCTGTTAGTACAGTCTCATACCTAAAAATATCTTCAGAGACTAAAGAGAACTGGCAATGTCTATAGATTGACTGAAAAAAAAAGTCAACCATAAAAACAAAGCAAAATTATATCCACATTCCCTAAACTGTAGTTAAAATTAATTTGCTTTTAGACCAAAGTCAAACATGTCAGTGCAATATGTAGTTCATTGAATCCATTCAGTCAATGTTAATTCAAACTGGATTTTTGTTGTGTAAATTCAGCATCCAGATAGAACCTGTGTTTTGTTTTTAATAGAAGTGCAGGATAGTACCCTCCTGTGGAAGTGGGCTGCATGTAACTCCATAAAGTGTTTCTGTTTCAGGAAGAAGAGTTGGTATCAATGATAAAGAAAGAGATAGATTCTAGTTCTAGACAATCAGATTTGCTATTTGCTACAAATTTGCTATCCAAAAAGCAAGACCTTTAATTCCTATAATACTATTGCCTTGTAGCTGGAAATCACTTCCACACAATTGGCCACACAATTTGCCCACAGGAAGCAATTTGGAGCTTTAGTCCTCAGAATTGTCTTCCCCTTCCCAGATGGAAGACCAGTGTCTGGTTTCAAAGGAGCTCGAGGTGAGCGTAGTTAAGGCTGACGTTGAGAAGGCCATTCCTCAGCTACTGCTCCCCATCACTGTTGCCAGGTCAGGTCAGGAAAAGCTAAATAATTTGTTTAACCCGATCCCCTTTCCCTACCTTGAGGGAAAACTCCTATAAGCTCACTGTAAACATAATTATGCCATGTGGGGCTTTCATTAATCTAGTACAAACCACAACCTGACATACACTGGGCAGGATTTGCTTTTTTTTTTTCTTAGCTCATTTTCAACACCAGCTTATCCTCACACTTCCTACCCAGAGGTGGTTATTTGTACAGTGTGAGTTTGGGGGAAAAGAGAAGTTACCAGAGCCAATCTTTGCCATTGCAAAAGTGTTTTCCAGGACCCAGAGATGGTCTCGAATTCTCAGGATTGGTTTTCAGGGGACTCGGAGTTCATCATAAATTGCTGAAAACTCATTTTATAAGTAGGGGACTGAGTCCCACAGGTCACCTAGCCAGTGACTGGTGTTCATTCATTTAGCAAATACCTATTTTGTGCAGATACTGAACTAGATGCAGGGATGCCTTCACGAATAAGAGAGATGTGATATCTACCTTGAGAACCCAGAGTCTAATCGCCTTGACCTAGTGTTCTTTTTATTAGATAGCCCTGTAGGCTCAGACATTAACTAGGGACAGCCACAGCTTTGGGCTGGGGAAAATCTGTGTTCATCAAACTCTTTTGACCATAACTCACAATAACAAAGACACTGACATTTCATCACAGTGCATGAAGAATATATATGTATATGGATATAGGATATATATAGGATATATATATATAACTAAAGTATTAATGTATATAAAAAAATTCCAGAAACAATATTTACATTTATTGAATATCATGCACTCTGGTGTTTTCTATTTTGTTTTTTTAAAATGATGACTATGATCCTCTGCTTTAGAAGGTGAAGGTTTGTGGCAGAGCATTCCCTGAAGCTTAAGGGTGTGGTGACATTGGTGGAACTGGGATTTAATGAAGGTTTTCAGGGATTTGAAGGATTACGGTGTAGAGGATGAGGAACCAGCTGCTCTTGCTTGCTTGAGGCGCTGGGGACCAACCTGGAGGAAGTGGGCTTAAATGGTAATGGCTGCGATTTAGAGTAGTAGACAGAGAAGCTAGCTGCAAAGTCTGCCAGGGGACACTGGCAAAGCTCTTACCTGCAAAAATACCATCTGTTGAAAATGGAAGTGGGGGAGGATGACAGACCCCCAGAGACCCTACAGCATGAGGGTGTGGGGACTTGTGGGGAGAAAAGATCAGGCTTATCGGGAGACCTGGTTGCAAGTGGGGGTGGAAAACATGCCACTGAGAATCATGGCACAGATACAAATATTCAGGAATTCATGTATCTAGCCTCTGGAGGGATCCCTCTCCTCCCAAAATCTATAATCCAACCCTTCATGCAACCCATCTTTCTCAGTAAATTAAAGAGAGACAGGAGAATACAGCACTACTGAAAACAGCATGTTGGTTCCTTTGCTCTAGAAAGGAACTGGAGATGTTTTTGAGAGAAAAAGACTAAGAAGACCCAATGAGTATCTCCAAATATTCAAAAAGTGGTCACGTGGAATAATGAGTATGTTTGTTCTATGTTTCTTTGGATGACAGAACTAGAACCAATGGGTAGTAGAAACAGGAAGATAGACCTAAGTTCAAATAAAGAAAGAACTTTCTAATGATTAAATGCTGCCCAAGCCTGCAAGGGAGATCTAAATTATCAGAATTGTTTAAGAAATGGCTGGATTACTTTGCTTACTCACAAACCTTGACTGAGTTCCTCTTGTGTGCAGTGTACTGTGCCAGCCCAAGGAATATGCCGCTCTTGAGGATCTCGTAGAAAAAAAATTCTGCACTGTTTGAGGAATAGGATTTTATAACTTCTTAGATTTCTTCTAATTCTAAGATGTTGTTCAAGGTTGCCAGGGTGCCCTTAACTTAGGAAGAAGATCTGTTAAGACCACATGTGAGGGGGCAACCTTGGGTAGTGTAGTGTTTCCATGGTCACTCAGTGCAAAGACTACCACTGATAGAAATGATCAATATCTTAGGCTTAGGGAATTTTGCATGACCAACAGCCTATCTTGCTGTGTTTATCCGAAGGGTTCCCTATTATTCACAGGATGAAGTCCAAGCTGCTTAGCCTACCCAATTGATTTACCCAGTTATTGCAACATCCTAGCGTAAGTTGCCAAATGGTGATTCTCCATGCTAGCCTGCCCGAAATGCTCAATCTCCTCTGATATGGGTGCCTATACTCAGTCTTCCAACTTTCTGGAAGTCTCTCTTTTCCTCTCCACAGTGCCCTTCATGACTACCATTCAAAGCCTTTCTCTGTGAAGCCCTTCCTAAAGTGCCCAGTTCATTCTCTATCTTCTTGCCTACTGTATTAAATACATCCCATCTGTATTGTCTAATGGCATCTCTTGGGTAGATCATTAACTTTGGGCACCTGTATAATTTACCTCACCAACTGGATTGCGATCTTCTTTTGGGTAGAGGCCACACATGCTACTTTATTCTGTCTTCTTTTGCCATAGGGCAAAGCATATCTTCGATTCATATGAAGTTGGCTGCAAGTGAACAAGACCTTTCCCCATCTGGTCTTGTTACAACACAGTCACAGCTCAGGCCTATTATTTATATGAATGGAGAACATCTTATAGATAACAATGCTGAAAATGTTTCAAAATGTATGTGGCAGGCTTATATTTCACATGGGGTTTGAACAATAAGGGTTTTAATTTTTATTTTGTTTACTTACAAACATTTCTATAGCATTTACCATGTGCCAGGCGCTGACCCTCTGGGTCCATGAGCCTTTCCAGGAGCAGGCCCTTTCTTGTTCTCATTTTCTTTGCCATGACCTATTGGTGTGTCGCTGCACGGTGTATGATGCACTAATTTTAGTTTTGTGTGCCTGGTGAGGATGTGGAATTTTAGAAGGATTGAAGGGTCTTCTGGGGGAAGCCTTATGTTTTCTTTTGGGATTGTAGCTGTCTAGAATGAGCCACAACACTCTTACTTCTCTCGCAAGACTTGCAATGTTTCTCCACAGTCCTTTCTTTTGAAACTCTCTTAGCTCCATTCTTTTCACATAGGACTCTGCTTTTTTCCTTCTTGAACCATTTCAGGATGGTGGCCTAAGGTCTCCATTCTCTAGGAATTTTTCATCTGATGGTGGAGTAAAGGGTGGGCCTTGAGAAAATTCTCAGAAGAAATATTTCATCTTGGAGGGCTGTCTCACTGATAAATATGAACATGGAAATGTGGTATGATGTGAGAAAACTGTTTTCTTCC
The DNA here is from genome assembly GCF_000001405.40 of Homo sapiens. Taxonomy (NCBI): domain Eukaryota; kingdom Metazoa; phylum Chordata; class Mammalia; order Primates; family Hominidae; genus Homo; species Homo sapiens. The sequence continues at coordinate 45,776,368 of NC_000006.12, forward strand.
AGAATGAGGGGAGCCTAAGGGGTGCTTATTATTAAACTCTTGCCTTATCCAACCCTCCTCACCTTCCCCACCCCATATTACACACATACACACATACACACACACACACACACACACACACTCTTCTCCAGCCTTCCAGACATCTTATGGAGCTGTTACATTAAGTTAGAGTAAGATAGAAAAATCTACCTTCTCAAAATTAGAAATCAAAACTTCATTCTGAAAACAGTATTTTCCTTGATCAATAGATTTAAGTAAATAGAATTCTGCGATTTGTGTATTATGACCTTAGTCAGTAACCTTTGCCTTTTACAGATGAGGAAACTGAGGCCCAGACAGGCTAAATCATTCACCTGAGGTCACACAGTTCATTGATGATAGAACTAGGCTGAGACTTTCCATCTCCTGTGTCTCGGTTGGTTGCTCCTCAAAGGAAATGATGACAGATCCCGATAGCTCATGGATAAGCCTTTTCCTCCTCAGGCTCAGCACCAACAGTCATGCTCTGAAGAAAATTGTTGGTTGACTGCTGTTTTATTTGGATGCACTAACCCTGAGATTTGTTTTGAAATTGATTGGCCCTGTTTCCTAGTATCACAAATAGGCAAAGATTGAATTTATTCTGTTGTTATTCAAATTGCTTGCTTTTCTAAAAGGCTTATTAGATGGAACTCTTGGGAAACTAAATAGGTTGGATTTTTCAAAGAAGTTTTTTAAAAAAGAAAGGACCTTCTCCAGATGACAAAAATGTAAAATGATTATTAGAGATTGATCTTATGTATCCAAGGGGAACACTGAAAGTACCAAGAGGGCTTGTAGAGAGACTATATTTACCAGCTCTTCCAATGAATCTATGTAATTAGATTTGTTTCAGCAAACATTAACGACCACTGAATATATACAAGGCATTGTGTGAGCAGGAGAATTAGATGGGTATGAAGGAATACAAGACCTAATCCTTGCCTCCAGGTATTAGCAGACTAATATGGAAATGCAAAGACCCTTAAGCAATGTTGTCTAGATTCTTATTTTTGGTTGAAGAAGACAACTTCCCCTGCCTAAGAAACTGACTATTCTTTGGGCAAAGATATATGAAGAGTTGCATTTTCTTTAAATAAAGCTCTCAAATTTATCTGTATTTTTCTAACCTTTCTTGAATATACTTATAACATCCGCTGGATTCTTTTGATAGAATAACAACTTCCATGTTTTTCCCATGGATAAATGTGATGTATCCTGTGATGTATCACACAATACCTGTGATGTATCCTTTAAATATATATTGCTTTATTGAATAAATAGAGTATGCTTTTTGTTAGTCTAGCCCCAAAACTACTTTTTCTAAACTCCTATGAGTGTGAGGAAGGAAGGGAGCCATGGGAAAACCCATGACCACCTTGCTTTCTCCTTTGTAATCTCGTAGATATTAGTAATATCCCTTCTAAATGTTCCCGACTAAAGAAACTTCCATCACTTTAATTATTTCAGTTTCCTTTTTTTAATATGTTTCAGTCTGCCTCCATTTCTCCCTCCCTCAATCCATTGTCCTTGTTTCTTTTGCTCTGTTTTCTCTTTTTGTTTTCTGGGTTGCCTTGCTCAGCTAATTACATCTTTTGGGGGTCGAGGTCAGGGGCCGTGGGAATGAGAACAATGCAAATTACCCCAGTTGTGTTGCACCATGCCTTTATTCAGGAATCACATAAATTGTCTGTATTTTCAAAAAAGCAATCGTGCTGATGATGTGCATAGAATTTTACTGGCCTTTTTGGCCCTAGCTACACATTGGGATGATGTCTTCAGGGAATACCCTATAGAGTCTCCTGAATTCCTTTCTTATAACTAGTTGATTGTGGGGATGCCAGTTGGTTATGAATCTGCTAGATGCCAAGTGTTTCTTTTTATTGTTGTTGTTAGGCTTCCAGAAATGCTTACATATTTTGGCTTATTTTCTTTCCATTTCCTGCACCTGTTGGTTGTCTGATTAGGTGTACAAATTGTCCCAATTTCTTCTTATGTGAATGGATTCTTTCCAAACCCCTCTAATAAGAATCCTGAATTTCAAGCTTACATTATTCTTGTTGGAATCCCAGCCTGTTAGAGTGGAAAGCACCCCAGTGTCTAGTTTAGCAGTATTGATTATTTTTCTTTATAGCTGGGGAAGCCTTTTTACAAACCAAATTTTAAATCTTAAATGGAATCTCATTGCAGTAGCATTAGGTTATGCATTCGAACAGATTTCATCATACATACGTGTGTGTGTGTGTGTGTGTGTGTGTGTGAGAGAGAGAGAGAGAGAAACTTGGCTCAATGACGGCATACCCCAGAGTAAGTGTGAGATGGGAGATGCTCTTCCTCACTTGGTTTTGGTTCTTTTGTACTTCCCACAGTAAACATTTGGGTGATTTAGGATTTTTTAAGAGTAATTTTGACTCCATGCCATTTTCCTTTATGAGTCAATTCTAGGACTTTACAAATATGGCTACTTGATGGAATTAGGGATGAGGACTCACATCCTATCCTCATTCCCCAACTCTTTCCTCTCCTCCCTAATACAGGTTCCAAGGAGCATGGTTTGTAAGTCAGTGAACCAGACTAATTCCATTTTATGTGCAAGGAAACCTGGACTTAGATATAGGCATTGATTTGCTTAAGATTGCACTGTTGATTGGTAAGCATTAGAAATGGAATTTCTACTCTCAAGACCCATAGGCCATTGCTCTGGAAAGAGCATATCAGCTTCCCCTTCCTTCTTTTGGTTTAAAATCTCTTCTAGCACCTTGTAAATATTTATTGTCCATGTCTGGTGCCACTTTAGTTCAAGCTGAGAGTAGGTTTTCTGTGGATCTGCTGCCAAGGATCTCTTCTTAAACTCTACTAACTTTCTATTGTCCAAAACTTCACTCTCCAACCCTGCTTTTCCATCATCTCCTGCATGGAAGCTCAGATTGTTCTTTGTCAACCAGTTGTTTGGGCCCTGTTCACAATATGAGCAATGATTCTAGAACCTAGAGGGCTATCTAGTATCCTGACATTCATTAATGATCGCAAAAACCCACTGGATTTGGGAAGATATTTACAATGGACCTAGCACTGTGTTAGTCACATTACAAAAATTGTATTAGTTAACTCTTACAACAAGGTCTGAGGTGAATACTGTTTTCCATTTTTCAGATGAGGAAATGAGGCTCAGAGAGACTGCCCAGGAGCGGCAGAGCTGGAATCTGAGCCTCAGCCATTCTGACTCTAAAGCTATACTTTAGGCCTCCAGGCTCTCCTGACTCTCAGTCATTTGGAGCCAGGACTTCCTTATGCCATCAATACCCACATTTATTGTATAAGTAACTGTAATAATTAGGGGAAGGTGTGGGGTGGGCCGCTGCTTTTTGTAGCAGCCTAAAATGATTTTAATCTCATTTTGTAAAGCAAAGACTATGGGTGAACTTGTTCATCAAATTCTGAAATACAGGGCAAGCAGGCAGTTTAGAAGCTTGAGGTAAGTTTAGGGAAAATAAGGAAATAATACTTCTCCTAGCACGTAATAAAGTTATGGAACTCATTACCCTGAGAGGCTGTACAGACAGGAAATGTAAATGAATTAAAAAGGAGTTTGGACAAATTTATGAATGACAGAGTCATAAAAGCCTTCTAACAGAAGCTGGAATATACAAGATATGACTATGAAGCAATGAAAAATTTTTTAAAACAAACACTAGAACTTGTATATCCAAATAAATATATACTTTTCCTGCAAAGTATCTGCCTTGGGAGAATACTGGCTTATTTTAATATTACTTACTTGTTCAAAACATTTTTGAAACCCATGGAAATTTAGAGGTTTAAGTTCACCCCTCTCCTTTTGCAGATGAGGAAACTGAAACCTAAAGTAATTAAATAGCATGCTCACAGTTCTGGGCTTAGAATCCTGGTTGGCTGACTTCTGGCTTATTGCTCTTTTCACAGCCGTAAGCTGTCTCCTGCAATTGATTTCTTCAGAGTCCATGGCTAATTCTTTAGGATACCCTAATCGTGGTAAGTCTTTATCCTTTGCAAATGGGTTTTTGGAACAGCCAAAACTGATTTAGATTTAAGATTGATGGTTAAGATGTGTGTTCAAGCTGTACATTAATATTATTTGTTCAAAACCTGAGTTTTTTATTTTTATTTTTTTTAATAGAGAGGCAGTAAAGCCATGTTTCTTTTGTTCCCTATAAACTGCCTTTCTGCTAGCCACCTTCAGCCAGCCTGAGGAATGTATAGCACACCTTTTAGATCACTTTTCATAAGCCACAGCTTTGAGCTGAGTTGCTTGTGGCGCCTCCTTCTCCATTACACTTAATGAAAGCACAGCCAAGGGAACTCACTCTGTCAAGGGCAAAAGGAAGACAGTGGAGAAGCAGCCCCCCTGGGGCAAGAGGAGAGTCTTTGGAGCTCTCAGAACACCTGGAAGGAATGTTTCAGGTAGCCCAGAGCCCTATGTCAAGCAGATCAAAGATATTTTGAATAATGAAAAAGGAAAGAAGAGACTAGACAAAGCGGGGTTAAAATCTGGACAGAGACCACTGTTGTCAATGAAAAGACAAAAAAGAAAATTCAGAGCTCAGATGGAACAAAAGGAGATTTGGCTACAATTCCCTAGAGGCAGCAAATGTGTGTACCTGGGAGGGATCTCATTAAGATCCAACCAAGGACAGAGGTCACTGGGAGCTCATTGGTTTGTGTTCATTTATGCCCTGCCAGTTGAATTCACTTTGATCACTTTAATCACTAAAGGATATCCAACTGAATATCCTTTTCACTTTGATTTCTAAGGAAAATAAGGAGGGAGGGGAGTGACGGAAGGAGGGGTCAGGCATAGAGAAATCCCACAATCCATGAAGCATATTAGATGACTTTTGCTTAGGCTTGGACACTTTGCTTCCCCAAATGGATTTACAGCCCTGAACCAAAGCTAACAGAGAAAAGAAAAACATGTCACTGAAAGTAACATGTTGACATGTGTTGATGTCTCAGCCAAAATTTATAGCATAACCCAGAAAAGACACTTGAGATGCAGGGCCATGCATCCTGGCTGATGGCATGTTTCTGGAGACTACTGGTAGGCGATATCCCAGACAGGTCAAGGCCAGTAAGGAAAGTGCCCAACAGTGGCTCTAGATAGAATCACTGAGGCTCAGAATTTAACCTCTGTTTTGTGACGCTTGAAGCAGACATAACAGAAAGTCTGGATTGGGTAGAAATGGAAAAGAACAGTTTTTAGATTTGATGAAGACTTTGGAGGAGAATGAGGAAGAAGAGAAGGGATAAATATCTATCTATGTTTATACACACGCAAACACACACGCACTGAAAACACTTATATAAGTATCTACTATATATATGTGTATATATATGTATATGTGTGTATATATATATAAATGTGTGTATATATATATTTGGAGAGTGGGACATGTCCATCTCTGCAGTGTGGTGAAGGTAGGGATATGGCTGTGCAGTCCTTGTGTGTAGGTGTGTATGCACTCACAAGGACCACTGTGCACATGCGTACCTACAGACACACACATGCACACAACACACACTTTATCTCACAAAACAGAATTATTATATATGTCCTTTTTGGCTAAGAAAGGGGAAGGGGGATTGAGCCTTAGCTATGGGTAAGAAGTTGCTAATAGTAGGAAACTGCTTATTCTGAAAACTTCTGCAATTCCAGTTAATCCTATCTTGGCTCGAACCCAACTCCACAGAGTCTTGTAGGTTTTGCAGAGATAGAGAGGTTAAAAGGGACCCCAGGATGCTATTTTGAAAAACTCCTCATTTCCTGGGGCCTGCTTTGGGTTCCCGGAATGAGAGGAGGACAGCACCCTCAGCCTTGTGGAGGAGCTGCTGGGCAGGTTGTGTCCCCTTTGGGAGGCACAGTTTTGGAGGGGCTCAACGTACTCTGCTGTGTGGTGACGGTGTAGATAGGGTTATTGAATCCTTGTTGTCTTTACTTAAGAATGGGGTAGGTTTCTGGCTTAAAAATTGTTTCTTTGTTTTTGAGACCGGATCTCACTATGTGGCCCAGGCTGGAGAGCAGTGGTGCAATCACAGCTCACTGCAGCCTCGACCTCCTGGGCTCAAGAGATCCTTCCCACCTCAATTTCCTGAGTAGCTGGGACTACAGGCACAGGCCACCACACCCAGCTAATTTTTGTAGAGACGGGGTTTCATTATGTTGCCCAGGCTGGCCTCCAACCCCTGAGCTCAAGTGATCCGCCTGCCTGGGCCTCCCAAAGTGCTGGGATTACAGGCGTGAGCCACTGTACCCAGCCAAAAATAATTTTTTGGGTGCCTGTCTCTGTCCTGCTGATCACCAGACTGGACAAGCATTTGTTACTTCACCTTGGCAGATGTGTGTCTGGGTCCAAGGTGGCCAAGGCCCACAGGGCTATGTCACAGTCAGGCCACAGTGGATCTGGAAATGCTAAGTCCAGAGAGGGGACATCAGGCAGCTCATTGCCACCCGTCTCCATCTAAACCCCTGGTTCTGGCAACTTGTTTCTCAGTGTGGAATGCAATAAGCCTCTTTAGTAGGTGGCAAGTATTATTTCTTCTAAGAAAACTCATTTGTTTTCAAATTAAGCTATGTGTTTCAAATTGAAAAAAAAAAAAACTTAACAGACCCTAAGAAATAAGGGACAGTCAATGCTTGTCAGACTTGAAGGGGGCAGAGAAAACAGTAGAATCATTTGATCCATAAGTAACCTCAGGGCTAGGACAAGGAGCTGCCTACTGGTTCTTTTCAGCCTCCTGTGTGTCCCTCAAATGGAACTTTGGAAGCTTGTTGTCCCTTAACAGACTAAAACAAAATCCTTGCCACTCCCCCGCCCTACCATTTCTAAAAAGTTGAATGCAGACAGTCAACTCTGGCTCATGTGGCTCTCTTCTTGAGTTTAGACCGAAGGAACTCTTGGTTTGTGCATTCAGGTTTCAAATGAAAACCTCATCAATGAAGACTAATGGAAAAAAATAGACCTTTGGCAGGAATCTCAGAGTCTGACAAGCCTCACAGAAGATTGTGCAGCTTGAGGGTACCTTCAAAGTCCAGTGCAGGCCCTTCTCCAGGACTCTTCTCAATGGATCTTCTCATTACCTCAATCTCAAGAGCTTGTCTCTTTCCCTAAACAACTGACCGTGCCCATATTATTTAAGTACCTTAAAAGGAAACGGAGAGTAGGAACTGGTCCCGTGGATCCATTTACCTGATCCTTGTGTAATGCTGATAAAGGCAACATCTGGCCCATTTTAAATCTATGTGGGTTTGAGAAAAATGGCACCTGTCAGAAAAGAAAGCTTTTTCTTGAAGCATTTGTTCAGACTTCATATTTTTGTTTAAAAAGAACTATTATTTTTTTTTCGTCTAATCTTCAGACCAATCCCACACAGTAAGCTACTGGGCTATTAACAGGAAAATTAAGGCATGAGGTATGAAGGAACTTGTCCAGGCAGATTCATGATCCCGGACACTCAAAGATGAAGCCCAGGCCTGGGAGTGGCATAGGAAGATGAGTAAGCAGATGACCTCTAGGCTGTGCAGCTCAACCCCAAGTCCCGTATGAAACGTGAGGCAGTGCTGTGTGGTAGAAAGACAGGCACACAAGCCAGCCAGCCAGCATGGCTCTAGCTGTGTGAATGTGACCCAGTTATTTAATTTCTCTAGAGCTCGGTTCCTTCATCTTTAACATGGGAAAAATAGTGGTAATGTGACAATTTGACTTGGCATTTTGGTAGAGATTTTTGGCATTCACAGTAAATTTTTATGATACTCAAAGAAAACCATTAAAATGTCAGCTTTAATATATAGATTTATATCTGTGATGCTTGTATGTATTTGAAAGAACAGGGAAGAATAACTGGGCTATTAGCATTAATTACCACATGAAGCAGAACTTGTGAGAGGAATTATTAACTTATTCTTCATTTATCACTTTATTATTTAATTTGTTAGAAGAATCATTGATTACTTTTGTTTTTAAGGAGATCTAATAAATAAAATCTATTTATTAAAAAAATCTATTAAATAAATAAAATAATAAATAAATAAATAAAATAAAAATTAAAATCCATTTAAAAAATATCAGCTCTAAAATTTCCCCAGTATCTTCTGAGGAAGACACCTTAACACATTCCTGACTCCTACCCCATCCCTAAGCCTCATGTTAGGGATGGAGAGGGTTTGGGTTGGAATAAAGCTCAAGACGGGGTGAAGTTGAGGTAAAGTTCAGGGATGGGCTGAGGGCTACAGATCAAATGGAACATTTAATTATATGACTTCTGAGCTTTATTTAATCAAGAGGGTATACTTTAAAATGCCGTGTTTTGAATGATAAATCCCATAGGTTTGGGGGAGTTTTAAATGAGATGCTGTCTGTGAAGAGCACAGCACACGTTGATGATGGAATTACTATTAGCACTCCTTGCCTGCTTCCTTCCTCCTTCTTTCTCCTATCCTCCCTCCTTCCCTCTGGCTACTGAAAGAGCGAAAGACACTCTTACTCTTAACCCCATGCTATGCTGCCTTGTAAACTTGCCATCTCAAACACAGAGCCCTGTCATGATACAGAGGGGCTGGCACTAATTTTTCTGGTGCCTTCAGGGCACACAACCATGGTCCTCAATCATTTAAAAGATGGTTCTTGTTGCGCCTCCCCCGCATCACCTCAAGGACACTCTTCTCAAGGATCTTTTAGAACTCTGGGTTCTGCCTCATACTAGGTCATTAACTAATCATTCACTTCCCCAGCTAGGTTGAAGGACAGTGCAAGACACAGGCCAGCATTCCAGAAGCCCTGCACGGGGCTGAACTGGGCTCACAGACAAGTGAGCAAACAGTAGGGGCTTAAGGGCTGCACTGTACAGGAGGGGCCAGGAAAACTCTGAGGAAGCCAAGTTGGCTGAGAAGGCCACGTTGGCCTTGCTTGTCTGCACTGCCCCTTGGTCTCTGAACAATACTGCTCTAGGTCTGACTGGGAAGCTTGGAATAGGGTTTTGGGAGAAGTTCACATGCTGTGATTGTTTTAATAATTTAATTTTTCAGTTACCCAGAACGGCAGGGATTTTCTTTCTCCCCACAGCCTACTTTCTTTTGAGCCTGCATCCCTTTTGAGAAAGAGATTTCTGAGAAATGCATACAAAGCAGACTTGTGTGTGTGTGTGTGAAAAAACTTATCAAAGTTACCCTGCATGAGGTGGTCAACGTGACTGGCAGGGAACTTTTCTGTGTTTGGAGATGTGCCTTTCTGAGATATCCCAGGAACCTAGAACCTCAGTAATGAAGGATCTCACATTTCCCCCTGCAGGATGGAGCTGGAGCAGGTTGGCCCCAGAGATTGGATCCTGGGTTGCAGAGGAGGAAGATGCGTACTTTCCACTCTCCATGCTGACATAGACCGTTTTATATATATTTATTTTTTCATATCACATAATTTCAATCACCTTCCTGCACTAAAAAACGTAGATTTCTCCAACATCATTCTTGAGGCTTGCAGTGGATTCTATGAGATGAAGGTACATTTTCACATATGTTCAAACTTCATAGCCTGTCTTTCCCAGTGGCTTGTGATGGAGTCCTCATCAGTGTAGCGAGCTGGGGAAACATCACCGAGGAGGAAGCAATGACTGACTGGCCTGATGTGAGGTGCTGCCCCAGAGGTCCGTCTTGGCCTGAACCCCCTGAGATGAGCTGGGTCGCAGGCCCCCGATGTTTGCAGCCATGGTACATATGTGACATTTCTGCCAACACACATAATTATACTATCCCTTAATTAGTAACCCTGTCTTTATACCAGGGAAAGCTTCAGCTGCTTGTCAACAAAAATATATTTGTCCCACGGCCTTAAAAACACATACACATAAATTGCCAATTATTCCCCATTCATAGACTTTGGCAAGACACCGGAGAGCTGTTTGCTTTCCCTTAGGCCAAATTAAGACTTACCTTTCATGGCAACTTATTTGCCGGAGTAATTTTCCACCTCATTTAATTAGGCTAATTGATTCAACAGCCCTGTCAAGGGACAACGCAGTGCTGGGTGCTTGGGGCAAATTATTCTGACCTCCTTTGAGCAAAGGCCTGATTAGTCTTCCTGTTTTCAAATCCAGATCAGCCTTTTTTTTTAACCTTGTGTGTCTCACTTCGTGCCACATGGGTAAGTACATGTGGAGAGCCACTAATTTATTAAGCACTTTGAAAAGGGCTGGGTGCTGAGCCCAAGCTGGTGATTCCATCCAAGGAACAATGAGCTCACTGAAGCCTGAGAGTGAATAGAAATAACTGGATCTGGGGGAATCGTGAATTCAACAGATTCCAGCGCAACTAAGAATTGTCATTCTCTCCAGCTGTTAGTTCAGACGTTCCAGGAGGCATTCTGCAGGCCGTGTTCTAATGCATCCAGTTCAGAAATTTTATGGTTTTTAGGAAAAATAAATAAAAATCAGTGTAGTAAGCTGGGGAAACAGCTCTGAGAAGGAAGCAAAGGCTGACTGGGCTAGGTAGATCTTAGATCTTGCTAAATTGCAAAATGGATTTCTATTCTCTTTTTCCATGTTCTCCTTCTTGCCCCTTTTCTGATACATGTGTGTTTCACTGGACGTCAAGTGTAGAGGAATGGCTACACCACACGAAGCAAATAATTAGAAGCCAATGCTCATTGAGGCCACACTATGCGAAGGGACTGTTCTCGACTCTTTACGTGTATCGATTCATTTAATCTTCATTACAACCTGATGAACTAGGTATGATCACAATCCCCCTATACAGATGAGAAAAACTGAGGCATGAGAGACTGAAGGACTGGCCCAAAGTCACACAGCTGGAGAGCATGGAGTCAGGACTCAAATTCTCTGTTCTTTACAGCTACTCTAAAAAATGCTTCTTGTATAGAAAAGCAGTGACATGCTTATAAGATATGAGAGGGGGTACATTTTGAGGAAGGGCCATGTGTTCTATTTTTGCATTAATATATAAACTTCCTCCTGTTAAATTAGTGAGGAAAATGAGATTGTGTCAATGTTGGTCTAAAAAGGGAGTTGGCAAATTTTTTTGTAAAAGGCCGGATGGCAGATATTTTAGGCTTTGTGGACCACATATGTTCTCTGTTGCAACTACTCAACTCTGCCTTGTGGCACAAAAGCAGCTACAGACAGTATGTACACAAGCGAGTGTGGCTGTGTTCCAATAAAGCTTTATTTACAAAAACAGGCCGCTGGCCAGATGTGGCCCACAGGTCATACTTTGCCAATCTGTGGTCTAAAGAATGATATTTGTATGGGCTTAAACTATCATGAAAACATTCTGAAAACTTAAAAACAAAACAAAACCTATAATCCATTTATGGTCCTTGTAATCTAAATGCATTCATCTTTCCATGCTCAGATGAACTGATTTCTTGAGGCTCTCTCTCTCTCTCTCTGTTTTCTTACAGGTGACAACTTAGTGCATCGCATAAACCTGAATTTGCCATTTTCCCAACCTGAAAGCAAGGGTGGCCAGGCCACCCAGGGCAATGGTGAATGGTGGGTGAGAGGCAGAGCCCCTCTCCAATAAACAACCTGGACTGTTTATTGGGTTTTTGACCAACAAGACCTCAGGGAAATTCCGGGAGCCTGAGGTTGGCAGAGACACATAGAGGGGTGTGCCCTGTTGTCACTGACCAATGGCAGATGTGCCCTTACTCTGAACGCCATCAAGAACACCTCTGTAATAATTTTCCTGTCCTCATTAAGTTTGAGTTTGCAAGGAGACTCTTGCAAGCCAAGTTAAATATTCTGAGGCTTTATGTCTGAGATTCAGGTGGCTGCCACCCTGAGAGGGGAAATGCCTGGCATTAGAGCTTCTCCCACACAACAAGGTGGGAGTGCGGATTTCCTTCCAGAGAAATCACCATAACTCAGCCAATATTGTAATTAAAATAGCAGTCATATAAAGAAAAAAGATAAAGCAACTTGAACACTCATAAGTACAAGGCTCAACAATAAGATACACTATGTATTTACATATTTTACTACAGTATGACAGTTTAAAGAAATAAAAAGTATAGTTTTAAAATGGGAAGAGCAATGGGGAGATGGTGATACTTTTAATCTTTATACGTCTTTTCTATTTCTCTAGCAATATAAATCATATTTTTATAGAAAATCATCAAATATGAACCCATTTACAACACAATAATGATAACAAAACAATGGTCTCACACTCTGCTGCTGGCTGAATGTGTTTTTCTGTGGCACAAATGTACCTGGTGTACTTGTCTAGCTACGCTTCCTTCTTTGGAAGTTCCTTTGTGTAGGGCATACATCCATTCTGGTTTATTCAGGAAAGTCCCAGCTTATGCCTGTTGGCCTTGGGGAAGAGTGTCCCTTTCACTCTCTAAAATGCCTAAGTTTCATTGATATTATGATACAGTCACCCCAGCCATAAGCCTTGATGAATAAATAGACCTAGGAAGACATGTTCTTCCCTGGTGATCTGCTTTTATGTCCACATCGGGTTGAATCCCTCATGAACCTCTGTCCAAAGCAGAGCCAATTGGAGTCCCTCTCTCAACAATTTGGACTGAGTCACTAAGGTCAAGCCAAGCAGATTTGAACAATGGAGTTGAGGTCAGGTGGAGCAGTGGCCAGATCTGTTATGACAACAACCTAAAGGCATATTTGCATGTCATTATTATGGGGGTAAAGGAGTCAAAGGCTTTGGAAGGGAGACAACAGGGAGAAGGAGGTCCTGTTTTCTTGTCATTAATGGGTCAGACATCACCACTGGGCTGCTGAGAAGCATGGCTTTTATTATTCCCCATCCCTTCTTCCCATAGCTATCAAAGGCCAACTAGGAGTGGAATAAAACTGCCTATATAAGGGAGTGTTATGTGGCCCCCCACACCATTCTCCCTTCCCCTTCCCAGGGGCTTCTGCTCTCTTTGAAGTCAAAGGATGGAGCACCACTCATACATTTTTATGCAGACTCTTGAAAGTAAATCCAACTGCAGAAGGAGTTGTGCTTTTCATTTCCTGGTGGTGGCATCCAGTCACCAGGCTTGAGAGCCCATATCTGGGCTACTACAGCAGCAGAAAGAGATGGCATGGTGTGCTACCAGGCAGCAACAAAGACTGTCCCTCTGGGGTTCCTGGTTCCTGAGAGGATGGAAAACAGATCCTGTACACATCATGGGCCCCAGATTTGGGGTTAGGAAGGGTAACTGGGACTTGGTTCAACAGTCTTGCCAGAGACCAAAGGAGTTCGGGGCATCAGAGCAAGTGGATGAACCCATTGGCTGGAGGACAAGTGAAAGATGTGGCCTAGTCTCCAGGAGACCACCTATGCCTAGAAGAGTTTTTTGTCAGCATGGCTGTTGGAGCTACCACTTGACCAGGTTGAGTTCATAGATAATGAACGAAGTCAGCAGTTACTACCAACCAAGGTGATGTCTGAAAGCTCACTGTGACATTCACATACTAGATACACACCTTCTCTTTCTCTGCTCTCCATTCCAACACAAGAGGAGAGAACAGGAGGAAGGAAGCATGTGAGAGAGACTGTGTCTCACTGTTCACCCCTGGCCAATCCAGTCAAGCTCCATGCATAGTCTTCCTTGAGGCTGAGAAGGTGGAAGGAGAAGCACTACCCCTTGAATATGGAATTGGAGATTTAATATTGACAGCACTGACTCTTAGAGAACTGAAACGAGACAGGAAAGGCATGCTGCCCTTTTGGGTGTTGCTAAGAGTGTCCCCACCAGGGGAAAAGGGTAGTTCGACAGAGTCCAGTTGGTAACAGACACTCGATAAAAGAATCCGTTTTATGTTTATTATCTAATGAATCAAGATTCCTCATTAAATCAGTTTGTGGAGAGAATGTTAGAGGCTTCCTCTAACTCAGCAACTGTCTTTCCTGAAAATCCTAGCTCCCAGTACACGGAGCTGCCACCGTGAAGCTTCAGTTTCCCTGCCACCTGACACCATGGTGACTGCTCCCCACTTCCAGTGGAAATGTGTCACAGAAGCCGCTAATGTGAGTAAAATCAGATGCACAACTTTAATATACAACAGTTGCCACCCCCGATACATGTGGCATGGTTCAGGTACCAAAAGTCTGTTAGACTCTGAACCCAAAACATAATTGCAAGATTTTTACAATGTTTTAAATTAAGCTGGTCCACTTAACTATGGCATCAGAGTCCGGCCATCAAATATTGCAACAAATGGCTCCATATAACTCCTATCTAACAGCAAAGGAACATTGGAAGATTGTGTGATTGAGATACTCGGGCATTTGTACCTGTGCAGGAGGTGCACAGCCCTGGGCAGGAACAGGTGAGAGTCTTCACCTGGAACATACTTAGAAGATAACTCATGTTCCCAGAAGAGACAGAACATGGGAAGGTAGCTGCCTGATTATGACTTGCCAGGCCTTTTAAGACTTCCTGACACCAGCTTTCCTGACATTTCTTTAATAGAAATAAATCCCTTTTTACTTGGGTCTGGACTAAAGCATACTAATAGTTGCACTCAGATAAAGGAGAATTATTGTCGTTGTAATTCTGAGGACAGGATATTGGTGCAACCTTAGAGGTGGTTTTAGACTATTCCCTTCTTCTGCTCTAGTGAAGAATTTGGCACTCATTAGTTTAGGACATGCATTCTCAACAGGGGCAATATTGCTCCTAAAGGGCTAAGATTGACTGGGGAGGGAATTAGATATCACACTGGTTTGTGGCCCTTCAAAGCTCAACTTTACCCAACAATATCTACAGTATACCTATGATACTCAAATTTCATGGGGAAGACAGGGAGACACTTAGGAAATATGTGTCTAAAAAGGCTCTTTAGAGTGAGACATAATGAAAAAAGTTTAAGGAACACTAATTAGGGGAAAAACATAGAAAACAGAGCTCTTTCAGTTTAAAATGCTGAACAATGTTTTTCCACTTTCTTCGGCATGTATGAATTCCTTTCTTGATGACTAATATGAGAGAATTAGATTTACAGATGGCCTCTGCTTCTGAATGGAGATTTGCCTCTGTTTTCTGGCTTCTCTAGAGGTCCTAGATTCAGAGAAGGATCTTTTGCACACCGGATATTGCCTGTTTTTTCCAGGCTGCTTAAGTGTTATATAGAATTTGGGCTAGAAGGAACTACTTCCAAGTTTCATCTCCCACAGACACATTATCCTAACTTGTTAGCAATATTCAAGGTCTGTGGGTATTTTTATGACTTAGCACTGGATAAATGTGGCAAAGTCTGGGATTTGTTGAAGAGAATTTATTCCACACAAATAAAAATGCAGAATGAGTTCTCAGAGTGTAGCAAGGCAAAGTAGGCAAACATGAGAGTTTCCATGCATGAGTACTACATTCCAATAATAGCTGGATACATTCTTCCTTCCTGCTTTGCATGGTTGTAGGCATAGTTAGTCAGAATTAACCAACCACATTGTTCTCTAGTAGGAATTGTTGGCCAACTGAAGGCTGGTGCCTCAATGGGCACTGCAGGCAGCAAGCTTGGCATGGAGGGCACATCTCACTTCTCCCCTGAGCCTGATGCATCCATGGCACTTCCTTGCTTGGAACACTGGCTGCCCCACAACGCATGCCAGCTCCATGGCCTAGCAGTCCTTGCCTGAATTAGTGTCCACACAGCTAGCGTTGCCAACCTCTCCAGCCCATGAGGAAGTGTGGTGAGGTCAGAGAAAGGATGGTGCAAAGATACCACAACCAGTTTACATGAATAATCCTTGATTTTTGTATCTTCTAGGGATGCAAGGCTGTTTCAATATTTGAAAATTAATCAGTGTAATTTATTATATAAACAGGTTAAAGGAAAAAAAATCATAGGATCATATCAATTATCCAGAAAAAGCATTTGACATAATTCAGCACCCATTCATGAAAAACTCTTAGAAAAATAGGGATACAGTCAACTTCCCTAACTTAATAAAGATGATCTGCAAAAACCTATGTCTGCCATTATACTTAAAGGTAGTAGATTGAATACTTTCCTCCTACAATTGGGAACCAGGCAAGGATGCCTACTCTTACCTCTCTTATTCAATATGATGCTGAAGGATCTAGCCAGTGTAATAAGGCAGAAAAACAAAATTAGGCCTTATAGATTAGAAAAGAAGTAATAACACTCTTCCTATTTGTAGATGATATGATTGTTTATGTAGAAAATCCTAAGGAATCTATAAGCAAAACCTCCTAGAATTAATAAATGATTTCAGCAAGATTACAAAATGTAAGATAAGCATATAAAACTCAGTTGTATTTCTATATACTTGCAAACAGCACATGGACAGCAGAATGCAATACTATTTATAAGTGCTCAAACTAGATAAAATACTTACATGGAAACCTAACAAAACATGCTCAGGAGTTGTATGTTGAAAAGTATAAAATGGTAATGAAAGAAATTAAAGACAATCTAAATGAATGGAGAAACATACTGTGTTCATGAATAGTACAATAGCAAAGATGTCAGTCCTCCCCAAATTGATATACAAGATTAGCTCAATCCCTTACCACATCCAAGTAAGATATTCATTGTAAATATAAACAAAATTATTCTAAAATATATATGGAAAGGCAAAAAACCCCACTAGAATACTAAGACAATTTTGAAAAATGAGAATAAGTGGTGAAGGGCCAGGCACAGTGGTCACGCCTGTAATCCCAGCACTTTGGGAGGCTGAGGCGGGTGGATCACGAGGCCAGGAGTTAGAGACCAGCTGGCCAACATATAGTGAAACCCCATCTCTACTAAAAACATTAAAAATTCGCTGGGCATGGTGGTGGGTGCCTGTAATCTTAACTACTCGGGAGGCTGAGGCAGGAGAATCACGTGAACCCTGGAGGCGAAGGTTGAAGTGAGCCAAGACTGCGCCACTGCACTCCAGCCTGGGCAACAGAGCGAGACTCTGTCTTAAAAAAATAAAAAAGAATAAGTGGCGAAGAATCAATCTACCTGATTTAAAGATTTATTTTATAGTTACAGTAATCCAGACTTTGTGGTATTGATGGCATGATAAACACATACATCAGCAGAATATAATTAGAGAACCCAGAAATAGACTCACACAAATATGCCTAACAGATTTCTGATGAAAGTGCAAAAGCAATTTCCTGGAGGAAGGATAGCCTTTTCAATAAATGGTGCTGGAACAATTGGGCACCCACAACACCTCCCCCATAAAAAAGAACCTTGATCTGAGTCTCATATCTCACACAAAAAGTAACTCAAAATGGCTAGTGGCCTTAAATATAAGACATAAAATTATAAAACTTTTATAAAACACAGAAGCAAATCTTCAGGATCTAGGGGTAGGCAAAGAATGATTCTTATGCTCTTCTCTTTTGCCTATTTGTCTTTTTTGTTGTTTTTTTTTGTAGAGACAGGGTGTCGCTATGTTACCTAGGCTGGTTTCAAACTCCTGGGCTCAAGTGAGTGCTGGGATTAGAGGCGTGAGCCACTGAGCCTATTTTTCCAATTAAGTCCTTTTTTTTCTGTAGCAGTTCTTAGGAATTTCACTATATGTTGAGGAAATTATCTTTTTATGATATGAGTTACAATTATGTTCTTTCATTTCATCAGTAATTATTTGACTTTTTGTGGGGTTATTTTCTCTGATACAGAAATTTAAAATTTTCCTTAAATCTTTTTATGGCTTCTGAATTTTGTGTCATACTTATTAGTTTTTTTTTCCTCTAACATTATTTTTAAAATCTCCCCACCTTTCTTTTAATACTTTTATGATTTTGCTTTTCATCAGGGATCCAGGCTCTCTCCATCCTTTTTTATTAGCTTCCTTACAACGTAGGCTTCGGTCCTTTTACTCACAAGATAGCATGTGCCTCTAGACATCAAGTCCACATTCTAAAACAGAGGTGGGAAAAGGGCAAAGGTATGAAACAGAGTGGTAAGTTTGTTTTTTTGAAAAAGGCATCCGGAAAGTTTCAATTCAAACTCAACTTCTGCTTACACTTACTGGCCACAACTGGGTTATCTGGCCACTCTTAGCTTCAAGAGAGTCTGGTGATGTAAATAATTCTAGCTGGGTACATTGGTTACCCACCGCCCTGCCCCAAGAAACCGGGTTTCTGTTAGGAAAAGAAGGTAATAGTTATATTGGGCAAATAACTAGCAGTGTCTTCCTCCAGCTTTCTTGCATGATACACAGCTGCATTTTCTGGGTCCCTTGCTTCTCTCCAATTGTGTATATTTGCATTACTTAACTGACTTCTAGCATCTACTGTTAGCAACAAGTAGCATCTACTGTTTTAGCAACAAGTAGTCTGATGTTAGTGTGATTCAAGTTCCCTTCTAAAAACTTTTTCTCTTAGAAACTTTTGAAGTTTTCTTTTTATTTTTTAAAATACTGTAATATTTCCTATCCCCAGGGTGGAACCTTTTCCGGCATTTTGTTGAGATCTTAAGAACCCCTTCCAATCTGCAGATTCTTATTGCTCCCCAACCTAGGGAAAGTTTATTCCTCCTTTCTTTGATTGTTTTCTCCCCTCCCTTGTCTCTGTTCTTGCCTTCTAAAACTTTTATTGGACATATACTGGATCTGGTAGATTTCTCCTCTTTGTCTCCTAACTTTCTTATTACACTTTCCATTTCATTGTCTTATTGCTCTGCATTATGAGTGGTTTGCTTCGTTGTAGATTCCAGAACATCACCCTCATCTTTAGGCACTTTTGTTTTATTGTTGATATGGCTGTTTTATTTTGAAAATTGTTATTTTTAAAGTTTCCAAGTATTCTTTCTTGTTCTTTGAATGCTTCTGTTTTTTTGTATAGCCTGTCCTAGGTTTCTGAATGCATTATCTTCTTAAAACTCTTTGTGGATACTAATTATACTTTTTAAAAATACCATTTCTATTCTCTGAATTACCACTGATGTCTGTATTCATCCAATCCTTTTATGGAATCAGCTTTTCTTCAACATGAGATGACCTTTGGTCATAAGGTTCCCTTGTTTTTTTGTAGGACAAGGCTGTTCACCCAACAAACCTCTCCCATAAATAGGGGAGCAGGCTGTGTGCTCTGATTAAGTGGGCACGGGCCTCTCTATAGGGTAGAAGGGCATGGAGCAGCCAGGAGAACCCTAGAGGGACAAAAGAAGGAGGGCTGTAGTCTGGGAGTATTGCCCTTCAGTGTATTTTACTCCTGGGTGGAGCTGCCTTTTTGGTTCCCTAAGAATCTAATCAGGGTGATGGCTACAGTTACCAAAAGATTTGTTTCAATACTCAGGCTCAATCCTATACCTGGATCCTTCCCAGGCAGAAAACATATTTTCTTCAGAGACCAAATGTCAGGCTTTTTCTGGGGACAAAAGCTGTCAGCAGATGTAAGGTGCTGTTAGGAAGGGGAGAGGCCTCACTGCCTCCGCTATTTAGAAAGCAGCTTTAAAATAATAAATAGCCTGATGATCGCTAAAAGATTCTCAACAGAATGTGAGGGCCAAGTAAAATGACTGATGCTCATAATTGGAACCATCATGAGTCACTGTTTACAGTCTATACCATGTTGAGAATTTTCTGTTTAAGAACGTAGAGTAGTGTGTATTTTCTTTTAGAAAGTTTTGTGATCCCAATTAAAGAAATGTAACTTTAAATGAATGAGCTTTATTTACTTGGGAAATGTACAAAAATAATGTCAGATAAATGAAGCATTAATCTGACTGCAGATTGTGTGTGTGTGTGTGTGTGTGTGTGTACATGAAAGAATTATAGTAAGGTCTTAACTTGGCTTAATGTAACTTGATCAACAGTCGGGTCCATACTTCAGCTATCTATTATTAGGTGCACAACTCTGAGCTAAGTGCTGTGAATAATTCTTTTAAGAAATGGAGAGGTGAACAGAGGGCCCTGGCCATATGCTTTTCATAATCCAGCTGCACATTCAGTATTCAGAGTTTTCTGTATTTTTTTATGAACTTAGCTTAAGATCCTTTTTTCCCCTAAGATATTCAAGATAGTCACACAACTTTTGAGACATAAACTATGGAATCATCACTATCCCAACATATGATTTAAATTACGTATGCCCGTAATCAATGAAATGCTCAATACTTGTTCCTTGTTTAATACTCTTAGCCAAATAAAACTATATATCATGTAAACAGATATATAGCATAAATCACTATATTTCCTCATTGTGGGTGGGCTTTTATGTGTGCACATATGTAATATATGTATGTATATATAATATCTACACAGTATATTTTTAACAGAGAAGAGGCTCAACATAGTGCCCTGACTATGTGACTCATATGACCATAAGGGATACAAGCATTTATCAAAATTCATGAGTTTATTGATAAATTTGTGATTCAAGCTTTTGTGCCATTTCAAGAACTGATATTTTCTCTAATACCTTTATCACCAATTTTAGCTTTATTTAATTTTCCTAATCCATATTTATTAATATTATTAAAAAACAGAAAAATTTTACCTTTCATAAAACATGTATTTTTTAAAATTTGTAACTATTGGCTTCTAAAGCAACTAAAATCTCATTAACTTCTTTTTGTCACCAGCTTCCAAGGATGAAGTGTAGAGATCTTTTATGACTCTTACACTGTATAAGGTGTCAATAGGGACAGATGGTGTGCTCCAGTTAGAACTGTCCAAATTCTGTGAGAGCTTATTTGTTATACAGGTACAGGGGGCATGCAGAGGAGCCACAAGGGAGGGGGCAGGAACAAGGGCTGGAAGCAACAGGGTCATTGCCACTGCTAGGCTGACAGGAGAGGGAGGGGCAAGGAGAAGACCTTGCCAGAACCAGAAGGAAGAGAGTTCTGAGAAGAAGAGTGAGGGACAGGGCAGCTCAGGGCAGCTCAGGGCAGCCTCACAGGGAGGGAAGTGGGGGAATAAATTTCCAGGATACCTAGCTAGAATAAATACCCAGAATTCATCCTTCTTTTTTTCTCCTAACTCCATCAGGGCTCTTCACTAACCAAGTGGGCAGTAGAAGATCCAGGAGACTACTGGTGGGGTATACACTCACATCAGCCTCAGGGCAGAGATCAGGTGGAGAGGGACATGGAGGGACAAACCAGATGACCAGTGCATCCACACTCCCCTCAACCAGATGACCAGTGCATTCACAGTCTCTCCAACCAGATGACCAGTGAATCCACAGTACCACAAACCAGATGACCAGTGCATCCACAGTTCCCCAATCAGATGACCACTTCATCCACAGTCCCATCAACTACATGGCCAGTGCATCCAAAGCCCCCCCAGCCAGATGACCAGTGCATCCACAGTCTCCCCAGCCAGATGACCAGTGCATCCACAGTCTCCCCAGCCAGATGACCAGTGCATCCACAGTCCCCTCTGCCAAATGACCAGTGCATCCACAGTCCCCCAAGCCAGATGACCAGTGCATCCACAGTCCCCCCAACCAGATCACTAGTGCATCCACAGTCTCCCCTACTAGATGACCAGTTCATCCATAGTCCCCACAACTAGATGACCAGTGCACCCACAGTACCCCCCAGCCAAATACCCAGTACATCTACAGTCTGTGTTTGTGTGTTCACATGCATGTACATGAGGGTATGTGTATCTGTGGCAAGGGGGCAAGCACATCATGTATGGAAGTGTCAGAGGAGATGTCTCAAAGACTGAGCCTTAATTTGGCATAAAATTCAAAGGAGATACATTGTGCATATGTACCCTAGAACTTAAAGTATAATAAAAAAAAATTCAAAGGAGATAAACAATGACATTTTATTTGGTCCATAAGAAGGATATCTCAATGACTGTAAACAACTAAAGGATAAGGTGTATGTGCTGCCGAAGTGAGCTCTTAAGGATAAAGAACACAATGTAGGAATCATTGAAAGTTAGAGGCAGACAGGATCTTACAAATCTTAAAATTCTTCCATTTTTCTAGGTGATGATGAGGCCCACATGGCGAAGTGACCTCTTAGAGGCCACCCTAGATTAAGATCCAGTCCTCGTGGCTTCCCAGCCTTCCCTCTTTCCATCACACTCACCTGCCATTCTCTAAATTCTGCTGACTTCCCAGTGCATGGAATTCTGTGAAATTTGGAGAGTTGGCCATTTGACAAACACAATCCACACACTTCTGCTCTCCTGGGCAGCCTCTGGTTTCATTCCCTGCCAACCTTGAATCAGGCATAGCTCTTTGTTATACACCCTGTCCCCCAGGCTAATCCACCCCATGGAGCATCACTGAGGAATGTAGGTTTTACTGGAAATCAAGAGGGGAGACTAATAAAAATCCTCATTAAAAACATGTACCATCTACTCCAAAGTTACCCTTAGGCTATAGACCTTTCCTTCCTTTCTCCTAACCTTCCCGACCCACTTCTGTGTCTCTTTCTCCCATCTCTCTCTCTCTCTCTCTCTCACACACACACACACATGCACACACACACACAGACCCCTGCCCAAATCTACTTCCGTATTTTCCAAACTGGATCATAAACCAATAGTGAGTTGTGAAATCAATTTATTGGGTGACACTGTCATTTCTAAAAAATGAAATAAATTTTAAAAAATGAAATTAAAATGGTGTGTGTTGGTGGGGGACTATAGTGCAAAATGTATCTCATATTGTAAGTCCTGGTGAAAGGCTTTGGAAAACATCTTTCATCGCATTGCCATCAACATGTGCAAGCCCATTATTTTGAGAACCATAATGCGGGGCTCAGCTTCTTAAAAAGATCTTCTAGTTTCCAGAATTCACTCCTTTCAGGAGACATGGTGGGAGCAGAAATGACAAATGATAGATTATTTTTTTCTGTCATATCCATTAGTTGGTGAGCAGCAAGCAATATTTTTAACATGTTGTTGAATGAGATGTGGGAAGCTTCCCTATCCCAAAGAGTACAGGAAGAGGTTGGGGAGCTCAACCACTCTTCATGAAGAGCGGACAGAAAATAGGGGGCCAGGGGCCTACCAGTTACATGTGAGGAACATCCCAAAGGGAGGCCCCAAGTGTGATAGCTGTAATCCTCTTGAAAGTAGAATAGGAGTTAATTCAAGGAAGGGTCGATACCTCACCAGGTTGGAAAACCTGTGGATATCGAGGAGTATAACTCAGGGTACACAAGCTTTGCCTTCTTTTTTTTTGAGACAGAGTCTCGCTCTGTCACCCAGGCTGGAGTGAGGTGGCGCGAACTCGGCTCACTGTAAGCTCTGCCTCCCGCGTTCACGCCATTCTCCTGCCTCAGCCTCCTGAGTAGCTGGGACTACAGGCGCCCGCCACCACGCCCGGCTAATTTTTTTGTGTTTTTAGTAGAGACGGGGTTTCACTGTGTTAGCCAGGATGGTCTTGATCTCCTGACCTCGTGATCCACCCGTCTCGGCCTCCCCAAGTTCTGGGATTACAGGCGTGAGCCATTGCGCCCGGCCGCCTTCTTCTTTACATTAAAAAAAATACATATTAACCTTCATTTCTGATCCTTTTATATCAGGAAAGGTTCTATGTGATGGCAGAAGATGACAGAAAGGTGGTGTCAAATGTGGGGGAATCCTAAAGTGCTAGTCTTAGATAAGGGAACTAAATAGCTGGCTGGGGCTCCTAAGGATGGCATTATTCATGTCACCTATATATGTTCCAAGGCTTTCTGAAGAACCAAGTTATGCTTTCTTAAAGTCCAAGATTGTGAGAACATGAGTTCATGCCTGCAGACTTTCTGGACAGAACCATCTCCAAAATGTCACTCAGATGCTCTGAGAGTTTTGCAGAAGGTTGTGATTGGAACAAACCGTCAGGTTCCATCTTCTGATCTTGCTTCTGGCTGAGCGTGGAATAATCTGATATTGCCTCTCTGCTGTCTCATGTGGGTATTGGCTGGTGATGACTTGACTCCAGCCTCAGGGTGAGGTGCTGCTCACCTCAAGTTTACAGGCAGGGCTGATTGCTCTTGACCTTCCTACTGGCACTGGGACACCAGATGATTGGTACTGGTACTGGTACTGGGCCTCACTGCTTGAGTTTGTAGGGCATCACAGCTGCTGCCCTACATCCTGGCTGCCCAGAAACTGGCCATCTCTCTACATTGCCGTTGCTGCTGGCTCCTGCCACCTTCCCAGGGACAGCTCATCCTCACTGCTGGAATTGATCCAGGGTATCTGTATCTTAGAGTCTGGACCCAGTGAACTACTGGCCTGAGAGAAACAGGAAAATCTTCCTTCCCAGTCCAAAGATTGTGCCTTATTTCTTCCATTATCCTATTGTCTTCCCAGTGGAAATTTCAGATACACCAAACTGTGGGCTTCTGCCATTGCTCCAGGAAGATATAACAAAATAGCTCTAGATTGGTATATGTCACAAAATCTGTCTTATCCTGTCTTATCCATTGTCACCTTGGTAAAGCTTTCTAGAAACTGTCATTCATTGCTTGCTGGAAAGAGAGGCAATGGTTGGAGTTGTTTGCAAAATGACTTTACTAGGTACCTTCTCTCTGCATTTCTCCTCATTCCACCACACTTTTCATTTCTTCTCTTGCTTTGCAAACTATGAATATGGTTCTTCTCTATTCCTCTAGATCCATAGACCCACTGAGATTTGTTGATACAGATTAATTCAACACATACTTTTTGGCCATTTATTGTGTCCTAGTTACTACTGCCAGACTACACAGTTTGCTCCTACAGCAGAGAGACCTCATAAACTCATTTGCTAGCGTAACATGCGTCCAATGGCCCGTGTCTGGAAGCTGCCCAAAGAGAAACAAACATGGAGGAAGATCAGAGTATCTATGCCTGTGAGGGCTGCTGAAGATTTGTCTTAATTCCAAATGGCAGGAATAAAATCCGTCTGGCCAGGGTGTCTTAGGAAGCTACAATAAACCAGAAGTAGTGTTTTCATGTCGATTTTACAGGATTTCAGAGAGAAACCATAAATGAGTGTTTATTTTTAATCCCCCTTACAGGGGTCATTTTAATTAAAGTCTTAAGTTAAAGGGAGTTGATGAGTTTATCAGCCTAACATCTGACCTAATGTATTTTCTGTTTCTTTGCAGGGCCATGAAATTCTTCATGCTCTGGGATTTTTGTTTTCCTGAAACCTTTGACACAGAGCTTTCATTGAGAAGAGGAAATGAAGAAAGAAGCATGGTTCCAAGTACCATGAATAGCCCCACCCGAGGGGAGCAGTTTATGTGTGCAGAAAGCGCCCTGGGGTGAGTAAAGGAGCTGCCATTTAGTGGACAAGAGGCCCACTGTAAACCACAGAGGTAAAGGGAATTTCAAGGGAGGAGAAGTGAATTGACTGAAAAATGTCCCTTGCGAATGCATCGTATTTTCTCGTTCAACCAGCGTCAAATGCAATCCTGGACCAGCACCCTGCCTGGCCTAAGCATTGTCACTTTGTCTATCACTGAACTGAGAGTTGAAAAATCACCTGGGGGAGAAAGGTTATGAGGAATAATGAGAAAGCTTCTGGCCAAATTTGGTCCAAACTTCATGATTTCTTAGTTTTGAGTCACATTCAAACCTTTTGGGGCCCAGCTTTATTTTTTTTCTCTTGGCAAACCACAACATCCTATTTGTAAGAAAGGAGCTTTAAGAAAGAGTTTTTGGCCATCAAATAGCTGTTAGAAAACAACATTTTGATGAGTTAAGTGTAAATGAATCAGAAACATGTGGATTAGATTTACCTCAAGATACATGTGGGTTTGAAGGGAGAGGAGGAAAAGGCCTAGGCAGACTCACACTTGGGGTTTTGCTGATCCTTCGATGAGTGAAACGTAGATTTGAGGGGGCATCAACTGCCAGCACCAGGAGGATGTGGCCGGGCCTGTGAGTATCATTGTCATTGTTGTTCTGATCATTATTGATGATGCATGTGGCCGTTTAGAACCTAGCAGGGTCTCTTTATCTTTCTTATGCTTGTTGCTCAGACCATCCATCCCTATGAAGGGAACTTCCCAGCACAGTGAGGTGTTAATGGCAAGACTGGGCTTAGGACCGAGAACTTACACTTGCTTTGCCACTGAAGGATGATTTGTCTCTCCAAAGTTATGAGAAGACAATGTATAAAAATAGCCCTTATGGTGCTTAAAAAGGGATTTTTGAAAGATTTTATGGGAGGCTTTCCAGCATAAAATATGCCTACCTTCTGTCACTCAAGAAGCCCAATGGTTTCTCAATGTATTATGGAAGTAAAGGAATTTCAAAGGAGCAGAAGTATATTGATGGAAAGATTAAGTAATGTCCTGGTAGTTGTACTAAATGGTCTTGAAAACTCCTCCCAATATCCTTCATTCACCTACCACCAAATCTTCAAACCTTCCTGCAGCTTTTCCTTTCTATCTTTCAAGGGAGAAAATGTTGTTTACTCCATCAGAGGTCAATGCCTCTACCTGTGCTCTGGACCTGGGCTGTCCAATATGGTAGCCAGCGGCCACATGTGACTATTCGCACTTGAAATGTATCCAGTCTGAGTGGAAATATGCTATAAGTGTAAAATAGGATAAAAATGAATGTAAAATATCTCATTCATAATTTCTTACATTGATTACATGCTGAAAGGGTAATATTTTGAATATTTTGTGTGGGGCATAATATGTTATCGAAATTAATTTCACTTCTTTGTTTTTACTTTTGCTAACATATTTACCTAGATAATTAAAATTACATATATGGCTTGCATTGTGCTCTAGATGCAACATTCCCTGGGGGCTCAGGAATATTACTCTTCTAATATTGTCATTTCTTTCCCATATCTTCAACCCATCACTGTTGTGTGGATCATTGTGTTAGCTTTCCACTTGGGCAAATGGCTCTCCAAACAAAAGCAAACTAAATCCTCCCTTGACCTCATCACCCTCACTAGTTTCCACCCTCTCCCATATACCGTCATTAGCCAAGCTTCCTGAAAGCACTGCCTACACAGTCTGCCTCCGCTTCCTCATTAGCCCATCTCAGTCTGTATTCTCCTCACCGCAAGCCAAAACCTGCTATTGCTAAAGTGATACATTGTCTCTCCAGTGCAAAATCCAAAGGGTACATCTTTCCTGACCATCTCTGCAGTGTTTGACATAATCGATCACTCCCTGCTTCTTAAAAGTCTCTTCTCTTGGCCTTCACCTTGGGTGCCTGGCTCCCCTGCTCTCTCTGGCCATTTCTGCTCATCCTTTTTGTTGGACTTACATCTTTCACACCACCTCTAAATGCTGGGGCACCTTAGGCTTTCACCCTGGTCTTTTTCTCACAATATATTCTTTCCTTAGACAACCTCTTCTAATCTTATGAGTTTAAACATCATTTATGCCGAAAACTCCCAATCTAAAGACACCAACTGCAGACATGGAAATACCCAGACCTCTCTTCTGCACTCCACACTCACATCTAAGTGCCGAATTGACTCACATCTAAGTGCCAAATTGACTCTTAATTTAGGACTCTCTGAAACATCCCAAACTTACATCCAAAAAAGAAGTTGTAGGCTTCTCCTCCAAAGTTTGTTCTCTTTCATCTCAGGAAAGGTTATCCCCATTCACTCAAGTTCTCATGTCAGAAACCTGACAGTTTATCCTTAATTCTTACACCTCCTTCAGTATACAAATATCACCAAGTATTCTCAATTACACCTCCAAAATGTGTCTCAAATCCATCAGCTTCTCTCCACACCCTGAGGAAGGGTCCATCCTTTCTTCCTGGACTACTGCTAGTGTCTCTTAACTAATCTCCTTGCTATTGCTCCCACAATCTGCTCTTCATATTGTAGCCAGACTGACCTTTAAAAACAAGAATTGGACCATGTTACTCTCCTGCTTAAAAACCCCTGATGGTTCTCCATGGACTTAGAATAAAACCCAGAGTCTTTAATGTAACATGCAAGAGCCCACATGTTGAACCTGTTGGCCACGGCTACACTCTGGTGGCATTGCCCCCACTCACACACACACACTGGCCCTCCTGGAGCCACATTGGCCCTTCATGTCCTTGCAGCTATAGTATGAGTCCTGCCTGAGGGATTGCACATATGATAGCCCCTTTCTTCACCTAACTTACTCTTCCAGCATCCTTCACTTCCTTCAAGAGGGATTCTATGATTCCTGCAGCCTAAATTAATCCTTACCACACCCCATTAGTGTCTCCTATAGTGCTTTGTACTTTTTCTTCATAGCACTTCTCACAATTATGCAATTATATGCTATATCTACATCTCTTCCCCAATAGTTTAAAGCTTCCAAACTGGGCTGCATCTTACAAACTATGTGTGCCTGTGATGAAGTTGTATTTCTTACAATTGATAATGTCTTAGATCAAAGAAACAAGGCATTTATCTGTGCTTATTTGTTAGTATCTGTTTCTTCCACTTGGCTCTAGCCATGTGTGGGCAGGGACTATGTCTCCTTGGTTGTCCCTCATATTCCCCAAGCTGCCAGGACTGTGCTACACAGGAGGTATTGTATGAACATTTGTGGAATGAATGATTGAATGAAGGAAGGAGGGAAGGCAGGATATGCACACTGTGTTGTGGCCACTGCAGCCTCCTATTCTCTCCAAATGTGTCTCCTACTATTCAAGTCCATAGGCTGTGCACTCAGTAGAGGAATAACTGCTCCATGCCCTCTTCTTTTGATTTTGTCTTTCCTATTCCAACACATACACTAAGACTGAACATGATTTCCAGCTCCTCTAAGAGGACTTCTCCCAAAATAATGAACTTTGCTTAACTTCCTGAGTTAGAACCCAATCAGATCTTGTCCAAGATGTCTTTTTTACAGGAAATATTATAGCCCCAGGGAGGAGACACACCTGGGTTCAAATCTCAGCTTTCTACCTGTGTGAGCTTTAGTGTAATATTCAGTTTTCTATTCTATAAAGTGGGAATAGTAACAGAAAACCTACCTCAAGGGGTTGTGGAAGGATTGAACAGGATATTGAGAGTAGGGTGTCCAGCTAGCATAAGAGCATTAGTGAATGCAAGTTATGATTATTATTTGATCTATGTATTCTTAATTGTCATGGTATTTTTAGGGCTCAAAGGAAAGGACCATAAGTTAAAATCCCTCATATTCCTACTGAGCGAAGTTTATTGCTTGTTTTGGAGATATATAAGATGCATCAATTTTATTAAAGCTCCCTTTCAGCCAATAATTGCTGTCTGTGGTCATTTCTGTTTGGCAGAAGCCTCCTTCACACATTGGCCAGAAAGTCTAACAGCCATCCCACCATAAACTCTCTCTTGCTCGTTGCCCATCCATCTTACCTAGCCTCCTTCTACCTACTACAATATAGTGGAAAGACTCATAAGGCAGGTAGTGTCAGAGCCAGATCTTGAACCCAAGATCATGGTTCATGTATTAGTCTGTTTTCACACTGCTGATAAAGACATACCTGAGACTAGGCAATTTACAAAAGAAAGAGGTTTAATTGGACTTACAGTTCCACATGGCTAGGGAGGCTTCACAATCATGGTGGAAGGAAAGGAGGAGCAAGTCATGTCTTACATGGATGGCAGCAGGCAAAGAGAGAGCTTCCGTAGAGAAACTCCTGTTTTAAAAACCTCTTGAGACCAATTCACTATCATGAGAACAGTATGGGAAAGACCTGCCCCCCATGATTCAATCATCTCCCACCGAGTCTCTTCCACAACATGCGGGAATTATGGGAGCTATGAGATGAGATTTGGGTGGGGACACAGAGCCAAACCATATCAGTTAGTGTTACATGTTGTTCACTCTCCTGCTTCCTATGCTCACTCTTTATTTTTTCCTTACTGTTAGAAAGTAGGGAGCTAGAATTTGAACTTAAGTCTCTCATAATTTTTTAGATTGAGTAGGCAAGGAAGATCTCAAAACAGGTGATACTTAAGCTACTATCAGAGTGACAGGAAGGAACCAGGCATGAGAAGATCAGAAGACAGAGCAGAGAGAATTGCAAGTGCAAAGGTCCTGGGGTGGGAATGAACTTGGTGTACTTGAGGAACAGAAAACAGACAAGTAAGGTGGAGTTGACAGAGGCTGTGTGAGCCTGCACTCGGGGTCACTGGCTGTGGGTTTGAGAGAGGAAGTTGTCAGCTTGAGCTAGATGATGTCAATAGAGATGCAGAGAAGTAGATTTGTTTGAAATGTACTTTGGAGATAGAATCAACAATACTGGCAGTAGATTGGTGGTAAGAGAAGGGTAGGCTCAAGGGTGACTCTCAGTTGGGTCTGGCTTGAGCAACTGGGTGGATGGTGATGCCATGTACTGGGATGACGAATACTTGAAGAAATAGATTTGAGCATATGTTTGTGATCTCTCTGGGATACATCAGTGATGCCAGACAAGTAACTGAATATGCTAGTCTCAAGTTCAAACACAAAGTTAGAAACTAGAGATGCATGTTTTAGAGTCATCAGTTTATAGATGGCATTGAGAGCCATAGGAACAGATGAGAATGTCTAGGGAAGGAGGATAGAGAGAAACAAGAAGAAGGCCCCGGAGAGAACACTGACATGATTGGTAGGTGAGTAAGAGGAATGGAACTAGGGAAGGAATGGCCAGAAAGGAAAAGTAAAACAAGGAGAGGATGGGTTTCACACCAAATCTAGGAGGAAATCATGTTTCAAGAAGAAGGGATCAGTCTTGTGTCAAATGCTACTACAAAGGTGATGGAGACGGATTAAAAAAAATGTGTCTATGGAATCTGGCTTCATGAAAGGTTGTGGATGACTCTGACAAGAGAAGTGTAGGTAGAGTGAAGGGAAGTGACAGATTGCCTGCATAGCTAATATTTTTAAAGAACTTATTTTAAGGAATAACAAAGAAATGGGAATATGAGTCAAGAGGTCCTTTTAGTAGATGGGAGACAGGAGGGGCTGTTTTCTGATGAGAATGATCTAGAAGTAGAGAGATATATGACACAGGAAAGACTAAGACCCACATCTCTCCCTTCTCTAAAACTGGTGCCTTTAGTACTTATTTGCAGAGTCACAGTCCCTGTGGCCTTTGCTTGCTTCTCCTCCATATTGAAATTAGCTTGGAGAGGGTGCATTGATTCCTTCAGATCAAATGAGAGTCTCTTTTTGTTTCTCTTTGCCTAGACATTCATGTGACCTTCACAGACAAGTGTTTACTGGAGTTACTCAGAACTGAGCAAGGACAGCTTTGGTCTGATAAAAGCACACTCCCCACACTGGCTCAGAACCCTCAACCTTCCCTTTGAACACAATATAAATGCTACTGTGGACCTCAGAGGTTAATCCATTACAACAAGGCAATTAAATTTAGGGTCTGTTTGGAAGATAAAAAGCAGCAAGTAATAACCAGGTCAGAAAACTCAGCCATGATGGATTTCTATAATTTCCTCTGACTTCACGGAGCTGCGTCTGGTGACCTGAAGCAGGATGGTGTGACTGCCCGGTGGTGTCAGAAATGTGAGGGGGAGATTATTTTTATTAAACTAGTTATTTCTGAGGCATTGACCTCTCTTGCTTCCCCTTTCTCTCTCAAGAAGGTCATTTGCCAGCTGGTAATACATTTAACCCTTAAGCATACAGTCAACCTCAGGTTAGCAAGGAGGATCATTTTACAAAGGCAAGCGAATGAAACTGATGTTTCTCCTGGTTAGTGTTCTGAGTTTTGAATTTGGGCTACTTCCCCCTTTCTTGTTAAGCCACTTTGGTTTAAGTGCCTAACCTTCTCTGGTGGATTTTGTATAGATTTTCCAGTAATAAGATGGTTAGTTTGTCCTCATCTAGAGTGCTTTACCCATGAGAAAGAAGAGAAAATTGCTCTATGTCAGACTGGAGCTGGGATGAGAACCCTCAGGCCCTGATTTATTGCTCTTCAGCTTTGTTCCCTCCACTTCTGTCTCACACAGCGTGTGGTCATCCTGAATCATTCGTGCCACAAATGTTTCTGGACACCCACTCTGCCTGTGACACTGCACTAGGCACCATGGCAGAGTGTTTGACTACATGGCCCCTGCCCTCTGGGAACTGGTTCCTGCTCTATTTCAGCGGGGAGTGCAAGGAGGTTGCTGACACAGTCATTTTAGGGGTTTGTTTTCTCTGCGCCAAATTGCCCTGTCTCATTAATGACAGGCTCAATTTCCATCAGGTTCCTTGATGAATCTTGCAAAACATCCAAGAGGGAGCTTCCTTCCAGTGCAGAAATGTAATTCCCTGTGGATATGTGTTGGCATCCGCCAACTCAGAGGCATAATGAAGTTAATTTTGAGGGAAAGCAAACACAAATATAACGGTGATCGGAAGAGCAGCCACAACTGTCTGAGCCATTTATTTAATGGACTAATTAGCTTATTAAGTACTTTGCACTGTCTTCTTTTCCACAAAGGATTTAAAGAGATGATTGTCTGGCTCAAAGGACTGGTTTTGGATTTGTGATCAGGACACTGAGTTCGAGTCCCAGTTCTGATCATCTGAGCTCTGCCTCTAGCTCAGCCTGTATGGCCCCAGTGTCATTAAACCATTTGTCTTATCTACTTTATGGGACTGATGGGAGGATAAAATGAGATAATAATACACATGAAAGAACCTTGTTAAAGAATAAAGCGCTATGCACATGTTAGTTATTATTTCAGAAACCAAAGTTAACAAGAGATAAAAATCTTAAATCTGGGAGGAATTTTTCTATGGAGCTAGTTGGCAGGTCACTTCTTTTTCTCATTTCTTCTTTGTTTGCATCTCAGAGAATTAGCAACCAGATAGGAAGGAAATGCCATTATTAGAATGTGGGCTGCCTGAGTGGTGGGGAGGTGCCAGCCGAGGCATTTTTAACAGTGTGGCTTCCAGGGCTCTGATTTGCATACTTGCAGCTGTCTAGCCCACTGATGACCACATATACACCCAAGTGATATGTGTATCTATATTATGCTTCAGTTTGCCAAGGCATCTTTGATTTTTATCTTCAGGTTCATTCTTTTGGGTAAAGGCATCAACTTCAAACAAATAAACAGATAGCTCAGAATAGTGCTTAGGTGTGTTCAGAGGAAAAATCTCTTAGAGAGAGTGGGCATCAGCAGACCAGGCTTTGCCACTAATATTCGTATTGTCCTAGCTGCGAGAGGCCACGCCTTGCATCTGATAGGAACTGGCAAGTAGCTCAGTAGGTTGTATTTTGAGAAATCCATCTTAGAAATTTCTTATTTGAAAATTAAAATGGCACACACACATACATACATATATATACATATATTTTTTTTTCCTCTCTCTCTCTCTCTTAAATTTCCAGTCTTTTCTGTTTGTCCACCAACAAATAGGTGTTTACCAATTGGTTTTTCATCAATATTCTTCAAGTGTTTCTCGAAGAGTGGTCCATTAAAAGTCCACCTTTAAGAGAATCGCCTGGCGCGTTTATTACAAATTCAGACCCCCTTTTTTGGACCCATCAAATAAGCCTATCTGAAGGAGGGGCCCTGGAATCTGCATTCCCAAAAAACTTCCCAGGAAGACATCAAGCACACTCAAGTTTAGGTCCCCTTTTGTGAAGATTGTCTACAAGGGTTTGGTAGTTCTATTGCTATTTCTCTCAGGTTAAGTTTCTGGGCCAAGACTCTTGATTTCATTTTGGGCAGCTGGACCAGCTCATCCTGGTTACACATCCCTGTTGAGCTTTGGGAGATCCTTCACCAATTTTTATATTGCTCTCGTTGGCCTGAATATCACTGTTCTTTCCAGACAGGACAGAAGCAAAGCCGGAGTTGGAGAGCTCCGCTTTCATTTTGTCATCCTCCAAATGTACAGAATCGACAACAGCCTCAGACCCCTCTCAGATTGTGTAGTTGGTCCCATCCTACCACAATATACCCTCCTTTAACTCTTACATTGTCACTAGCCTCACTCAGTGTGGATCAGGATCAGGGTGACCAACGGTCCTTTTTTTTTTTTTCGGACTCTCCCAATTATAGCATTGAAAGTTCCATGCCCCAAGAGTCCCCTCAGTCCCAAGCAAACTGGAATGGTGGGCCACCCTGTCAGGGAGGATATTGCCCTCCTTGACACTCTCTTTCCTGTTAAGCCAAACTTGTATTTTCATGTTTGATTTAATGTTCATCTTTTGTACCTATCTCTTACATATTCCCCTGAGAGCTTCCTGAGCAAAAATACGGGTTTATTCAACTGAATGATTATTTTTATTAAAGCAGGTAGAGACGTTGCTTGACTTCTGTTGAATGAAGGAATACTCAGGACTCCCCACTAAACATCCTGGGGGTAGAAGCAAAGCTGCTCCAGGATTTGGCTGCATTTTAGTCCCCTGACTTTCTGCATCCAGCAACGCATCAGCTGTTTTGCTTTCCTTGTCTTTTAGTAGGGTTATCCCCTTAACATCTTAGGATATTTTGTGTCATTCTCTTAGTCAAAAGTAGGATCAATGTGGCTAGGATTTGCCTGCAGGTAGGAATGGAACCCAAACATCAAGCCAGCTAGGCCTTATGGCGATGCTTAACAAGACATCAAGCACTCACAAGAAGACCCAAATATTGCCAAGTTTATCCCATGCCTTCTACTAATACACCCCTCCCTGTGCCTCTTTCTCTGACCTTCTGATGTGGGTGGTTCTAATATCATTTGGGGAGGAGACTGAAAACAGAAGACTATTGCCTTGAGGTAAGGAAGGGAATGTCTTGAGATTTGTATTTGTCTTGGTCAAAATGTACACATTTCCAGCAGACTTGGGACATTATGTTATCTGTCTCCTCTGTGGTTCTTTGGTTTCAAATGGATAGAAAGGTCTCACAAATTACTTCAAGCCAATTCCACTTTTGTCCATACACCCAGCACTTCTATTATCATGGCTGCAAGGCAATCTGAAGACTCCAAGATAGGTCAGTAGAAAAGAGGGGAATGTCAGTATGTAGAAAGCCAACTCTAGGACTGGCCTCCAAGGAGGAGGGCTGATTAAATGTCATAGTGACATGGCTGAACTGAGATTGAATGTGTGTTGATGAAAACATCCTAAGATACCAACATGGTGGCTGAAACTCCGCAGCAAAAGGATCTGGGCAGAGGCATATTCTTCGTCTGGAGGGTGGGTGCCTCTGTGTCTAGGCACTTTTGTCTGTTAGCAGCAAAACCCGAGCCAGTAGGGAGGCGTATGGTGAAGAGTCTCCTGAACCTAGGCTATGTTAATAGGCCTGGATAGAATGTTGTGTTTTTCAAAATCATGAATTTCTAACACTCCACCAGCTGCTTATCATCGCTACAGGTTCCTAAGGGACAGGGGCAAGGGGAAGACGCTCTATTTCTGACTCAGGTTCTGGCCATAATTACCCATAGTCTTCCCTATGGCAGTGGGCTGGGTCATGTATGAACTGTAAGGACCCCATATTTCTCCTCTAATCCAAGACCTAGATTAAAGTCAGGACACTTTGACATATCACTCTGACATGAGGATGCACACAAAAAGAACCCAAGAGAAAGAGAAATTGGCCAGGTTCATGCCCATTTAATCTCCTCCCATCCAAAGCTTCACTGCCTAGGACTGAGATTGACTCTGTTCTGAGACTCCATGATTTCAGAACT
Source organism: Homo sapiens (assembly GCF_000001405.40). Classification (NCBI taxonomy): domain Eukaryota; kingdom Metazoa; phylum Chordata; class Mammalia; order Primates; family Hominidae; genus Homo; species Homo sapiens. Next base: position 45,811,867 of record NC_000006.12, read on the forward strand.
TTTCCTCTTGGAAGCAGACAGAGAGTGAGGGGATTGAAGAAGCCACTTAGAGAAGAGAAGCCTTGAACTATTTCTACAGGTGAGGGTATCAGTAACACTGTTAGGGTTTAGACCTGCGTCAGTGGGCTGTGATTCAGAGCAGGGCATTCACCCCCATGGAAGTAATGGGATATGGAGTAGCAATGATTGAGAGGAAGAGGCTAAGTTTAGTGACTTGGTGGACACATAATGATCACCTAATTCCTATGAGCCATCAGCTTGTATGATGATCCAAACTAACTCCAAACATGCCTATTGATTAGGATAGGATTTCTAATTTACTGCCCGGCTTCAGCTGGCTCAGGGCTACAGTAGGTCTGAGGTGTTAATGAAGGGTGTTCAGTTCCTACAGGGCATGAGGCTGAGGCAGAAGAAAGAGTTATAGTACCTCCAGAAAGATGCTGTATGCTCTCTTTCTCCACTAGGAAGACCTACATCAGTTTTTTGTAGCTTACCTGCTTAACCCTCAGGGTGGATGGAGAAAAGAAAGAGTAATCTGTAGTGATTCTGCAATGACATCCCTGATATACCTGGGAGAGAGTCAGATTTTCATACTGCAGCAGGACCTTCTGAAATTAAATGCTCATTGCAGACCCCGGTATGTCTTTGACTAGTTGTTACCCAGCTATTCTGGTATGTTGTTTGAACATATTGGTTTCTTGACTAAACTTATTTCGTTTAATACATTTTAACAATATGCAACAATCGGTTTGACACTGGTTTGGACAATCAGAAGGGATGCAAAGATCAAATGGAACGGGTGCCACCTCCAATCAGCATGCTATCAATAGCCTGTCCAATCAAAACAGAAGCTGAGCAGAAGCAACCAATGCATCCACATAAGCTCAGACCAGCTGAGGAGCAGCCCAGTCCAGATGAATGCTTGGAATAATTAATTCCAAAGGAAGCCTTCTACTAGAAAGAGTTTCAAAAAGTATGATAGACTTGTTGAGTTTGTGGTTCTGTAAGTCCTTACAAGAGCTTTCTTGAGGCAAGGCTTGTCTTAGCATATTGCATGGCTTTATGTAGTGAAATATCTTCATGGAGGGTAAGGCAGCAGCTGAAGTTTGGCCGCTGGCCACAACTCTTCCGCTGCGGACTTGTGAGCAAATGTGTATATGGGATGGAGGCAGAAACAGAAAGATATATGCCAAGATTGTGCTTGAATTCCCTGGAGACGGCTTGGAGGCTGATACACTGACATTCAAATGTGTGCACTCACACGGCACTCTATGCTGGTTAGTGCTGCCTGGGTAAAGGGAGCTGGGCCCAGGCAGAGCTAGCGGCAGTCAAAGGCATTGTTCATTGTGTTGTGAGTGACATGAAATCCACCATTTGACAGCTAGCCCACATAGCTGTGGTGATAGGAAAGGCTCACTTTAGATCATGCATTCCACTGCTGTGCATGGATTAATATGGCTTTGAAAGGGCTTTTCTTTCTTTCTTTCAAACTTAATACGGGAGTATATGAGGAAGAACATGGTAGCAATTAGCTGCTGCTATGAATTTTATGAGCAGTTTGCTAGAAACCACATTAATGACTCCATGGGTAGTGCAGAGATCAGTTTTGTTATATTATTTTTTCTCTTTTTCACCCCTTTCCCTCTTAAAAGACCAGCCTGAAACTGCAGGATGGTGTCAGGCAGATGGTCCTAATAGACAAGGTTTTCTTTTCCAGGATAGGTAGCCCAACACAACCCTACCTTGGATCTTGTACTGAGTCTGCTGGTGGGTCCAGCCCTGTTTCTAACCCTGCAGCATTATAAAGATGGGAAGTAATCTGGCATTGGTTCTGACAGGTGGAGCAAGACTCTTGCAGGAAATGTCCACAGGGAAGTTGCTACCAAGGAGGGAAAAAAGAAAATCCTGAGTGTTTCTCAATGTTAGCAATGGGAATAAGAATAAAATGTGGGCATTAGCTAGGAAAAAAATGGAAACAAATAGTCTTTATATATTCTCAGGAAGCATGGAGATGGTTTCTAAAATATTTCCCCAGAAGCCAAGGGAAAGGGTGGGTATTGGATAAAGGGACTGGATGCAGGAAGCAAACAGGGCACAGCTTCCTGGGAATGTGTGATGAAGCCAACTGAGGTCTGTATTCAAAAACGGTTTCAATGTTTGGGTCTGGAATCTTGAAAGAAACAAAAATAAGTTTGTGACCAAGTCACAAGCCTTGATCAAGTCCCGAGAGAAGCACCTGTAAACACAAAGCAAATTAGGTGCAGTCTCAGCCACAAGAGTGAATCAGCAAGCAGGGGAGGTTAAATGGAAAAACAAAATCAAAACAAAACAAAAACAAGCAAGAAATAACCTCATTCTGCTAGAGAAAAAAAAATAGACACAGGGAGGGTTGCAGCATAGCTTTTACTTCCGATTCTTTTCTCCAACATGAAAAGTTGACAACCAAGAGCTCTGGAAGTAGAGCCAAGAAGGTAAACTGAGGCCTTTTCTGCAATTAGACATGGGATAGGCCCTCTGTGATGAGAGACGTAGGAATATCAGGCTCTTGAGAACAAGCACTTGCAAATCTTTGAACTGAAAATTATGGCTTTATCTCCAGGAAGCTCTTTGGCTTTTGACTCAAGCAGAGATTCAGATGGACTATAAATGGTAAGCTATGGATCGATGACATAATGGCACCTCATTAACATATTTTTCCCTAAAACATACAAAATGAAAGTGATTGGTTAGTGCTAGTAATTTCAGATGTTTTCATGAAGTGGTATCTTTTGGACTGATATGAAGTAGAAAATTCATGACAATAACTCTAGGGAGGTTTGAATCTCTAATTCGCTTGGATCCCAGGCACATCTGCTTCTTGGCAGTTTGTTTGAATGATGGGAATGATACCATCAAAATATCATCTGAGAGAAACATGATTAAATGGCCTGTTTCCTGACATTTCCTGATGAAAACATTGTTTTAGCTCAGACATGAATATTTTAATAATAGAGAACTAGACTCTTAATAAACTTGGCTCCTTGGAAACATTCCCCCTTTTAAAGACTTTTTGATGTAGTTTGGGACTTTTTAGAATGGGCCGTCTTATAAAATTTTGATGCCTCAGCTAAATTTTGTCAGATTTGAAGGAGGCTATAACAAACGTGTGTAAGAGTTTAAAAAGTATCATTGGTTTAAAATCTAATCAGTGAAATCCAAATGTAAATGTGATTTTAAACATAATCACCCTCCACCTCCTCTCAAATAAAGCAAAATCAAACACAAGGTCAGTTTTAATAGAAAAAATAACTTGTGGTGGGTGCATGCGCTCTCATTTTATTTTGTTTTTTTTTTTTAAACTGTGCTTGTATGTTATATAAACTCTTTTTGATATCCTTCACAAAGAAAAAAGTTAAAAAAATTAACTTGTTGGAACTGTAAGCTAAACCTCCCTCCTACACGAACATACACAAACTCACACACACACGCACTTAGTTAGTATTAGTCAAATCCTCATAAAATTTTGAGTTCATGCCTCTACAATTTGAGTGACACAGAGTCATGAAAATAATGAGTTAGAAACCAGCAACTATGAGGGAAAGCTGAAGGCATTGGCGTCGTTTAACCTGGAGAAGACAAGGACCCGGTTGATCGGTTGATTTAATAATGGTCTCCCAGTTTATGGCGGGTTATTATGCAGAAGATGGTGTCCATCTGTTTTTCATTTCTAGTGAAGACAGAAAAAAACTGAGAGGCTAGAATTGCATCAGGGGAGATTAGAGTGAGAGATGAAGAAGGTCTTGTTTGATAGGGTTGCGAGACTGGAATGAACAACCAAGGAGGATTATGAAATCCCCATCTTTGGAATTCTTAAATTAATGTGATCTGCATGAATCGATGCGGTGGGATGGTTTTGTTATCTGCCTGCTAGCCAGCAGAGGGATGGCGGAGCCAATGATTCTGTAGGCCAAGTCTCCTGGTGCGCCATGATTCTTTGAGTTGAGTGTATTGCCTGTGGCAGGGAATCCAGTGTGCAGAGCCAGGAGCCTGCTGCCCTGTGGCAGGGCTGCTGCGTCTGTGCGCTGGGGTAAGCTGACACTTCACGTTCCTTTTGACTCAAATGGCTCCAAAGTCGTTTAGGATCTTTCTGACTGCCAACTGCCACCTTGAAATAGGAAAAGTATTTTAAACAAATCCTCCAGGACATGCAGGCAAAGTATGCATTTGCAGTACTCAGAATACATGGTCACCGGACACCTCCTAGAGACAACTGAAAACTATTAGCACAGCAGGAAACCCCACGGAAAAAGAGGTGGGAAACAGGAAGATTTGGATATTAAACTTATCTCCTCCCTTTCTCATTTTGAGACATATTTTTGACACAAAGCTAAATTTTCTTGATGAGCAGATTTATTCCTCTCTCTCTCCCCCTCTTTCTTTCATTTTCCTTTCTTTTTCTTTCTCTCTTAAGTTCTTTCAAGCTTTTTTTTTTTGCTTGAAAGCAAAATATCTCAAGTATGACAATTAAGTCTTATGGATGCTAGAGGTAAACCCTGAGAATTTGAAGGAGGCAATTAAAATTTTTTTGTGTGTGAAAAATAAAAGTCTGGTGCTTTGCTTTACTTATAAAAGGATACTCTTACTATGTCTGTTTTAAATATATTTCTTAAGGTGATGAAACGTCCCAGGGAACAGAGCTGTATGTGAAGAGATTTGTGTGGAAAGGAAGATTTTAGAAGTTTTTTTCATCTTTCTTAACATCCTCCCGAAGCAGCCCAACCTCACACTTCAAAGGAGCAGAGCAGAACTTTTACCTAAGGGAGGCCTTGCCTCTCCCAGCAGGCTTGGTTTCCATACCATGGTTTTTCTGGAAATGTCCTCTTTCCATACGCTACCTCTGAGTCACGCCTCATTGAGAGTGATGATTATGATCTCTGGACGTTCGGATGCTGCTGAGAATCGGGAGGATATTTTGAGCCGTGGAATTCGGGCTCTGCCACATGTTTGGATTAACAACCAGTTAAACCTTGCTAAGGCAATATTTTTCTATGCAGTTAGTTTTTATACCAAACAAGGTTTGTAGTAATTGGATGCCCTACTTGAGCAAAACTGTTTACCAGAAAATAAATCACTCCTGGCATTAAGAAAACACAAGCCCAGGGATTCGCCAGCGCAGCATCATCCCGTTCATTTCTCATAAAACTAGCCCCAAACATGTGCATTCTCATCTATGATGACTTATGCTTTGAATTGTGGTCTCTTTATTTCCATGCCCATTATAATGCTTACCTAAACATTTCCCTCTGTTTAGCTGCGGTGCTTCTGGTAATGACTTCTATTTGGCTGCTGGGAAGCATTTGCCAGGAGAGAGAGAGAGAGAGAGAGAAGAGAGGAAGGTGGGGGGAGAGAGAGAGAGACAGAGAGAGAAGGAGAGAGAGAGGGGGAGAAAGAGAGAAGGGAGGGGGAAAGAGAGGGGGAGAGAAAAAGAGGAGGAGAGAGAGTGACGGGGGGAGGAGGTGGGGAGAAAAAGGGGGAGACAGAGAGGTATAGAGAAGAGGGAGGGAGAGAGAGAAGGGAAGAAGGGATAGCAGAAAAAAAAGAGGCATACTTTTTTCATAACTGGCCATTGAATTACAGATTATTAAAATTTAAAACAACTTCAGGTTATCTAATGTACTTTCTGTGACTGGTAGATGAGGTCAGGAGGAGCATGACTGGCCCTAGGTGACA